>NT_113891.3:4500000-4795265 GCF_000001405.40 Homo sapiens | reverse complement strand
GAATTCAAGACCAGCCTGGGCAACATGGGGAAAAAGAGTAAACACTCCTTTTCTTCTGCATCATGCAGTTTGCCACCATCTGCTATAGAGATCCCCACAGGGCAAGGTTTTCTGCCCGGCCACCTCGAGTGCTACAGGCCTGCCCAGGGGTGTCCTGCCCACACAGGGTGCTGTGGCTCAGGCTCTCAACCTTGGTCCAGCCTCTCACAGCTGAGCATAATACTGATACTGACACTGAGCCTTTGATAGAGGCTGTTAGTTTCCCCCCAGTATTGTTTCTCCAATCTTTTCCTGTTAATAAACCCTAGATTTTTTTTTTTGCAAGACACATGGCCACCAAAAAAGATCTCAACTCCCAGCCTCTCTTGAGACTAGGTATGGCAATGGACAGTGCTCTGGCCAATAGAGCACAAATGGAAGTAATATATCCACATTTCAGGGAGAGCCCTAAAGGAAGGAGTATGCCCTTCCCCGTCAAACCATGCCATTTGTTGAGAATAGAAGAACCACAAGCTTCACCGGGCGTGGTGGCTCACACCTCTAATCTCAGCACTTTGGGAGGCCAAGGAGGGCAGATCGCCTGAGGTCAGGAGTTTGAGACCAGCCTGGCCAACACGGTGAAACCCCGTCTCTACTAAAAATACAAAAATTAGCTGGGCGTGGTGGCATGTGCCTGTAATCCCAGCTACTTGGGAGTTGGGAGGCTGAGGCAGGAGAATCGCTTGAACCCGGGAGGGGAAGTTTGCAGTGAGCCAAGATTGTGCCACTGCACTCCAGCCTAGGCGACAGAGTGAGACTCCATCTCAAAAAAAAAAAAAGAAAAAGAAAAAAGAACCACAAATTAGAAATGTCTTGCCTTCCTGGTAATCTTGGAAGTTCTGCACCAGTCCTGGACTGGTTATCTCAGAATTTGCTTACAGGAAAAATTCACTTGTCTCTTGTTTAAGCCACTGTTATTTCTCAAACTCCTGGACTCAAGCCATCTGCCTTCCATGGCCTCCCAAAGTGCTGGGATTACAGGCATGAGCCACTGCACCCAGCCTAGACATTGTTGCTATGCCTCCACAGAGTACCGTGGAGTAGCCTGAGTGGCCTGGGCCCTGCCTCGGACCCTGTGTTTGAAGGGACTCTGCACTTTGGAGTATCTTCCTTGAAATTTCCTAAGTCACTCTACAGAGCCAAGGGCCAGCCTGTGCCAGCAGAGAACTCGCTCCCATTGGGCGCTCATGGGGTTCTGTAGCCTTGTAGGATCAATTCTGCTAGCAGAGAGGTATTTCTTTTATGGATCGCACATGATTGGGCTACCGGCTGGTCCACTTTGACCCTTAAGCTTGAGCTGTATGTGTGGGTCCTAGTGATGGCTCCCCCACCCCCATTCTTTGTGTTCCAACTGTGGTGGTATCTCTGTTACCTTAGAGTGGCAGGTAGTCAAAGGAGTCCTTCGTCCTGTGTGTCCCTCACTGATGGTGTCGCGCCACATGCTTCACTGGCACCCAGGAAAGTCATCCCATCCACTCCACAGCCTCTGTGCTACATGCCAGATTGTCCTCTGGGAATAGCTCTGCCTATCTCCTCTCAAAGCTTTCAGGAAGGTTGTTCCACAACCCAACAGGCTCTTCCCATTAATGTCCTCTCTTCTCTTCAATTGATGTGCTGACCTTCTGCTCTCCCAGGTTAGCTGTGCTGGTCAAGGGATGGACTTTCTTTATGTCAAAGTGACTGCTTGGCCTGGTGCAGTGGCTTACCCTTATAATCCCAGCACTTTGGAAGGCCAAGGTGGGAGGATTGCTTGAGACCAGGAATTCAGCATCAGCCTGGGCAACATAGTGAGACCACTTCTCTACTAAAAAAAGAAGGAAAAGAAAGGGACTGCCCTTCTCATTCCACCTACAGGCCGCTCACCTATCCACCCTACTGGTGGTCCTGTGTAAAATGTAGGGGTGCTGCCATCATTGAAGGCGATCACATTCAGCCAGGCATGGTGGCTAACGCCTGTAGTCCCAGCACTTTGGGAGCCCAAGGCTGGTGGATCACCTGAGGTCAGGAGTTCAAGAACAGCCTGACCAACATGGTGAAACCCCATCTCTACTGAAAATACAAAAAAAATTGGCCGGGCATGGTGGCACACCTGTAGTCCCAGCTATTCAGGAGGCTGAGGCAGGAGAATCACTTGAACCCGGGAGGCAGAGGTTGCAGTGAGCCAAGATCGCACCACTGCACTCCAGCCTGGCGACAGAGTGAGACTCCGTCTCAAAAAAATAAAATAAAATAAAATAAAATAAAAACAGAATGTTTGGAAGGCCTGTCCTTCGTCTACTCGGAGTTGTAGTGATCTGGGTTGTAAATCATAGTTAAGAGGGGTCTGATAGCTCCTAACTCCCTATTGTTAGAGAGTTTATAGTAAGACTATGGCTTTTCTTATAGCCATAGGAATTTAGAAATTTGCCATGCCAGCCAGACTCTGAACCCTCTACCTGTAGGTAACTTTAGTTTTCTTTTTTTCTTTTCTTTTTTTTTTTTTTTGAGATGGAGTCTCCCTCTGTCGCCCAGGCTGGAGTGCAGTGGTGCGATCTCGGCTCACTGCAACCTCCGCCTCCCAGGTTTAAGCAATTCTCTGCCTCAGCCTCCTGAGTAGCTGGGATTACAGACGCCCGCCACCATGCGTAGCTAATTTTTTGTACTTTTAGTAGAGACAGGGTTTCACCATGTTGGTCAGGCTGATCTTGAACTCCTGACCTCATGATCCACCCGCCTCAGCCTCCCAAAGTGCTGGGATTACAGGCATGAGCCACCACTCCCAGCCAGAAGTAACTTTGGTTTTCTTAACTGTAGGGCCCTTGTTAGTTGATAAGGGAACATATCAGATCATGGGACTTTACACTTCAGCAATGAGAGGGGGTGCTCTTTAATTTAGGCAGTGATGTGAAGGTATTTGCATTTTTGAAAGAACACGCTAGCTACAAAATGGAGAATAGATTGGCAGTAATTGGGTGAGGATGAGGAAAGATAGTTAGGACACCACTGTAGTCATCCAGGCAAGAGGCAAGAGGACCTGAACAAAAGTGTAGTTGTGAAGATGCAGAGAGGTCAGAGATGTGGAAGGTTCTTAACAGGCAGAACCAGCAGGACCTGGAGATGGATAAGACATGAAATGGGTGGGGCGAGCAGAGAAGGTAGTTGGAGGGAGAATGTCAGATTTTTGGCTTGAGCAACTGGGTGGCTGGCAAAGTCAGTCACAGGGAGACAGGCACCAAAAGAGGAGGAGTTTTGTGGAGAAGGTCAAGGGCTCTGCTTGGACATGTTGAGGCTACACTGCACTTAGGGTGTGCAGGGTATAAGCAAATACATAAACAAATTTATTTTAAAGTCTATAACAGGCTGGGCACAATGGCTCATGCCTGTAATCCCAACACTTTAGGAGGCTAAAGTGGGTGGATTACTTAAGCCCAGGAGTTTGAGACTAGCCCAGGCAACATATTTAGACCATGCCTCTACACACACACACACAGACACACACAAAAAAAAAAAAGAAAGAAGAAAAGAAAATATATTACAAAATACATGAGCGCCACACCTGTAATCCCAGCACTTTGGGAGGCCGAAGCGGGCGGATGACGAGGTCAAGAGATCAAGACCATCCTGGCCAATATGGTGAAACCCGGTCTCTACTAAAAATACAAAAAATTAGCTGGGCGTGGTGGCGGGCACCTGTAGTCTCAGCTACTCAGGAGGCTGAGGCAGGAGAATCACTTGAACCCGGGAGGTGGAGGTTGCAGTGAGCCGAGATCACACCTCTGCACTCCAGCCTGGGCGACAGAGTGAGACTCTGTCTCAAAAAATAATAATAATAATGACAATAAATGAGCCCATGTGAAGTATAGTGATGTCATTTTTTTCAAGACGGAGTCTCGCTCTGTCACCCAGCCTGGAGTGCCATGGCGCCATCTCGGCTCATTGCAGCCTCCGCCTCCCGGGTTCAAGCGATTTTCCTGCCTCAGCCTCCCAAATAGCTGGGATTACAGGCACCCACTATCATGCCCGGCTAATTTTTGTATTTTTGTAGAGATGGGGTTTCACCATGTTGGCCAGGCTGGTCTTAAACTCCTGTCCTCAGGTGATCCACCTGCCTCGCCCTCCCAAAGTGCTGGGATTACAGGCGTTAGCCATCACACCCAGCCTCAACTGTATATTCTCCTGAGCTTTTTAGGGTATAGTCAATGCATTCCCAAAATGTGATCACTTTCTTTTTTTTTTTTTTGAGACAGAGTCGCGCTCTGTCACCCAGGCTGGAGTGCAATGGTGCGATGTCAGCTCAGTGCAACCTCCAGCTCCCGGGTTCAAGTGATTCTCCTGCCTCAGCCTCTTGAGTAGCTGGTATTACAGGCAACCGCCATCGCGCCTGGCTAATTTTTTTTTTTTTTTTTTTTTTTGAGATGGAGCCTTGCTCTGTTTTGCCGAGAGTTTTTTTGTTTGTTTGTTTTTTGTGATGGGGTTTTGCCAAGTTGGTCAGGCTGGTCTCGAACTCTTGATCTCGTGATCCACCTGCCTTGGCCTCCCAAAGTGCTGGGATTACTGACTGGTGTGAGCCACTGTGTTTCTATTTTTTTTTTTTTTTTTTTTTGAGATGGAGTCTTGCTCTGTCGCCTAGGCCAGAGTGCAGTGGCGTGATCTTGGCGATTCTCCTGCCTCAGCCTTCTGAGTAGCTGGGACCACGGGTGCGAACCACAATGCCCTGCTAATTTTTGTATTTTTAGTAAAGACGGGGTTTCACCAGGTTGGGCAGGATGATCTCAATCTCTTGACCTCGTGATCCGCCTGCCTCGGCCTCCCAAAGTGCTGGGATTACACGTGTGAGCCACTGCTCCCGGCCTATTTTTAAATTTTTGAGATAAAGTCTTGCTCTGTCACCCAGGCTGGAGTGCAGTGGCACGATCTCAGCTCACTGCAACCTCTGCCTCCCGGGTTCAAGCGATTCTCTCGCCTCAGTCTGAGGAGTAGTTGGGACTACAGGCGTATGCCACCATACCTAGCCATAGATTTTTGTCTTTGAATATAACACAACGTGGGAAAAGCATAGTAAATTCACTGATGCCTCACTTATCTCAAATGATACAAATTTTGAACCATTATTAAATTTCACGGAAACCATTATAATTTATATAAACAATATGCTGCAAACATTTGAAACAAGTCATGTAATAGCAAGTCTTTACAAATTTATTAGCCCTAGGAGAAGTATTATTTTTTTTTTCTTGGATGCCAGAATCTTGAGAACAGTATGTGCAAAGTAAAAATGCATTCGATTTGAGAGTTATACTTAGCTTTTTGAAGTTTTTCAAATCTTGCTAGTGAGCCGTTTGCTAATTAAAAGTGATCTTCTGAGCCTGATGTGGTGGTGCGTGCCTGTAGTCCCAGCTACGCTGGAGGCTGAAGCAGGAGGATCCCTTGAGTCCAGGAGTTCAAGACTGTAGGATTTCCAGGTTATAGTGCACAGTGATCTCGTCAGTGAATAGTCACTGAACTCCAGCCTGGGCAATATAGCAGAAACTCTGACTTTATTTTTTATTTTTTTAATTAATTAATTATTTATTTATTTATTTATTTATTTATTTATTTTGAGACGGAGTCTCGCTCTGTCGCCCAGGCTGGATGGAGTGCAGTGGTGCGATCTTGGCTAACTGCAAGCTCCGCCTCCCGGGTTCACACCATTCTCCGGCCTCAGCCTCCCGAGTAGCTGGGACTACAGGCGCTCGCCACGCCCGGCTCATGAGCCGCCTGCCTCGGCCTTCCAAAGTGCTGGGATTACAGGCATGAGCCACCGCGCCCGGCCTGACTTTATTTTTTAAAACAAACAAATAGAAAGGGGACTTCCATTCTGTCAGAGACATTTGAACCAGAGCAACTCCATCTTGAATAGGGGTTGGATAAAATGAGGCTGAAACGTACTGGGCTGCATTCCCAGACACTTGAGGCATTCTAGGTCATAGGATGAGATAGGAGATCGGCACAAGACATAGGTCACAAAGACCTTGCTGATAAAAGAGGTTGCAGTAAAGAAGCCGGCTGAAACCCACCGAAACAAAGATGGCGATGAGAGTGACCTCTGGTTGTCCTCACTGCTACACTCCCACCAGCAACCTGACAGTTTACAAATGCCATGGAAACATCAGGAAGTTACCCTATATGATCTAAAAAGGGGAGGCATGAATAATTTGCCTCTTGTTTAGCATATAATCAAGAAATAACTTAACAATGGGCAAACAGCAGCCCTCAGGGCTGCACTGCCTTTGGAGTAACCTTCTTTCGTTTCTTAACTTCTCTAATAAACTTGCTTTCACTTTATGGATTTGCCTTGAATTCTTTGTTGCATGAGATCCAAGAACTCTCTCTTGGGGTTTGGATCATGACCACTTTCTGGCAACAATTCTTCAAAGAAACCTTTTTTTTTTTTTGAGACAGAGTTGTGTGTTTCCCTCTTGTTGCCCAGGCTGATTTGCGATGGCGAGATCTCGGCTCACTGCAGCCTCCACCTCCCAGGTTCAAATGATTCTCCTGCCTCAGCCTCCTGAGTAGCTGGGATTACAGGCGCCCATCACCACGGCTGGATAGTTTTTATTTTTATTTTTAGTAAAGATGAGATTTCACCATGTTGGCCAGGCTGGTCTCGAACTCCTGACCTCAGGTGATCCACGTGCTTCAGCCTCCCAAAGTGCTGGGACTACAGGCGTGAGCCACCACGCCCAGTCCAAAGAAAACTTCATATCTGATTTTATATTTTTTTAAAAAGGCCTTACAGGTTGGGCATGGTTGCTCATGCCTGTAATCCCAACACTTTGGGAGGCCGAGGTGGGTGAATTGCTTGAGCGCAGGAGTTAGAGACTGAAACTGCCTTTGCAAAATTATGACTGAGACAGTGAAAGAAATCTAACTTAACCGACTCCATTTTGCTTCTAACCTCCAAGCTGTCATTCATTCCTGGGCCTAAGCTGAACTAACTTTGGGAGAAACTTGGTTTATAATTTAAAACAAAGACAATAATAGCCCTTTCCCTTTGTTTTAATAGCCCTTTAAAACAAAGACAATAACAGACCTCCTTCTTGCCTGGGGACTAGATTGCCTTTGTAGGACTAACACAGATTAGAAATTATGGTTTAGGCTGGGTGCAGTGGCTCATGCCTGTAATCCCAGCACTTTGGGAGGCAGAGGCGGGCGGATCACCTGAGGTCAGGAGTTCGAGACCAGCCTGACCAATATCATGAACCCCTATCTCTACTAAAAATACAAAAAGTAGCTGGGCGTGGTGGCATGTGCCTGTAATCCCAGCTACTCAGGAGGCTGAGACAGGAGAATGGGTTGAACCCCAGAGGCAGAAATTGCAGTGAGCCGAGATTGCGCCATTGCACTCCAGCCTGGACAACAAGAGCGAAACTCTGTCTCAAGAAAAAAAAGAAAACAAAACAGAAAGAAAGAAATTACGGTTTAGGAGTCATGCAGGTGAAGGCTACAAGATTCTGACCCTCCCTAAACATCTCCTAAGATCAGTGCTTGAGACATTTTGTCGACCCTGCACTTGATGGATCAGCCGGTACCACCCAGATTGATTAACTGGCTCATCTGATCTTATGGCCCCCACCCAGGAACTGACTCAGCGCAAGAAGACAGCTTAGACTCCCTATGATTTCATCTCTGACCAATCAGCACTCCTGGCTCACTGGCTTCCCCTGACCCACCAAGTTGTCCTTAAAAACTCTGCTCCCCAGGCTGGGCGAGGTGGCTCGTGCCTCTAATCCCAGCACTTTGGGAGGCTGAGGCAGGTGGATCACCTGAGGTCAGGAGTTTAAGACCAGCCTGGCCAACTTGGTGAAATCCTGTCTCTAAAAATACAAAAATCAGCTGGGTATGGTGGCACAGGCCTGTAATCCCAGCTACTGAGGCTGAGGCAGGAGAATCACTTGAACCTGGGAGGTGGAGGTTGCAGTGAGCCAAGATTTTGCCATTGCACTCCAGCCTGGGTGACAGAGAGAGACTCCATCTCAAAAAACAGAACAAAACAACAACAACAAAAACAAACTCTGCTCCTCGAATTCTTGGGCAGACTGATTTGAGTAATAATAAAACTCCTGTCTCCCACACAGCAGGCTCTGCGTGAATTACTCTTTCTATATTGCAATTCCTCTGTCTTGAGAAATCGGCTCTGTCTAGGCAGCGGGCAAGGTAAACACATTGGGCGGTTATGAGACCAGCCTAGTTAACACGGTGAAACCCCATCTCTACAAAAAATACAAAAATTAGCCGGGTGTGGTGGTGCATTCCTGTAGTCCCAGCTTCTCAGAAGGCTGAAGCGAGAGGATGGCATGAGTCCAGGAAACGGAGGTTACAGTGAGCCAAGATTGAGCAACTGTACTCCAGCATAGGCAACAGAGCCAGATCCTGTACCAAAAAAAAAAAAGCCTTACATTATTTTTTTGCACCATTTCAACCAGTGCATTGTGACGGCTCTGCCCATTAGCTAAATCTAGCTAATCAGTATAAGCATCTGCCCAGTCTGCCCATCTGGCTGGACTTCTCCAGGGAAAGTCCATACTGATACTAAAAGTCTGGCCACAGAAGCTGTTATTCTTTAAAAGTGCCAGGCCTTCACATTGAAAGCTTAGAACAATTTTCTCCCTTCTCTTTTTCTCTTTTGAAATTATGACATACTTAAGTAGAAAACTACATAGAATAGCTATAATGAACCTGTATGGGCCAAAGGAAAACTTCCCTTTCGCCCTCTGAAGGTTGGCTGGAAAATTAACTCACGAAAGATAGATGCAGGCTGGGCACGGTGGTTCACATCTGTAATCCCAGCACTTTGGGGGGCTGAGTCGGGTGGATCACCTGAGGTCAGGAGTTCAAAACCAGCCTGGAAACATGGTGAAAATATAAAAATTAGCTGGGCACAGTGGCGTGTGCTTGTAATCCCAGCTACTCGGGAAGCTGAGACAGGAGAATCACTTGAGCCCAGGAGGTGGAGGTTGCAGTGAGCTGAGATTGTGCCATTGCATTCCAGCCCTGTCGACAGAGCAAGAGTCTGTCCAAAAAACAAAACAAAACAAAACAAAACAAAACAAAAAAAGGTGCATTGGAGAAGAGGCATATAAATGGATTAATGTGTACACAGAGAGAACCACAGAGTGATTAACCAATCCACAACAGGGTTCAGGAGCTTATTTACCATCCTGGCAAAACAGGTTATGGGATAGGGAACAGGAATTCTCTTGAGGGGCCATAGGCGATTATTAGGGAGAATGAATGGGCCCAGAGATAGAGATTGAGTTTTGAATAGTTCCCTGTGGAATGTGAATGAGCTGAGAGACAGACTCTTTTGGGAAAGGACCTGCTCAGGTGTGATTCCATTCCTGATCTTACAGGGAGGGGAAGAGAAAACAATTATTCTTTGTGGTATGTCTGGACTTGAAGCAGATAAAGGAACTTCAGAGAATAACTCATCCTGCCTGTGGGAGAGCTGGTTGAGAAGAGAGGTCAGAGAAACCTTGAAGTTTCTTCTTCAGTTCAGCATGTTGGCATATTTTGGGGTATTAATTTCTGAGCCTCAGCAAACCTCACAGACACCACTTCCTTATACAACTGTAAACACAAACTTTTTTTTTTTTTTTTTTTTTTGAGACAGAGTCCCACCCTGTCACCCAGGCTGGAGTGCATTGGCACGATCTCAACTCACAGCAACCTCTACCTCCCGGGTCAAACAATTCTTGCCTCAGTCTCCCAAGTAGCTGGGATTACAGGCCCGTGCCACCCCACCCGGCTAATTTTTGTATTTTTAGTAGAGATGGGGTTTCACCATGTTGGCCAGGCTGGTCTCAAACTCCTGACCTCAGGTGAGCCACCCGCTTCGGCCTCCCAAAGTGCTAGGATTACAGGTGTGAGCCACTGTGCCTGGCCTCTTTTTTTTTTTTTTTGGAGACTAAGTGTCGATCTGTCACCCAGGCTGGAGTGCAATGGCAGGATCTCGGCTCACTGCAACCTCCACCTCCCGGGTTCAAGCAATTCTCCTGCCTCAGCCTCTGGAGTAGCTGGGATTACAGGCGCCCACCACCATGCTTGGCTAATTTTTGTATATTTTGAATAGAAACGGGGTTTCACCATGTTGCCCAGGCTGGTCTCCAACTCTTGACCTCAAGTGATCCGCCTGCCTCAGCCTCCCAAAGTGCTGGGATTACATCTTTTTTTCTTTTTTTTTTTATGGGGGTGGAGTTGGGGGGTGTCTCACTATGTTGCCCAGGCTGGTCTCCAACACCTGGGCTCAAGTGTTCCTCCCACCTGCCTCGGCCTCCCAAAGTGCTGGGATTATAGGCATGCACCACTGTGCCTGACCTAAACTGTTTTCTTCCACCATACTCTTGTTACCTGAAAAAAAACAGGGTTTGTTTGCCTGGCAAATAACAAATGACTCTCCACAAGGCAGGTTTTAATCAACAGGAGTTTAATTACAAGTAAGGAGAGCACTGGGAGGATTCTTCAAAGCAGTGTCTCCCGGAGAGAAGTGACAGGAGGATTTTAGGGGGTGATGGGGAGGGGAGAGGGTGCCTCATTGCATGTAGAGGAGGGGTCCCAGTTTTGGAAACACAGTGAATCCTCACGCCCGCACACAGGTCACATGCTATGAGAATGAAGCCACAGCTCCTCCCAGGATGGAGATTTCAGCATGGTAATGAGGAACTTTCACTCAGGTTTATCTACAAGTTTCTGGGGTCTGCCAGGAGCCAGTTTTAACCAACTAGGTGACTGCAGTCAACACAGGGTTTAGGAAAAAAGAGGCTGCACGGCAGGAGGCTGTAAAACAAGCCAATTGCTCAGGGTGATTAAATTTCTGTAATCCCTGAAGACCCTCCCTGTCTGCTCACACAACACAAAACACTTGTGACCAGATGTATGGGACTTTTTCTCCACACACCAAACAGTTAACTATCCAGCAAATACTGAGTGGCCTATTTGATTCAATTCAGCCACTAGCTACCTGGAGATGGTATCAGATTCCACAGGGGGAGGGCTGAGTCCCAAAAGACTGCCTCCCACTTTAGATGCCAATTCCAAGACCAAGGCTGTGATCTGTGCTTCTGACAAACCTGCTATAAATCAGGGTTCCTACAACCCCCTCCTTGGCTTCATAATTTGCTAGGATTGCTAACAGAACTCAGGGAAACACGTTTATCACTTAATTATGCAGGACGTTTTAAAGATATAGATGAATAGCTGGATTTAAAAGATGCATAGGGTGAGCTTTTGGGAGGAAGAGGCTTGGCGCTTCCATGGCCCATCTGGGCACCACCCTCCCAGCACCTCCAAGTGTCAGTACCCTGCCAACCCATCAATTCTTTTTTTTTTTCTTTTGAGAGGCAGTTGCACTCTGTTGCCTAGGCCAGAGTGCAATGGCAAGATCTCGGCTCACTGCAACCTCCACCTCTTGGGTTCAAGGGATTATCCAGCCTCAGCCTTCTGAGTAGCAGAGATTACAGGCACCTTCCACCACGCCTGGCTACTTTTTGTATTTTTAGTAGAGACAGTGTTTTGCTATGTTGGCCAGGCTGGTCTCCAACTCCTGACCTCAAGTGATTTGCCAACCTCAGCAAAGGGCTAGGATTACAGGCATGAGCCACCGTGCCCAGCCCCCATCCATTCTTGTTCAAGAGTTTTTATGGCCGGGCCACTGCACTCCAGCCTGGGTGACAGAGCAAGACTCCGTCTCGGAAAAAAAAAAAAGAGTTCTTAGAGGCCAGGTGTGGTGGCTCACGCCTGTAATCTCAGTACTTTGGGAGGCCGAGATGGGCAGATCACCTGAGGTAAGGAGTTCGAGACCAGCCTGGCCAACATGGCGAAACCCCATCTCTACTAAAAATACAAAAATTAGCCAGGCATGGTTGTGGGCACCTGTAATCCCAGCTACTCGGGAGGCTGAGGCAGGAGAATCCCTTGAACTGGGGAGGCAGAGGTTGCAGTGAGCCAAGATCACACCACTGCAGTCCAGCCTGGGTGACAGAGTACTCTGTCTCAAAAAAATTTTTTTTTTTTGGTCTCAATCTCCTGACCTCATGATCCACCTGCCTCGGCCTCCCAAAGTGCTGGGATTACACGCCCAGGTAATTTTTGTATTTTTAGTAGAGACAGGGTTTCACTATGTTGGCCAGGCTGGTCTCAAACTCCTGACCTCAGGTGATCCACTTGCCTTGGCCTTCCAAAGTGCTGGGATTACAGGCATGAGCCAATGTGCCCAGCCTATTATTTTTAAACTGACAGATAAATTTTACATATTTATCATATAGGACATGATGGTTTGGTTTTGGTTTGATTATTTATTTATTAAATATTTATTTATTTATTTTTGAGACAAATTCTAGCTCTGTCACCCAGACTGGAGTGCAGTAGAGTGATCTTCTTGGCTCACTGCAAATTCAACCTCCTGGATTCAAGAGATTCTCATGCCTCAGCCTCCAGAGTAGCTGGGACTACAAGCATGCACCACCATGTCCAGTTAATTTTTGTATTTTTTGATAGAGATGGGGTTTCTCCTTGTTGTCCAGACTGTTCCTGAGCTCCTGGCCTCAAGTGATCCATCCACATCAGCCTCCCGAAGTGCTGGGATTACAGGCGTAAGCCACCGCGCCTGGCCTGCTTTTTTATTTTTATTTTCAGTATTTTCTTGAGACAAGTCTCCCAGGCTGGGGTGCACTGCCACAGTCAAGGCTCACTGCAGTCTCAAACACCTGGGCTCCAGTGATCCTCCCACCTCAGCCTATAGCTGGGACTACAGGCTCCAGCCACCACTCCCAGCTAATTTTTTGTATTTTTTGTAGAGACATGGCCTGCCTATGTTGCCCAAGCTGGTTTCAAATTCTTGGGTTCACGCAATCCTCTTGCCTTGGCCTACCAAAGCACTGGGATTTCAGGTGTGAGCCTCTGTGCCCAGCCTAATTCTTAGTTTCCATAGGTATTACATGCTATTTTGAAGCATATATAAACTTGGAATGACTAATTCTAGCTAATTAACATATATGCATTACCTCACATAATTACCATTTTTGTGGTGAGAACACAACATTCAATCTCTTAACATTTTTCAAGAATACAATATATTGGTTTGGTTTGGTTTGGTTTGGTTTGGTTTGTCTTTTTCTTGAGACGGAGTTTCGCTCTGTCACCCAGGCTGAAGTGCAGTGGCGCGATCTCGGCTCACTGCAAGCTCCGCCTCCTGGGTTCATGCCATTCTTCTGCCTCAGCCTCCCAAGTAGCTGGGACTACCGGCGTCAGCCATCACACAGCTAATTTTTTTTTTGTATTTTTAGTAGAGACGGGGTTTCACCGTGTTAGCCAGGATGGTCTCAATCTCCTGACCTCGTTATCCGCCCCCCTCGGCCTCCCAAAGTGCTGGGATTACAGGCGTGAGCCACCATGCCTGGCCTGTTTTGCTTTGTTTGTTTTGAGAGGGAGTCTTGCTATGACGCCCAGGCTGAGGTACAATGGTGTGATCTCGTCTCACTGCAACCTCTGCCTTCCGGGTTCATGAGATTCTCCTGCCCCAGCCTCCCAAGTAGCTGGGACTACAGGTGCGCACCACCACACCCAGCTAATTTTTGTATTTTTAGTAGCAATGGGGTTTCACCATATTGGCCAGGCTGGTCTCGAACTCCTGACCTCAGGTGATCTGCCCTCCTCAGCCTTGCAAAGTGCTGGGATTACAGGTGTGAGCCACCGCGCCTACAATACATTGTTATTAACTATAGTCATCATGCTGTACCAAATTTTAAATAGGAGGATATTCTATGTGTTCTACAACTTGCCTTCTTTTTCTGATGAACTTCATATTTTTGAGTCTTATATTTTGATGTTTTTTGTTTTTTTTTCTTTTTGAAATATTTAGACCCAGTTAGCTCATTTTATGTTGTAGAACAGTGCTGTCCAATAGAACTTTCTGCAATGATGGAAATTTTCTATATCAGCATTGTCTAATATGGGTACTCACTAATCACATGTGGCTACTGAGCACTTGAAATGTGGCTAATGTGACAAAGGAACTAATTTTTGAGACGGAGTCTTGCTCTGTCGCCAGGCTGGAGTGCAGTGGCGTGATCTCAGCTCACTGCAACCTCCACCTCCAGGGTTCGAGCGATTCTCTTGCCTCAGCCTCCTGAGTAGCTGGGACTATAGGCATGTGCCACCACACCCAGCTAATTTGTGTATTTTTAGTAGAGATGGGGTTTCACCCTGTTGGCCAGGATGGTCTCGATCTCTTGACCTCCTGATCCGCCCGCCTCGGCAAAGTGGTGGGATTACAGGCGTGAGCCACCGTGCCTGGCCAAGGAACTAAATTTAAATTTTTAAAATGTGAAACATAGACGTAATTTTAATTATTTAAATTTAAGTTTAAATAGCCTCATGTGGCTCATTGCTACCATGTGGGATAACGCAGCTCTTTAATATTCAATTATATAAATATATCACAAATAATGTATCCATTCTTCTGTTTATGGATTTTAAAGTATTTCCAATTACTTTATATACTGTTATATTAAAAAATGCTGCAATGAACATACTTCTGCATGCCTTCTTGAGCAAATGTGGGAAAGGCTGGGTATAAGCTCATAAGTAGAGTTGTATTATCAACTCTACTAGATATTGCCAAATGGTCTCCACAGTGGTTTTTCTGGTTTACGCTCCCATCCACTAGAAGAAAGTCCCTGTTGCCCTGGAGCTTCAGCAACATCTGATATTCCCAAACCTGTCTTTGCCAATTTAATGAATGTCGCCTTGTTATTTTATTATTTTATTTTTAATTTTATTAATTTTATTTTTTTCACCTCATCGTTATTTTATTTTATGTATGTATGTATGTATTTATTTATTTATTTATTTATTTATTTATTTATTTATTTATTTTAAGACGGAGTCTCACTGTTGCCCAGGCTGGAGTGCAGTGGTATGATCTCAGCTCACTACAACCTCTGCGCCCCCACCCCCTCCCTGGGTTCAAGCAACTCTCCTGCCTCTGCCTCCTGAGTAACGGGAATTATAGGCACCTGCCACCACACCTGGCTAATTTTTGTATTTTTAGTAGAGATGGGGTTTCACCATCTTGGCCAGGCTGGTCTTGAACTCCTGACCTCATGATCCACCCTCCTCAGCCTCCCAAAGCGCTGGGATTACAGGCGTGAGCCACTGAACCCAGCCCTTGTCGTTATTTTAATTTGCTTTTTTTTGAAGCCCAAAATGTCAGTATTAATTTGCATTTTCTATTTTCTCTTTGAGGGATTGTCTTTCCTATATTTAAATTTTTTTTTCTCTTGGGTTGGTTGTCTTTTTCATATCGATTTGTGGAGTTCTTTGTAAATTCTAGACAGTAATTCTTTATTGGTTATATACCTATATATGATGTAGTCTGCTATGGCATGGCTTTTATTATTAATTTAATGTTTGCAAAACCAGCATATTTACATATATTTCAAAAGGTACAAAAAGATAACCAGGGGCTGGGCACGGTGGCTCACACCTGTAATCCCAGCACTTTGGGAGGCTGAGGCGGGCAGATCACGAGGTCAGGAGATCGAGACCATCCTGGCTAACACAGTGAAACCCCACCTCTACTAAAAATACAAAAAATTAGCGGGGTGTGTTGGCAGGCGCCTGTAGTCCCAGCTACCTGGGAGGCTGAGGAAGGAGAATGGCGTGAACCAGGGAGGCGGAGGTTGCAGTGAGCCGAGATCGCACCACTGCACTCCAGCCTAGGCAGCAGAGCAAGACTCCGTCTCAAAAAAAAAAAAAAGGTAAAAAAAAAAAAACCAGGATTTTTTTTTTTTTTTGAGACAGAGTTTCACTCTTGTTGCCCCCAGGCTGGAGTGCAATGGCCCGTTCTTAGCTCACTGCAACCTCCACCTCTCGGGTTCAAGCAATTCTCCTGCCTCAGCCTCCTGAGTAGCTGGGATTACAGGCGCCTGCCCCCAAGCCCAGCTAGTTTTTTTTGTATTTTTAGTAGAGATGGGGTTTCACCATGTTGGCCAGGCTGGTTTCGAACTCCTGACCTCAAGTGACCCGCCCACCTCGGCCTCCCAAAGTGCTGGGATTATAGGCGTGAGCTACTGCGTCCGACTTGATAAAGACTTTCATGAACACTAACATAGTTTCTAACAGTTCAAGGCCACATCTCTAGGATGACCCTAATGCCCTTTAAAGTGTCTGACTGAGAGAACTCAAGGCTGCCAAAAGAATGTACTGTTTGTTCCAGCCCACAGATGAAGGTAAGGCCCCTGTTTCCCAGCTGCTGTGAGAGTGTAGGAGCCTAATGATAAGCCCCAGCTAACAAGGCCAGGTGGGCTTAACACAGACCAACCCCCTTCCCACTTTTTGTAATCTGTCACTTCTCTGACGTCATTGAGTCCCCACTCACCCTCTCTGTTCTTTCATTCTTGCTTTAAAATGCCCAGTTATCTCTACAAATCAAAGTTGAGTTCAGTTCAAGCTAGGCTCTTTTCCCTATTGCAATAATATGTCACTGATTAAAATCTGTTCTTACCACTTTTTATTTATTTATTTATTTATTATTTTGAGACGGAGACTTGCTATGTGGCCTAGGCTGGAGTGCAATGGCACAATCTTGGTTTACTGCAAAATCTGCCTCCCGAGTTCAGGAGATTCTCCTGCCTCAGCCTCCTGAGTAGCTGGGATTACAGGTGTGCACCACCATGCCCAGCTAATTTTTGTTTTTTAGTAGAGATGGGGTTTCACCATGTTGGTCAGGCTGGTCTCGAATTCCTTGCCTCAAGTGATCCGCCTGCCTCGGCCTCCCAAAGCGCTGGGATTACAGGCGTGAGCCTCTGTGCCTGTCCTGTCCTTACCACTTTAGCTAGTGTCTGGCTTTGTTTATCTATGAGATGATCCAGCAATTCTACTCCCAGGTATATACCCACGAAAAATGAAGATATATATCCACACAGAAACTTGTATACAAATGTTTATAGCAACATTATTTATAATAGCCAAAAGGTGAAAACAGCCCAAATGCCCACTAACTGATGAATGGATAAATAAATTGTGATCTGTACAGGCAATGGAGTATTATTCAGCCATAAAAAGGAATGCCAGCTACTAGGGAGGTTGAGATGGGAGGATCACTTGAGCCTGGGAGGTTGAGGTTGCAGTGAGCCATGACCATACCACTGCACTCCAGCCTGGGTGACAGAGTAAGACTCTGTCTCAAAGAAAAAAATAAATGAAAGGAACACAGGGAGTGATGGGCTGAGCGTGGTAATCCCAGCACTTTGGGAGGCTGAGGCAAGAGGATCCCTGGAGCCTAGGAGTTTGAGACCAGGCTAGGTAAGTAACATAGGGAGACCCCATGTCCACTAAAAATAAAAAAATAAAAAAATTAGTGTTCCGGCGGGGGCGGCCGAGGGGGAAGAGTGTGTGTCTGCGGGAGAAAGAGGAGAATCACCCAAGCGGCCTCAGAAGTCCCAGGGAGTGGAGGCCCCTGCCATGGAGCCGTGTGGTGTATGTGTGGTAACACCATGTCTGTGCCCCTGCTCAACGATGCTGCCACCGTGTCTGGAGCTGAGCGGGAAACGGCCGTGGTTATTTTTTTACATGGACTTGGAGACACAGGGCACAGCTGGGCTGACGCCCTCTCCACCATTCGGCTCCCTCACGTCAAGTACATCTGTTCCCATGAGCCTAGGATCCCTGTGACCCTCAACATGAAGATGGTGATGCCCTCCTGGTTTGACCTGATGGGGCTGAGTCCAGATGCCCCAGAGGACGAGGCTGGCATCAAGAAGGCAGCAGAGAACATCAAGGCCTTGATTGAGCATGAAATGAAGAACGGGATCCCTGCCAATCAAATCATCCTGGGAGGCTTTTCACAGGGCCGGGCCCTGTCCCTCTACATGGCCCTCACCTGCCCCCACCCTCTGGCTGGCATCCTGGCTTTGAGCTGCTGGCCGCCTCTGCACCGGGCCTTCCCCCAGGCAGCTAATGGCAGTGCCAAGGACCTGGCCATCCTCCAGTGCCATGGGGAGCTGGACCCCATGGTGCCCGTACGGTTTGGGGCCCTGATGGCTGAGAAGCTCCGGTCTGTTGTCACACCTGCCAGGGTCCAGTTCCAGACATACCTGGGTGTCATGCACAGCTCCTGTCCTCAGGAGATGGCAGCTGTGAAGGAATTTCTTGAGAAGCTGCTGCCTCCTGTCTAACTAGTCGCTGGCCCCAGTGCAGTACCCCAGCTCATGGGGGACTCAGCAAGTAAGCATGGCACCATCTTGGGTCTGAGCTGGTCGAGCCCCTGTCCCCACCCTTCCTGACCTGTCCTTTTCCCACAGGCCTCTAGGGGCAGGTGGCAAGGCCTGGCTGGGCCTTCCTTCCTGGCCTCAGCCACCTGGCTCTGTCTGCAGTAGGGGCAGGCTGCTTTCTTATCCCATTTCCCTGGAGGCGGGCCCCCCTGGCAGCAGTATTGGAGGGGCTACAGGCAGCTGGAGAAAGAGGCCCAGCCACTGACCCACTCACTCAGGACCTCACTCACTAGCCCCACTTTGGGCCCCCTCCTGTAACCTTAGGGTTTGGCCCATGGGGCCCTCCCAGGCCCCTGCCCCAACTGATTCTGCCCAGATAATCTTGTGTCTCCTGCCTCCACTCAGCTGCTTCTCAGTCATGAACGTGGCCATGGCCCCGGGGGTCCCCTTGCTGCTGTGGGCTCCCTGTCCCTGGGCAGGAGTGCTGGTGAGGAGGTGGAGCCTTTTGAGGGGGGCCTTCCCTCAGCTGTTTCCCCACACTGGGGGGCTGGGCCCTGCCTCCCCGTTACCCTCCTTCCCTGCAGGCCTGGAGCCTGTAGGGCTGGACTGAGGTTCAGGTCTCCCCCCAGCTGTCTCACCCCCACTTTGTCCCCACTCTAGAGCAGGGAGGCGGTGGGGGAGGAGTTGTGTCTTGTCTTCTGTCTCCATGTGGTTTTTGGGTGTTTTTCTTCTTGTGTCCTGGATTCTGATAAAATTAAAGAAATTGCTTCCTCAAAAAAAAAAAAAAATTAGCCGGACATGGTGACTCGTGCCTGTGGTCCCAGCTACTCGGAAGGCAAGAGGTTGGAGTATCACTTGAGCCCAGGAGGCGGAGACTACAGTGAAACATGATCACACCACTACACTCCAGCCTGGGCAATGGTAAGACCCTGTCTCAAGGAAAGAAAAAAAAAAAGGAATGTGGTAGTGATACATTATATGCTACAACGGTGAGGAACCTCAAAAACATTATGCTAAGTGAAATAAGTCATTATTTATGGATTTTTTATTTTTCATTGTCAAGTTAGCATTGTACACAAATACACACACATGCTCACACACACAGCTTGGTTTCATTTGCAAAACTTTTATTTAGGATTTTTCCAGGTATGCTTGTCAGTGAGATTAGCCTATAGCTTTCCTTTCTTTCACTGTCTTTGTCTAATATTGTTATAGAGGTTATATTAATTTTTTTTTTTGAGATAAGAGTCTCGCTCTGTCACCCAAGCTGGAGTGCAGTGGCACAATCTCAGCTCATTGCAACCTCCACCTCCAAGGTTCAAGCTATTCTTGTGTCTCAGCATCCCGAATAGCTGGGATTACAGGCATGTGCCACCATGGTCGCCTAATTTTTTAAAAAAATGTTTTTAAATTTTTAGTAGAGATGGGGTTTTGCCATGTTGGCCAGGCTGGTCTCGAACTCCTGGCCTCAAGAGATCCACCCGCCTTGGCTTCCCAAAATGCTGGGGTTACAGGCATGAGCCACTGCTACCAGACTAGGTTATATTAAGTCTTATAAAATAGTTTGAAAGTATACTCTCTTTTTGAAAGGCATTTTTTTTTCTTTGCTTGTTTGTTTTTAGTTTTCTTTTCTTTGTTTTTTTTTATGTTTTTGAGACGGAGTCTTGCTCTGTTGCCCAGGCTGGAGTGCAGTGGCACAATCTCGGCTCACTGCAACCTCTGCCTCCCAGGTCCAAGCGATTCTCCTGCCTCAGCCTCTTGAGTAGCTGGGATTACAGACGCCCACCACCACGCCCGGTTAATTTTTGTATTTTTAGTAGAGACAAGGTTTCTCCATGTTGGCTTCCCCAGGCTGGTCTCGAATTCCTGACCTCGTGATCTGCCCACATCGGCCTCCTAAAGTGCTGGGATTACAGACGTGAGCCACCACGCCTGGCCGCTTGTTTTGTTTTTAATGTTGGTTATAACTCTGTATCTAGGTAATTATCTCATGAAGCATTTTTCTGCTATTGGAAGCAATTTGTATAAAACAGTAAGCCTCTTCGCCCCCATTCTTTTACGGGGCTAATTTCTACTCATTCTCCAGTTCTCATCATAAACTTCACATTGTTAGAAAGGGCTTTGCTTTCTCTCCCACTAGATTAGGTGTCTCTGTTCCATGACTCTCAGCACATTTCATTGTGATGTCTCATTAAATGTTGGTATTCTCAGCTGGACCCTAAACTACGTGGACAGGGACCTAACTTTTGTTCACCACTACCCCAGTGCTTAGCACATTGATGTCACAAAATTGGCCACCAATAAATATGTTTGGCGGAATGAGTGAAAGAAACACGGCAAACTGGAATGCCCTGGGAAGTCCTCCTGCTTCAGAACAAAGGAGAAGACTGGAAGAAAGAAGGGCTACAGCCCAGCTGTGGAAGCAGAGCCCTAGGCAAGGAGGTGTCAGTGCAGTCCTGGTCCCTCTGTGCAGGAGCCTCTCATAAAGAGGCTGAGCTGTGTCAGCACCAGGGGCCCCATCATCATAGGAGGTCAGTGAAGCTTGGGAGTTCTGGCAGATGCAGCAGAGGTGGCCCTGAACACTTGGAGATTCTGGGATGGTCACCTGGGAGCCAGCAGCCATGCAGGGTAATGGGGAAGACAGCAGCGATTTCTGGAGATTGGCTCCCCTCAAAGACAGAGAGAGGAGCTTGGGCAGGACTAGATTTTCCAGTTTTTTTGTTTTGTTTTGTTTTTGTTTTTGTTTTGTTTTTTTTTTTGAGACGGAGTCTCACTCTGTCGCCCAGGCTGGAGTGTAGTGGTGCGATCTTGGCTCACTGCAAGCTCCGCCTCCCGCGTTCATGCCATTCTCCTGCCTCAGCCTCCCGAGTAGCTGGGACTACAGGCGCCCACCACCACGCCTGGCTAATTTTTTGTATTTTTTAGTAGAGACGGGGTTTCAGCGTGTTAGCCAGGATGGTCTCGATTTCCTGACCTCGTGATCTACCCGCCTCGGCCTCCCAAAGTGCTGGGATTACAGGCGTCAGCCACCACACCCGGCCTAAGTCACACTTTCAAAATTCCTAAATCCACCCAAGGCACGGATAGCTCAGTGGCTTCTGCAGGGCCCTGGAGAAACTTCCCTCACCAGGTTCTGACCCTCTGGCTCATGTTGGGTAATCATCTTGTTTAGTCTGCATCTGCACCTTAGTACCAGGAAGTGCCTTAGGCTGAGGAACAAGAATTCACTACTCACTGGAAAAATCAATGTCCCAGGTATTCTAGCTTACCTATCAGTCTCGTGTGACTTTGGCTAGCGTCAGTCAGTTCCCTTGAATGTCAATAACCCTGAATATTCTGGCAAATAGAACTTTAAGTCAAGTTATCGCTGGATCCTAGTGACAATCATCAGTCCTTAATACTAGATGATGGTTTGTTTGTTTATTAGTAAATCCTGACTGAGCACCTCCTGGGGGGCAGACCATGGTTGGGTCTGTCCCTGGTATCAACTTAGACAAATATTTCCATGTGATCCAGATATCTTAATCTATAGAGTGGATCTGAGAGCTGATGGCTTAGACCAGCTATTTGCTAAATTTCCTTCCCAGTATCTCAAAGGAGAATAGAGTAATGAAGGGAGGAGGTACTTGAGAGGGCCTGATTCAAGCAAGCAGGTTTGACTAAATTGTTGGATGGAGTCACCTTCACTACAACATTCCTCTCTGAGTAAAGCTGGGGCAATCCCAAGACAAGCCTTACAACTGAGTAGGGGTCTCTGGGAGCTGACTCTTTCCTGAGTTGACCAGCTACCGGCCAGACCAAGGTCACATTGGCACTTTTTTACTGCCATGCACAGACCTTTCACTTTTTCACTATGAGGGCATTTTACCACTTTATCCTTTGAATAAACTACAAGTACATAAGACACTTCAGCCTCACGCAAGCTTGGAAGGTAGGATAACACAATGGTGGGTAAAAGCATGTGCTCTGGAGACAAAGTCTGAGATCAAACCCAACCTCCAGGGAGTCTCTCTGAACCCATTTTGGTTCAGAGGGCTGCCTGAAAAAACAACAAAACAAAAAACCCAAACTCCCGCCTTTATGTCTCTGGGTCTCATGGACAAATAGGGTTAATAAGAGTCCTGCAACAAGGCTGGGCGTGGTGGCTCAAGCCTGTAATCCCAGCACTTTGGGAGGTCGAGGTGGGCAGATCACCTGAGGTCAGGACTAGCCTGGCCAACACGGTGAAACCTGTCACCACTAAAAATACAAAATTAGCCTGGCATAGTGGCACATGCCTGTAGTCCCAGCTACTGGGGAGGCTAAGGTGGGAGAATCACTTGAACTCGGGAGGTGGAGGTTGCAGTGAGCCAAGATGGCACCATTGCACTCCAGCCTGGGCGACAAGAGTGAAACTGCATCTCAAAAATAAATAAATAAATAAAAATAAAAATAGAGTCCTGCAACAGTGAGGATGCATTCAGATGAAAGCAACAGAAAACTCAGCTAATAATGTCAGTTAATAAAGACATTTAATTGTTTCATATTTCAAAAATGTCCGGAGGTCAGCAGCCAGTAAGCCCCCTAACGATATTATCTAAGACCCAGGGTCTCTTCATCCTGCTCCATCATCCTTGGCGTGCTGGCTTTTGGGGCCCTCTGTGTGATACTCCACTGATATTCTTGGCACATGGGAAACATCATCTGCTCTTGGATTTCCCAGATCAATCTGAGGATATTACTTCTTGGGGGTAGGTAGGGCCCTGTGGTGGTTTGGACTGTTATTCCCAATCCTTTGCTTCCTCCTTATTATTTAAGTGTACATCCATCCCCTTTGCTGTGTGACTTGCTTGTGCCAACAGAATGTCAGAGGACACGATGCAAGCAGATGCTTTCAATGTGCTTTTGTAGTTTGGCTTGGCCTCTTGCACTCCTGTGATCTGACAAGAGAAAGGCAAATTCCAGATATCCATTGCCCCTTCAGCTGTGACCCAGAATAGACACTGGACCAGGACTAAAGGAGTCCTACCAAGCCCTGTCAAGCCCAGCCTGATTAGACAAACCACAGACAACTCACAAACCCATGAGCATGAAAATAAATAGAGTGGCTTAAGCAATCTCCTGGGGACAGGTATAGGAGGACAGCAAGGGTCCTTGGGTTCTCAGAGTGTCCTCCAGCTCCTCCGGTTTATGAGTCAGTATGTACTTGGTCACATTCATCCTGGGGGCCTTTGGCTAAAGTCAACATTTAGAGTTTCTCGTGGATCTCTTGGCTGGATCTGATCTCACTGGTGCTTTCTGGCTGACTCAACCTCCCTGTGGCTCTCGGTAGCCCAGTGGGACCCCTGAATCTCTACCATGTCTCCCATTCAGCTCCTAACCAAGTTATGCAAACCACATGCCTCTGCTGCCAGGTCACCCTCTTCCTACCCCCCATGCCCCATGGCAGGCCCATGGCTCTCAATTCAATACCCATCACTGGAAAAGGGCTGGTAACACAAAACAGACCCTGTCTCCCTGCCAGTGCATCCTGATTTGCCCACTTATCTACAATGGGCAAAATTTTGTAGCAGCTTCAGTGATCTCTTCTGTTTTCTGGATGTTTCTGAAGCCATTCCCCCAATTCCAAGGCATCTCCTTGACTCTCACCTCCCTGCCTTCGTCTTGTTGAAACTCCAAGATGAGAAGTGGTAGGCTTCTCTTTTATTCTTTTCATATCTTATCTTTGGCTTCCTAGCTCTAATTGCCACTTCAAAAGACAAGGGTTCCCTTTGGAAACAATCTGTTGAGGTAGCTGTTATTATCCTCATTATGGACATATAGGAAATCAAAGATGAGAGATTAAATTACCTCCTCCTTTGGTAGAAACTTGATTCTAGATCTGGCTCTTGATTATGTTAAATGGGAGCTAAATGAATGCAGAAAACAATTTCTTTCTCATAGTCCAGTTTTCAAGTCCATTGTCTTGCTGCAAAATCCTATTTTGAATTTCAATAGATGCATATTACCATTTCCTTCTCTTTATATTTCTTCTGAAACAATCTTAATCTCCTCACAAGCAGTTTGATGCCACAACCAAATAAGAAAGAGGTCATTTACTTGCTGAAGGCAAAAGAGTATAAAAGGAAAAAACACATTAATAGTTTCTTCATACATTATCCATTCTAGCTCCCTGCTTCCACCTGACTTCCCTATTGCAAAGTCTGGAGAATCTTTATCTAGTCCTTTGAATGTGTGTATGCACACATGAGAATTCATGGCTGCATGCAAGAGTGTGTGTGCATGCATGTATTGATGAGAGTGTTGAGAAAAGGAACTCTTCATTTTCTCTTTTTTTCTTTTCTTTTCTTTTTTTTTTTTGAGACAGAGTCTTGCTCTGTCGCCCAGGCTGGAGTGCAGTGAGCTCATTGCAACCTCTGCCTCCCGGGTTCAAGGGATTCTCATGCCTCAGTCTCCCAAGTAGCTGGGATTCCAGGCACGTGCCACAACACCCGGCTAATTTTTGTATTTTTAGTAGAGACGGGGTTTCACCATGTTGGCCAGGATGGTCTCAAACTCCTGACTGCAAGTGATCCACCCGCGTCAGCCTCCCAAAGTGCTGGGATTACAGGCGTGAGCCACTGCGCCCGGTCCATTTTTTCTTTTTTTTTTTTTTTAATGCCATAAGTCTTTGAAACTCTAAAGCCAAAAATTTGACCCATTTATTTATAATTGGTATTATACTGTCATTCCTTTCTTTAGGTAATAAAGCCAGAACCATTGGTTTTTTTCATTAAGATAGGGAACCAGGTTACAAGGATTACCAAAAATAAAAGATAATAGGCTGCTGTTTTTAAAACCTTACATCTCCAGGATCTAAGTCAGTGGCAATAGGGAGGGAAGAGAGGCATTTGGTGACCCAAACCAACTGCTGCTGAGCTGTCCAGTTCTCTGGCTCTCCTTTGACTTCTTGGAACCATCACTTTGACAACAATAAACTCCCAATGCAGGAAAACAAAGCCAGGATTTTTTCTGAGTCTCAGCCACATGCTAAGCGATATGTGATGTACTTTTGTGTACATCATCTCATTTCTTCTTAAAGCAATCCTTCATAGTAGGTATTATCATTTTCACTTTTCACTTTTTTTTTTTTTTTTTTTGAGGCAGGGTCTCATTCTGTCACCCAGGCTAGAGCGCAGTGGAGCAATCACTACAGCCTCAAATTCCTGGGCTCAAGTGATCCTCCCACCTCAGCCTCCTGAGTAGCTGGAACTGCAGGCGTGTGCTACCATGCCCAGATAATTTTTAAATTTTTTTGCAGAGATTGGGATCTCATTATGTTGCCCAGGCTGGTCTCAAACTCCTGGCCTCAAGCAATTCTCTTGCCTCCGCTTCCCCAAGCGTTGGGATTACAGGCATGAGCCACTGCACTTGGCCTCATTCTCATTTTTTAATGATGAGACAGGGTGCACAGGCTGAAAGAGGTAGAATAACTTCCCCAAAGCCCAACAGCTAAAACATGAAAGAGCCGGGATTCGGCCGCCCCGTCTGGGAAGTGGGCGCCTCTGCCCGGCCACCCCGTCTGGGAGGTGAGGAGCGCCTCTGCCAGGCTGCCCTGTCTGGGAAGTGTACGCAACAGCTCTGAAGAGACAGCGACCATCGAGAACGGGCCATGATGACGATGGCGGTTTTGTCGAAAAGAAAAGGGGGAAATGTGGGGAAAAGAAAGAGAGATCAGATTGTTACTGTGTCTGCATAGAAAGAAGTAGACATAGGAGACACCATTTTGTTCTATACTAAGAAAAATTCTTCTGCCTTGGGATGCTGTTAATCTATAACCTTACCCTCAACCCTGTGCTCTCTGAAACATGTGCTGTGTCAACTCAGGGTTAAATGGATTAAGGGCGGTGCAAGATGTGCTTTGTTAAACAGATGCTTGAAGGCAGCATGCTTAAGAGTCATCACCACTCCCTAATCTCAAATACCCAGGGACACAAACACTGCCGAGGGCCGCAGGGACTTCTGCCTAGGAAAACCAGAGACCTTTGTTCACGTGTTTATCTGCTGACCTTCTCTCTACTACTATCCTATGACCCTGCCACATCCCCCTCTCTGAGAAACACCCAAGAATGATCAATAAATACTAAAAAAAAAAAAAAAAAAAAAAAAAAAAGAGCAAGAGCCGGGATTCAAACCCTGCTCCTTGGTACTGCTAACCTCACCGTCGTTTCTCTACATTGGGTGCCTCTTGAGCGATTGTGCTAACACTACATGGAGAGGACTCTATAAAGATGACTACTTTCTTCCTTGTGGGAGTTTTTATTTTATTTTAATTTTTTGAGACAAGGTCTCGCTCCGTTGCCCAGGCTGGGTTGTAGTGGCACGATCTTGGCTCACTGCAGCCTCAACCGCCCTGGACTCCCATCTTGACCTCCAGAGTAGCTGGAACTACAGGCGCATGCCACCACTCCCAGCATTCTCCTGCCTCAGCCTCCCGAGTAGCTGGGACTACAGGCGCCCGCCACCACAGCGGGCTAATTTAGAGACGGGGTTTCACCGTGTTAGCCAGGATGGTCTCGATCTCCTGACCTCGTGATCCGCCCACCTCGGCTTCCCAAAGTGCTGGGATTACAGGCATGAGCCACCGCGCCCGGCCTGAAGTTTCTTAGCCACAGTGCTTTTAAACATTTTATAAAAAAGCAAAACAAATATTCCTTACTGCTGCGTCTATCTTCTGAAGATGACAGCAGCTGGCAGAGCTTGTCCACCTCAGCCTAGCTAGCATTTAAATATGGCTATAGGAGAGAGTCCCTTATTAGCGGGCTCCTCCCCCAGGGCTCTGTACTCTAGGCTGCTCCACACTCCTTTGCCCACCTTAGGCTAGTAAGGTCGGGGTGTACATGGACTGTTTCTTAGCCCTTTCCCTAGGGGGCCAGGGGAGACAAGGAATTGCTTGTCAACTGAGACATGTGAGGGGTGGCAGGGAAGGGCAGAAGTAGGAAAAGCAGCAGCACAGCAAGCAGCAGGCCACTTCCTGGGCACAGTTACTAAGGCAGGTGACCATGGTGAGGAGGATCCTCAGGACTGGGCTGGAGCTGCCTGCAGCCACCTGGGGACTCAGTCTGCGCCTTTTGGCCTCCCCTCCGTCACCACAAACCCAGAAAGGGGCAACCTGCCCAGACTGCCAGTGGCCAAATGGGCACTCCATGGCATCTTAGCATCTCTCCTGCTCCAGGCCTCTGTGGGCAGCAAGAAAGCTAGAGCTACCTGGGATAAAACCGAGGAGGCAGCATGCAACTTCCTCTTATATTCCAGGGTATTAGATATGAGTTCTAAATTTCTTTTCAAATAATTGTCATTATGTTCAATTCTTTACCTTCTACTTTTAAACTTAACTTCCTCGTAAAGCAATCTTTTTTGATTACCTACTCCACCCTGACTCATTCTGATCTCCTGCTCCACCCTAACTCATTTTGATCACCTGCCACCTGCTCTGCCCTGACTCCCGCCAAAGCACTCATCCCGTCATTCTCTTTAAATTAGCCAGTCAGAATTAGTTTAGCCTGTGCTGTCTAACCCTAGCCAATAGGGGAACGAAACAGCAGCAGGGGCCACGTGCATTAGGGATAAGAACCCCTTCCCCTCCCTTGTCCAAGTGTGCGCTCACCATTGTTCCATCTGTAAGGGTGCACCCTTCTATATAGAAGTACCTAGCCTTGCTGAGAATTAAAAGGAAAATTTTATATTTGAGTGATATTCCTTTTGCGGCACCGAAACTTTATATATAACAATTTGGGGGCTTGTCTGGGATTACATTCCCCTCTGGGGGTGGTCTCTGGTTCTCTCTCTTGAGGAGGTGAACCCCGCCCTATTGTGGCGGCCTCAGGCGTGAAAAATCAAGACCTACCCAGTGCAAGGAATAACCCAAGCTCTCAGCAATGCAGGAAAAAAAAAAAAGGCCATCAACCTTTTGGGGTGATCAGACCCAACACCAGGCCGTGGGGGCTACGAAGTCCAGCAGAGTCAAAGGAATGAGAAAACACAAGTTCAGAGAGAAAGTGGGACCAGGGGGCCAACACTAGTATGGAGGTTGCAAAGGCCCGGAGCTCTGGAAGCCCACACTATTTATTGGTGATCAAACAAACAGGGGGTGAGGATGTGGGGGTTGAAAGGAAGCGATGTATCAAGCTAATGAACTACAGATGTGATGGTTTAGCATTTTCTTTGAAATGTATGGCTACTTGAGATAATGGGAGTGCTAGAAGCAAGAAGCCAGCAAGTCTGGACACATTCCAAAGGCCACCAGGGGTGTTACCCTGAATGTAAAACTATTGAAGAAACAATTTATGTGCAAGATGTATAAGGAAAGTAAAATATACTTTTAGTAAAAGGATTATAAGGAGGCATAAGAATGTGGATTTTTACCTACATTAAAAGGTTAAAAAAAAATTTTGTGGCCAGGCATGGTGGCTCACACCTGTAATCCTACCTAGCACTTTGGGAGGCCGAGGTGGGTGGATCACCTGAGATCAGGAGTTTGAGACCAGCCTGGCCAACCTGGTGAAACCCCGTCTCAACTAAAAATACGAAAATTAGCTGGGCATTGTGGTGGGCACCTGTAATCCCAGCTACTCACTCAGGAGGCTGAGGCAGGAGAATCACTTGAACGTGGGAGGCGGAGGTTGCAGTGAGCCAAGATCGCACCATTGCACTCCAGCCTGGGTGACAGAGTGGGACTCCATCTCAAAAAAGAAAAAAAAAAATTTGTTTTGAAGGTTTAAGCAAGTTTTAAAATGTTAATTGTAATGGAAATTATGTGTGTAAACATATTGGCTAAGGTTAAAAGGGTATCACCCAGTTTTTCTGTGAACTGAGCATTAAAATAAAAACACAACGGGTTTTTCTTAAAGCACTAACCCGCTCTTTAACAAAAATTATAAAAAGTTAAAAACAGGCCAGGCTCAGTGGCTCATGCCTGTAATCCCAGCACTTTGGGAGGCCGAGGCAGGCAGATCACCTGAGGTCGGGAGTTCGAGACCAGCCTGACCAACATGGAGAAACCCCCATCTCTGCTAAAAATCCAAAATTAGCTGGGTGTGGTGGTGCATGCCTGTAATCCCAGCTACTTGGGAGGCTGAGACAGGAGAATTCCTTGAACCCGGGAGGCAGAGATTGCAGTGAGCCAAGATTGCACCATTGCACTCCAGCCTGGGCAACAAGAGTGAAACTCCTTCTCAAAAAGAAAAAAAAAAAACAGTCTATAAAAATCTTACCTTATGGGCCGGGCACGGTGGCTCACGCCTATAATCCCAGCACTATGGGAGGCCGAGGTGGGTGGATCATGAGGTCAGGAGATAGAGACCACCCTGGCTAACAAGTAAAACCCTGTCTCTACTAAAAATACAAAAAATTAGCCAGGCGTGGTGATGGGCGCCTGTAGTCCCAGCTACTTGGGAGGCTGAGGCAGGAGAATGGCGTGAACCCGAGAGGTGGAGCTTGCAGTGAGCCGAGATCGTGCCACTGCATTTCAGCCTGGGCGACAGAGCAAGACTCCATCTCAAAAAAAAAAAAAAAAAAAAAAAAAAAAAAAAAACTTACCTTATGATCAGACATTAAAAATTGGATAAATATGTCTACAAAGTGTTATTAAAACTAAGTTTAACATTAATAGGCTGGGCGCGGTGGCTCACGCTTGTAATCCCAGCACTTTGGGAGGCCAAGGCGGGCAGATTGCCTGAGCTCAGGAGTTCGCGACCAGCCTGGGCAACAAGGTGAAACCCCGTCTCTACTAAAATACAAAAAAATTAGCCGGGCGTGGCAGCGTGTGCCTGTAGTCCCAGCTACTTGGGAGGCTGAGGCAGGAGAACTGCTTGAACCCGGGAGGCAGAGGTTGCAGTGAGCCAAGATCGCGCCACTGCACTCCAGCCTGGGCAACAGAGTGAGACTCCGTTTCAAAAAAAAAAATTAATAACACACTAATATAAAGGTGAAATTTAGCTTATCTGGTATAAAAATCATACAGGAAGCACTGTCAAATATAAAATGGTGTTTGGCGTTCTTTGGTCTAAAAAAACTAATAAAAATAAGTGCTAAAGGAAATTTCTCAGTAAGAAGGCACCAAGGACTATAAAGTCCACTGCTGATGTCCCCACATTTAAAACAAAAGGTCGATTTCTTAGAAATTATATGCTTGGTTTATCTTCCACTTTCCTCTCCCTCAAAACTAAAAATATTTTAGCACAGGTACCACCCCTAAAATTTCTGGTAAACCAGCACCAGCCTGAAGATCATGTTGTCATCAGAGGGTGGAAAGAAGGAAAACTCGAGCCAGCCTGGGAAGGACCCTACCTTGTGCTGCCAACCACCGAGACTGCAGTTTGTACAGCGAAAAAGGGATGGATTCATCACACCCGAGTCAAGAAAGCACCACCCCCTCCAGAGTTGTGGGCCATAGTCCCAGGGGGAAACCCTACCAAATTAAAGCTAAGAAAAATTTAACTCTTTCATCTATTCTATTACTCTTTCTCCTTTCCTCGCTCTATTGCTGACCATCTAGTTATTAACATAACCAAGTCAATTTCGCCTCAAACTATTGCATTTAGTGCTTGCCTTGTTATATCCCGTAGGAACTTGCCAAGTCAAAGACAGCTCTCTACTTCTGAAAAGTACCTCTGTCCCTCCTGACTCTCCTCACACTGGGCATTAGTAAATTAGGACCACTGAATCCGGGGGGATTTCGATAAAGATCCCAATGTCAACCAGGATTCTTGACCCCCAATGTAGAGCTTTTATGCCGTAGTCGGTCCAACGTTCTGTGGATCACTAAAGAGCAAGTATGGACTGCCCCAATCAGTTTTTGTAATTTCCTAAAACCATATATTCATTTTACTAGAGGATCATAGAAGTTAAAGACTTAAAAAACATTTTGGCAATTAACACAGGATACCAAGATGCAAATGCCTGGTTGGAATGGATCAAATATTCCGTCCACATTAAACAAAAGCAATTGTTATGCTTGTGCACATGGCAGGCCAGAGGCCCAGATTGTCCCCTTTCCACTAAGGTGGTCCTCCAGTCGACCAGGTGTGGGCTGCATGGTAGCTCTTTTCCAGGATTCTACAGCCTGGAGTAATAACTCACGCCAAGCTCTCTCTCTGCTATATCCTGAAGTCCGGCACCCTGCGCGTCAGCCCCCGAGGGCCATCCAGCTTCTGTCTCCCAACACTAAGTTCACTTCGTGTCTCTCCCAATAGGGAGGAAACTTAGCATTCCTTGGAGACCTGAAGGATGCAGTGAGCTTAAGAATTTTCAAGAGCTTATCAATCAGTCAGCCCTTGTTCATCCCCGAGTGGATGTGTGGTGGTATTGTGGTGGATCTTTACTGGACACTGCCAAATAACTGGAATGGCACTTGTGCTTTATTCCAATTGGCTATCCCTTTCACCCTGTTATTTCATCAACGAGAGGAAGGAAAAATAAGTATCATAAAGCAAGAGAAGCCCTTTATGGGTCTTTCGACTCTCACGTCTATTTAGACACAATTAAGAGTCCCATGGGGAATACCAGATCAATTTAAAGCCCAAAATCAAATTGCTGCAGGATTTAAGTCAACATTTTGGTGGGTAACAATTAATAAAAGTGTAGATTGGGTAAACTACGTCTATTACAACCAATAGCGATTTATTAACTACACTAGAGATGCTGTTAGAGGAATAGCTGAACAATTAGGGGCTACTAGCCAGACGGCTTAGGAAAATAGTGTCACCGGCGTCTGTGTGAAGAGACCACCAAACAGGCTTTGTGTGAGCAATAAAGCTGTTTATTTCACCTGGGTGCAGGCGGGCTGAGTCCGAAAAGAGAGTCAGCAAAGGGTGGTGGGATTATCATTAGTTCTTATAGGTTTGGGATAGGCATACAAACTACATTCTTAAGGGCAGGGGAGAATATTACAAAGTACCTTCGTAAGGGTGGGGGAGAATATATTTATCAGTTAGGGTGGGACAGGAACAAATCACAATGGTGGAATGTCATCAGTTGAGGCTATTTTCACTTCTTTTGTGGATCTTTAATTGCTTCAGGCCATCTGGATGTATACCTGCAGGTCACAGGGGATATGATGGCTTAACTTGGGCTCAGAGGCCTGACATTCCTATCTCCTTATATTAATAAACAAAATAGTGGTGAAGTGTTGGGGCTGCGAAAATTTTTGGAGGTGGTATGGAGAGATAATGGGTGATGTTTCTCAGGGCTTCTTCGAGCGGGATTAGGGGCGGTGTGGGAGCCTAGAGTGGGAGATATTAAGCTGAAGGAAGATTTTGTGGTAAGGGGTGATATTGTGGGGTTGTTAGAAGGAGCATTTGTCGCCCGGTGTGGTGGCTGACGCCTATAATCCCAGCACTTTGGGAGGCTGAGGCGGGCGGATCACCTAAGGTCAGGAGTTCAAGACCAGCCTAGCTGACATGGTGAAACCCCATCTCTCCAAAAAAAAAACAAAACAAAAATTAGCCGGACATGATGGCGGGTGCCTGTAATCCTAGCTACTCAGGAGGCTGAGGTGGGAGAATTGCTTGAACCCCAGGAGGTGGAGGTTGCAATGAGCTGAGATCGCGCCACTGCACTCCAGCCTGGGTGACAGAGTGAGACTCTGTCTCAAAAAAAAAAAAAAAAAGAAAAGACAGCTGGAAAAGAATGGTTATCATCTTTAGGAAAAAAAAAATGGCTGGGCACGGTGTCTCACGCCTGTAATCCCAGAAGGAGCATTTGTCATATACAATGATTGGCGATGGCCTGGATACAGTTTTGGATGAATTGAGAGACTAAACGGAAGATACAAGGTCCGAATAAGGGAAGGAGAAAAACAGGTATTAAAGGACTAAGAATTGGGAGCACCCAGGACATCCAATTAGAGAGTGCCCAAGGGGGTTCAGAGTAATTACTTGCTTGGTTGGCGAGTTTTTGGCCTCTATCCTTGAGTTCTTTTATGTTGTCATACACCAGGCCAGATTGATTTAGGTAAAAACAACACTCTTCATTAAAAAATATACAGAGTCCTCCTTTTTCAGCAGTGAGTAAGTCAAGGCCTCGGTGGTTTTGGAGGACAACTGCAGCTAAAGAGTCAACTTGGGCCTGAAGGACTGATAAAGTTTGTGATATGTGTGTGATGCTAGCAGAGAAGTCATTAGAGAGGCTATGGAAGGTCGTGACAGAGGTTGAAATGCCTACTATTCCAGTACCGAGAGCAATAGTGGAGGCAGAAAGTCCTAAACCGACAAGCAAGGGAATTAGCGGAATAACTCTTTTTTGTTGTGTCGGTGTCATGAGGGGAACAGGAAGATGTTCAGTCCCATTTGCAAATTGATTTTGGGAGTAAGGAAAACTAGTGTGCATGTGCCTGTCCAATTAGCAGGTAGACACATGTAGGTAGAGGATCCACAGAGGAAGAAGAGACCTTGTGCGGAGCAAAACCGGAAATGCAAAGTAAAAAGATGAGAAGGAGTGCTGAAAGAGGTGTCTTGTACCCAGACTCCTAGGGATCCAGCTAAGGCGGCAGCCATCAGAGGTTGTAATGGGGACTGATGGGGTAACTACGTAGAGGGGGAGGTTTGATTTTCATGGTGTATGAGAAAACTTTGAGTGTCTACGAGCAACCTTTCACTGTTATTTACGGGGCTGAGTATAAGCAAACAAGAAGAGGGCCTGGGAGGAGAGTCTGACAAGCAAGGGGAAGGTAGCCAAGGATGGAGTGAAATACAGGGTAAGTGTCTTCCTAAGCAATAATAACTGCTAATGTGTTTAAGTTTGCCAGTATTGATAGAGGGCTTATCTGTAATACAGAGCTGGGAGGCTCCAATTGTTTCAGTGATGTGTGTAGTTGGGCTTCGGAGATGAAGAGTAAAGGAACATCGAGAAGGTGAAAGATTACCTAGGGGAATTCCAGTGGGTCTTTGCCGAGAGATACATAAAGGAACGGCCACAGGAATAGTAGTTTGTGTTGTGAGGGGTCCAAATATGGGGGGAGTAGAGTTGATATAAGGAGAAAGGTTTTTTAAGTAAGTGTGGAGGAGGGCGGCAGCTTGCTGAAGTGAAATGTCTGGGGAAGTCTTGCTGGACCTGTCTAGAAAGTAAAGAAGTTCTTTAGGAAGGTAAAGGTGAGGGCTGTTAAAGGAAGTTTGGAGGTGTAGGGAGATAGGAGAGGTTGCCCAGTCTGTATGTAAGGCGGGGACAGCTGTGTAGGCGCAGGAAGAAAGGGAAATGCAAATTCAGCAATGGTTCGATGAGGGATTAGAAACGGCTAGGAGAGAGTGAATGAGATTGATAGTGTGGTGGAGCTAGCTGGGGAGAGGTAGAGGGTGGCATAAAAATGGGAACAAGAATAGGAGTGAGTATAAAAGTAAAGAATAGGACTTCATCAGGGTGAAAGTATTGGAGTGTGCCCTGCCAGCAAATATTATTTATTTACTTTAAGAGGGAGTTAAGAGTGGCGGTCTGGGGATAGCACCAGGAGATACCAGCTGTGACGGCTTGGAGAAACAGTGTAAACCGGCAGTGTAAACAAGAGCAGGGCATTTATGAGTAGTTGAGAATGGTGAATAGGAGTATGACTAGACAGAAGATAGAAGGGATGACAAGTTTTTGGGGTGCAGTCCGAGTTGGGCTGGTGTCTGGAATAAGACTGGGGCCTAATAAAAAGGAGCATCCATACAGGAGCTCAAATGGGCTGTATCCTGCAGCATTCCGAGGACAGGCCCGAATTCTGAGAAGGGCAAGTGGTAAAAGTACTGTCCAGTCTTTTTAAGTTGGAGGCTGAGCTTGGTGAGGTGTGTCTTTAAAAGACTATTAGTCTGTTTTACTTTTTCTGAAGATTGAGGATGGTAAGGGGTATGAAGGTTCCACTGAATACCAAGAGCCTGAGAAACTGCTTGGGTGATTTGACTAATAAAGGCCAGTCTGTTATTGGACTGTATAGAGGTGGGAAGGCCAAAGCGAGGAATTATGTCTGACAGAAGGGAAGAAATGACCGCAGTGGCCTTCTCAGACCCTGTTGGAAAGGCCTCTACCCATCCAGTGAAAGTGTCTACCCAGACCAAGAGGTATTTTAGTTTCCTGACTTGGGGCATGTGAGTAAAGTCAATTTGCCAGTCCTGGGCAGGGGCAAATCCCTGAGCTTGATGTGTAGGGAGGGGAGGGAGCCTGAACACTCCCTGAGGAGTAGTAGAATAGCAGATGGAACACTAAGAAGTGATTTCCTTGAGGATAGATTTCCACGATGGAAAGGAAATGAGAGGTTCTAAGAGGTGGGCTAGCAGCTTGTAACTTACATGGAAGAGGTTATGAAATGACAGCAGAATAGAATGGGCCTGTGAGGCTGTTAGGAGATATTTTCCTTGGTCCAAGAACCATTTGCCTTGTGTGGGAAGAGACTGATAGGTAGAAGTTTCAGCAGGAGAGTAGGTGGGAGTGACCCATGAGAATGAGAAAAATTGGCCGTGAGGGACAGAATTTGGAATGCTAGCTGCTTCTTTAGCTACCTTATCAGCAAAAGCATTGCCCTGAGCGATGGGATCTGACGCCTTTTGATGGCCCTTGGAGTAAATGACTCCAGCTTCCTTTGGAAGTAAAGCGGCCTTGAGAAGAGTTTTTATTAAAGAGGCATTAATGACAGAGGACCCTTGCGTAGTGAGGAAACCTCTTTTTGCCCATATAACAATATGGTGGTGCAGGATATGGAAGGCATATTTAGAGTTGTATAAATATTGACATGTAGTCCCTTTGCAAAAGTGAGGGCTCGAGTTAAGGCAATGAGTTCAGCTTGCCGAGAGGTAGTGGAGAGGGGCAGAGCAGTAGCCTCAATGATAGATGTGGAAGATACTATAGCATAGCCTGCCTTTGCTGGTGTGTGGCAATTAGGCCTGGTAGAACTACCATCAATAAACCAAGTGTGATCAGGGTGAGGAACAGGAAAGAAGGAAATACGGGGAAATGGGGTGAATGTCAGGTGGATCAGAGAGATACAGTCATGGGGGTCAGGTGTGGTATCAGGAATAATGTGGGAGGCTGGATTGAAGTCCTGGCCAGGAACAATGGTAACTGTGGGAGACTCAACAAAGAATGAGTACAGCTGAAGGAGCCGGGGAGCAGAAAGTATACGTGTTAGATGTGAGGAAGAAAATAGATTTATGAGAACCGTAGAGAGTGAGTTGAGCATAGTTTGTGATTTTGAGGGCCTGTAAAAGTATTAGGGCAGTGGCAGCCACTGCACGGAGACATGATGGCCAGCCTAAAACAGTAAGTCAAGTTGTTTGGACAAAAAGGCTACAGGGTGCGGTCCTGGTCCTTGTGTAAGAATTCTGACTGTACAGCCCTGCACTTCGGCTGTGTGTAATGAAAAGGGTCGGGATGAGTCATGGAGAGCTAGTGTGGGAGCTGTGTTTTAAGGAATGGAAAGGGGAGAGGAGAAAGGATTTAGGATCTATGGGGTCAGCTAGGTTTATCTAGAACAGAATAATGGGTTGTGGAGGGAGGTATTGAGGATAGGAGAGTATATGGGTTTGGCACCACAGGGTGGATAGGCAAAACAATTTGGTCGATATGGCGCAGATCCTGAACTAACCTGTAAGGCTTATCTGGTTTTTGGACAGGTAAAATGGGGGAATTGTAAGGAGAGTTTATAGGCTTTAAAAGGCCATGCTGTAACAGGTGAGTGATAACAGGATTTAATCCTTTTAAAGCATGCTGTGGGATGGGATACTGGCATTGAGCGGGGTAAGGGTGATTAGGTTTTAATGGGATAGTAATGGGCGTGGATAGTTCACCAGGGAGGGAGTAGAGGTGTCCCATACCTGTGGATTAAGGTGAGGAGATAAAAGAGAAGGACGTGAAGGAGGCTTTGAACTGGGGAAAAGGGCAGCAACGAAATGTGGCTGTAGCCTAGGATTAGTCAGGGAAGCAGATAATTTAGTTAAAATGTCTCGACCTAATAAGGGAGCTGGGCAGGTGGGGATAACTAAAAAGGAGTGCATAAAAGAATATTGTCCAAGTTGGCACCAGAGTTGGGGAGTTTTAAGAGGTTTAGAAGCCTGGCCATGAATACCCACAACAGTTATGGAGGCAAAGGAAATAGGCCTTTGAAAAGAAGGTAATGTGGAGTTGGTAGCCTCCATATTGATTAAGAAGGGTGACTTACCCTCCACTGTAAGAGTTACCCAAAGTGTCCGTGATGGCCCGGGAGGCTTCGAAGGTGATCGGACAGCATCAGTCTTCAGCCGCTAAGCTGAGAAGATCTGGGAAGGAGTCAGTCAGAGAGTCTTGGGCCAGAGATCCCAGAGCTCTGGGAGTGACTGCGAGGCGAGTGGGACAGTCTGATTTTCAGTGGGGTCCTGCACAGATGGGACACGGCTTAGGAGGAATCCCGGGCTGTGGGCATTTCTTGGCCCAGTGGCCAGATTTCTGGCACTTGAAGCAAGATCCTGATGAAGAAGGTCCTGTAGGAATGCTTGACCACTGCGGTTTAGGCATGTGCGGCTTAGGCATTTTGAAGTTCTCGTGTGCTGGAGGTGCAGCTGGGTTTTGTCTCACAGCAGAGGCAAGTAATTGTAACTTTTCTCTATTATTGTACACCTTGAAGGCAAGGTTAATTAAGTCCTGTTGTGGGGTGACGTGCACCTGTAATCCCAGCTATTCAGGAGGCTGAGGCAGGAGAATAGCTTGAACCAGGGAGGTGGAGGTTGCAGTGAGCCGGGATCACGCTACTGCACTCCAGCCTGGGCGACAGAGTGAGACTCCATCTCAAAAAAAAAAAAAAATTATTCTTTGTTCATTTCCTGACCCATGATAACCGAACCCCTGGTATTTTTCGCGTGGGTCCTGTCCACCTGATGGTAGTCAGGACTGTCCCTTACCGGGATTTTCTGAAAATTGATGAGCTCTCCTCCTTTCACGCATAACTTCAAGGCGATCACGTCGGGTGCACCACTTGCAGAGTTTATAGCTTGCAGTGAACGCCAAGAATGAGTTCTTAGACAATTCCAGCTGAGTGGGGCCGGGGGAATGGGGGGGGCATTTCTTCTAAGAGAACCCGCCCCAGCATCCGTCTGCCAAGTATTTATTGAAAGTGCTTGTTAAACCACAAACATCCACTAGATGGCTTTTTGAGGTCGGGTCGTGAGACACCTGCGGCCTCGTAAAAGCACTCAAACCGCATTCTCAGGAGGCTGTTTTCAGCGTTCCTTATCACACCACACACTCCACTCCCTGTCCTGTTTTCAGGGTCAAGGAATTTCATTCTCACGCACAAATAACATACACACAGTGCCTCAGTATTCTTCCATGCCCCGACCTCAGATGCCATGTACATAAGCTTGAATATGTTGCTGTGCACCCCCCACACTCAAGTGTCCCCACCCCTTTAAATATGTTGTGTGGGGCTAGTTCTTCCATTGCCCATGAAAGATAACTCAGGCAGGCCACAGAGCATACCTGCTCAATCCTTGGAACAAAAAAAAAAATCCTCCAAGCATCATTCTGAATTACGTTTTTTCTCTCGGCCAGCTCCGACTGAGTGGTTTGACATGGGAAGCTGCCAGTGTGAAACTGGCAGAGTGGCTGGCTTCCTCAAGAATTTCTTTCTTGCCTTCCTGTGTCTGACTCTCCACCCTCTCCCTCACAGCCAGAAGCAGAGGAGGTGAGGGGGACAAAATGCTTTACCTGACGGCCATACACTGGAAGTGGTTTTGGTTTCCTCTGGCTGTGGTGGATGTTCAAATTGACTTTTGCTCTTGTGCGATGTTTGTGTGTCTTTTATAAACTCCCAGTAGCTGAATATCTCTCACTTATACTCTGTAGCCCAAACTTTGAATTATATTATTTTATTTTTTAACTTTTACTTTAGGTTCAGGGGTACATGTGTAGGTTCCTTATATAGGTAAAGTGTGTGTCATGGGGCTTTGGTGTACAGGTAATTTAATCACCCAAGTAACAAGCATAGTACCTGATAGGTCCCACCTTGAATTTGTCTAGGTGTTAGATTGGCTGCAGTTCTCTACCACTTCCTGTTATCTGAGGCCTTTACAGTGTGCCTTGGTGGCTAGTCACTCTCACCAAAAGGTAGAGTTTAGGAGGGCATGGTGGCTCCCACCTGGAATCCCAGCTACTTGGGAGGCTGAGACAAAAGGATCACTTGAACCCAGGAGGTCGAGGCTGCAGTGAACCATCCATGTTCATGCCACTGCACTCTAGCCTGGGCAACAGAGAAAGATCCTGTCTCAAAACAAACAAAAAAACATGGCAAAACCCTGTCTCTACTAAAAATACAGAAATCAGCCGGTGGTGGCATGCACCTGTAATCACAGCTATTGGCTGAGGCATGAGAATGGCTTGAACCTAGGAGGTGGAGGTTGCATTGAGCCGAGATCATGCCACTGCACTCCAGGCTGAGCGATGGAGAGAGACTCTGTCTCAAAAAAAAAAAAAAAAAAAAGTTTGATAACACACTCAGCTGATGGGGTGGGGAAAGGAAACTGGTACTGTCACACATTGCCGACAGGAAGGAAGGTACACTGGTGCGGCTTCTACAGAAAGCATTTTAAAAATATCTACCCAAATCAAGTATTTACGTATTCTTTGACCTAGCAATTCTACTTCAAAGAACATACATTTACACTAGACATTTTTTTTTTTGAGATGGAGTCTTGCTCTAGAGTGCGGTGGCACAATCTCAGCTCACTACAACCTCCGCCTCTGCCTCCCAGGTTCAAGCAGTCTTCCTGCCTCAGTCAGCCTCCTGAGTAGCTGGGATTACAGGTGCGCACCACCACGCACAGCTAATTTTTGTATTTTTTGTAGACAGGGTTTTACCATGTTAGCCCGGCAAGTCTTAAACTCCTGACCTCAAGTGATCCACCTGCCTTGGCCTCCCAAAGTGCTGGGATTATAGGTGTGAACCACCACGCCTGGCCTACACTGGACATTTTTGAGAGTCAAGGGAGCACTATAACAAACAAGGGGTCGGGTGCGGTGGCTCACTCCTATAATCCCAGCACTTTGGGAGGCCAAGGTAGGTGGATCACTTGAGCCCAAGAATTTGAGACTACTCTGGGCAACATATTGAGAGAACTCATCTCCATTAAATTAAATTTAAAAAAAAAAAAAAAAAAAGAGGCCGGGCGTGGTGGCTCAAGCCTGTAATCTCAGCACTTTGGGAGGCCAAGTCAGAAGGATCATGAGGTCAGGAGTTCGAGACCAGCCTGGCCAATATGGTGAAACCCCATCTCTACTAAAAATACAAAAATTAGCCAGGCATGGTGGTGTGCGCCTGTAGTCCAAGTTACTTGGGAGGCTGAGGCAGAAGAAAAACTTAAACTTGTGAGGTGAAGGTTGCAGTGAGCCGAGATTGGGCCACTGCACTCCAGCCTGGGCAACAGAACAAGACTCCGACTCCGAAAAAAAAAAAGAAGGAAGCACCTCTCTGTTTGATTTCAAGGTATTAAGTGAGGAAAAGCAAGGAAAAGAGTAGTGATCATGTATTTATATGTATGTATACATTTATACATATACACTTATATATATTAATACATGCTTATATATATAGACTCTATCTCTGCAAGTGCAGCAGATGTAGGTTGGTGGGAGGCTGACACGTGTACAATTTTGGATACCTGTTTTAAGAGAAAGAATACCAAAAGTATCCCAGCACTTTGGGAGGCCGAGGTGGGCAGATCACCTGAAGTCAGGAGTTTGAGACCAGCTTGGCCAACATGGCCAAACCCCATCTTTACTAAAAAAAAATATAAAAATTAGCCAGGCACGGTGGTGAGTGCCTATAATCCCAGTTACTCAGGAGGCTGAGGCAGGAGAATCGCTTGAACCCAGGAGGCGGAGGTTGCAGTGAGCTGAGATCACGCCACTGCACTCCAGCCAGGGCAACAGAACGAGACTCCGTCTCAAAAAAAAAAAAAAAACCAAAAGTATAAATACAAAATTAGGTACAGACCAGCCTGGCCAACATGGCAAAACACTGTCTCTACTAAAAAAATTCAAAAACTAGCCAGGCATGGTGGCAAATGCCAGTAAATCCCAGCTACTTGGGAGGCTGAGGCAGAGAATCATTTGAACCTGAGATGCAGAGATTGCAGTGAGCCAAGATCTCGTCACTGCACTGCAGGCTTCGTGACAGAGTCTCACTATGTTGCCCAAGCTGGAGTGCAGTGGTGTGATCATGGCTCACTGCAGCCTTGACCTCCAGGTCAGATGATCCTCCTGCCTCAGCCTCCTGAATAGCTGGAAACACAGGTGCACGCTACCGTGGTTTTTTTTTTTTCTTTTTTTTTCCTTTTTTTTTTAAACTGGGGTTTCACTCTTGTTGCCCAGGTTGGAGTGCAATGGTGTGATCTCAGCTCACCAGAACCTCTGCCTCCTGTCAAGTGATTCTCCTGTCTCAGCCTCCTGAGTAGCTGGGACTAGAGGCATGTGCCACTACATCAGGCTAATTTTGTATTTTTAGTAGAGACAGGGTTCACCATGTTGATCATGCTAGTCTCGAACTCCTGACCTAAGTTGATGTGCCCACCTCAGCCTCCCAAACTGCTGGGATTACAGGCATGAGCCACTGTGCCTGGCCATTTTTCTTTCTTTTTTGAGATTTCTTTTTTTTTTTTGACAGAGTCTCTCCCTGTTGTCCAGGCTGGAGTGCAGTGGCACAATCTCGGCTCACTGCAAGCTCCGCCTCCCGGATTCACACCATTCTCTTGCCTCAGCCTCCCAAGTAGCTGGGACTAGAGGTGCCCGCCACCATGCCTGGCTAATTTTTTGTATTTTTAGTGGAAATGGGGTTTCACCATGTTAGCCGGGATGGTCTAGATCTCCTGACCTCGTGATCCACCCATCTCGGCCTCCCAAAGTGCTGGGATTACAGGCGTGAGCCACTGCGCCCGGCCATGGATTTCTTTTTTTTGAGAGGAAGTCTTGCTTTGTCACCCAGGCTGGAGTGCAAGTGGCCCAATCTTGGCTCACTGCAAAATCTCCGAAGTTCAAGCAATTCTCCTGCCTTAGCCTCACGAGTAACTGGGATTACAGGCATGCACCACCACACCCAGCTAATTTTTTTGTATTTTTAGTAGGGACGGGGTTTCATCATGTTGGTCAGGCTGGTCTCGAATTCCTAACCTCAAGTGATCTGCCCACCTTGGGATCCCAAAGTGCTGGGAATACAGGCATGAACCACCGCGACCGGCCCTGGCTAATGTTTTTTTTTTTCCTCTTGAGACAGAGTCTTTCTGTCACACAGGCTGGAATGCAATGGTGCGATCTTGGCTCACTGCAACTTCCACCTGCTGGGTTCAAATAATTCCCCTGTCTCAGCCTCCCAAGTAGCTGGGATTACAGGTGCGAGCCACCATGCCCCGCTAATTTTTTTTTGTATTTTTAGTAGAGATGGGGTTTCACCATTTTGGTCATGCTGGTCTCGAACTCCTGACCTCACATGATCTGCCTGCCCTGGCCTCCCAAAGTGCTGGGATTACAGGCATGAGCCACTGCGCCCTGCCTGTTAATTTTTAAATTATTTGTAGAGACAAGTCTCCCTATGTTACCCAGGTTGGTCTCAAATGTCTGGGCTCAAGCAATCCTCCTACCTCAGCCTCTTAAGTGTTGAGATTACAGGCATGAGCTACCGCACCTGGCCAAAATCTAGATCTTATAATTGGGTTCAAGTTTTTTTTTCTTTTTTCTTCTTTTTTTTTTTTGAGATGGAGTCTCACTCTGTCACCCAGGCTAGAGTGCAGTGGTGCGATCTCGGCTCACTGCAACCACCGCCTCCCAGGCTCAAGCGATTCTCCTGCCTCAGCCTCCTGCATAGCTGGGATTACAGGCACCCATGACCACACCCGACTAATTTTCGTGTTTTTAGTAGAGACAGGGTTTCACCATGTTGGCCAGGCTGGTCTTGAACTCCTGACCTCAAGTGATCTGGCTGCCTCAGCCTCCCAAAGTGCTGGGATTACAGGTGTGAGCCACTGCACCTGGCTCAAGTTTTCATTTCTCATATCCTGTTGATCTTACAACTCTTCTTCTTCTTCTGATACTCATTTTCTCTCATCAGTGTGGAAATTTATTACAGTTTATATGAAGTTTTCCTCTTCTGTCTCTTTCCTCCATGTTTGTTTTTACTTTTTTTTTTTCACATTTGTTGATTTTTATTTGCTATCTCTTTTTCTTTTTCTTCTTTTCTTTTTTTTTTTTTTGAGACGGAGTCTCACTCTGTCGCCCAGGCCGGAGTGCAGTGGCTCAATCTCGGCTCACTGCAAGCTCTGCCTCCTGGCTTCATGCCATTCTCCTGCCTCAGCCTCCCGAGTAGCTGGGACAACAGGAGCCCACCACCATGCCTGACTAATGTTTTTGTATTTTTAGTAGAGACGGGGTTTCACCGTGTTAGCCAGGATGGTCTCGATCTCCTGACCTCGTGATCCACCCGCCTCAGCCTCCCAAAGTGCTGGGATTACAGGCGTGAGCCACCGTGCCTGGCCTTCTTTTCTTTTCTTTCTTTCTTTTTTTTTTTTTTGACTGAATTTTGCTCTTGTTGCCCAGGCTGGGGTGCAACGGTGTGATCTTGGTTCACTGCAACTTCTGCCTCCTGGGTTCAAGCGATTCTCCTGCCTCAGCCTCCTGAGTAGCTGGGATTACAGGTGCCCGCCACCACGCCCAACTAACTTTTTGTATTTTTAGTAGAGACGGGGTTTCACCATGTTGGTCAGCGTGGTCTTGAACGCCTGACCTCAGGTTATCCACCCGCCTCGGCCTCCCAAGTTGCTGGGATTACAGGCGTGAGCCACTGCGCCCGGCCATGATCTCTTTTTCAATACAATTTACACCCTCATCCCCATTTTCAGTCTGATTATACAAGTGCTGTGTGACAGAAAGGTCTGGAATAAATACATCAAAAAAAAAAAGAGGCAAAGCTGTGAAACTAAGTTGCATGCAACAGGTTCTATGAGGATGGGGGAAGTGTCTGAGAAATAAAACAGAGTAAGACAATGTAGTTGGAAGGTTTTAGCTAAAGTTCTTTTCAGTCGTCTTTGTCTTTTGCTCCATGTTTCAGGATGCATGTGAACTCGATGTAATTGAAATTCCCCTTTTTGTTAATAGGCGCTTCTCTGTACAGCTCATCCACTTCCTCATCCGTAAACCGATCCCACATGGTTATCAGCAGCTCTCTCAGGTAATCTTCCTGAATAATGCCTGTTGCTTCTTCATCAAAGCAAGCAAAAGCATTTCCAATGACATCTTCAGGATCTGTGCCATTTAACTTCTCACCAAATATGGTGAGGAACATGGTGAAATCGATGGGCCCTGGTGCCTCATTCATTATGGCATCAAGGTATGCATCGGTGGGATTCTTCCCTAGGGAAACAAGCATATCATGCAAATCTTCTTTGTTGATGAAACCATCTCTGTTCTGATCAATCATGTTGAAGGCCTCTTTGAACTCCTGAATCTGTGACTGGTCAAACATGGCAAACACGTTGGATGTTGTGCGCTGAGGGCGCTTTTTGGTGGTCTTGGTCTTGCCTTTTTGCTCCACATGGTGGTTGTTTAATTCCAGCGCCAAACACCAGAAGTGGGCTGCCCTGCGCCAGACGATGAGGGAAGGCGAAGAGCACAATGCTGTGTCGTTTTTACTTTTAATTTTGGGTTTTTGCTCATGTCTGAAGTCTTCCTCAAATATCTGGTGTTCCTTAACTGGGCACTCATATTTAAGACAGAGCGGGCTGGGTGCAGTGGCTCACACCTATAATCTCAGCACTTTGGGAGGCCGAGGTGGGTGGATCACCTGAGGTCAGGAGTTCGAGACCAGCCTGACCAATATGGAGAAACCCAATCTCTACTAAAAATAAAAAATTATCCAGGCGTGGTGGTGCATGCCTGTATTCCCAGCTACTCAGGAGGCTGAGGCAGGAGAATCGCTTGAACCCGGGAGGCGGAGGTTGCAGTGAGCCAAGATCGTGCCATTGCACTCCAGCCTGGGCAACAAGAGCAAAACTCCATCTCAAAAACAAACAAACTATATGTGTGTATATATATATATATTTACATATATAACATATATATTTTACATATATTACATATATATATTTTACATATATATATTTATTTATTTCCTTATTTATTTTGTGGCCAGGTGTGGTGGCTCATGCCTGTAATCCCAGCATTTTGGGAGGCTGAGGCGAGCAGATTACCTGAGGTCAGGAGTTCCAGACCAGCCTAGCCAACATGGTGAAACCCCATCTCTACTAAAAATACAAAAATATTAGCCAGGTGTGTGGTGGTGCACACCTGTAATCCCATCTACTTGGGAGGCTGAGGCACAAGAATTGCTTGAACCCGGGAGTAGCTGGGATTACAGGCATGTGCCACCATGCCTGGCTAATTTTTGTATTTTTGGTAGAGACAAGGTTTCACTATGTTGGCCAGATTGGTCTGAACTCCTGACCTCAGGTGATCCACTCACCTCAGCCTCCCAAAGTGCTAGGATTACAGGCGTGAGCCACTGCACCCAGCCAGACAGTTTTTTGTTTTTTTTGTTGTTTTTGTTTTGTTTGTTTTTTTGAGATGGAGCCTGGCTCTGTTGCCCAGGCTGGAGTGCAGTGGCGCGATCTTGGCTCACTGCAAGCTCCGCCTCCCAGGTTCACGCCATTCTGCCTCAGCCTCCCGAGTAGCTGGGACTACAGGCGCCCGCCACTATGCCCGGCTAATTTTTTTGTATTTTTAGTAGAGACGGGGTTTCACCGTGTTAGTCAGGATTGTCTCGATCTCCTGACCTCGTGATCCGCCTGTCTCGGCCTCCCATAGTGCTGTGATTACAAGCGTGAGCCACCGCACCCAGCCTGTTTTTGTTTTTTTGAGATGGAGTTTGGCTCTGTCAGCCAGGCTGGAGTGCAGTGGTGTGATCTTAGCTCACTGCAACCTCCTCCTCCTGGGTTCAAGCTATTCTCCTGCCTCAGCCTCCTCATTAGCTGGGACTACAGGCGCGTGCCACCACGCCCAGCTAATTTTTGTATTTTTAGTAGAGATGGGGTTTCACCATGTTGGCCAGGCTGGTCTCGATCCCTTGACCTCGTGATCCGCCTGCCTCGGCCTCCCAAAGTGCTAGAATTACAGGCGTGAGCCACCGTGCCCAGTTGACAGTTTTATTTTACAATGTCAATATTTATATAAGACACAAGATCTGTTACACTCTTTTTTTTTTTCTGAGATGGAGTCTCGCTCTGTTGCCCAGGCTGGAATGCAGTGGTATGATATCGGCTCACTGCAACCACCGCCTCCCAGGTTCAAGCAATTCTTGTGCTTCAGCCTCCCGAGTAGCTGGGATTACAGGCATACGCCACCATGCCCAGCTAATTTTTGTATTTTTAGTACAGACAGGGTTTCACTATGTTAGCCAGGCTGGTCTTGAACTCCTGACCTCGTTATCCACCTGCCTCGGCCTCCCAAAGTACTGGGATTACAGGTGTGAGCCATTGCACCAAGCCGATTTGTTATACTCTTTGCAGTTATTTAAATCAACAAGGAAAAAAATTAGATGCCAAATAAAAATATATACAAAATGGCACATAATTTTCCAAAATGTTTTTAAGGAGCATGCAAGCAAGAAAATGTGAAGACTGATAGACTAATTCTAGTGCTGCTCTTATATCCAAGCAAGAGGAGATCCTGCCTGGAGCCCCACATTTCAGAAGGCCCCACATATCATAAATGTTAAAAGAATAAATTTGGAAGGAATATATGGGTGTATCTGTTACTGAAGATCTGGTGCTCAATTCTAGCACAGTGTATGAGTTATCTATTGCTGTGTAACAAATTACCCCAAAACCCGGTGGCTCAAAACAACACACTGTTATCTGATGGCTTCTGTGGGGGAGAAATCTGGGAACAGCTTAGCTGGATCCTCTGCTTCGGAGGCTCTCATAAGACTGCAGTCTATGAGTTGCCTGTGATCTCATCTGAAAGCTCAGGGCCGGGCTCAGTGGCTCATGCATGTAATCCCAGCACTTTGGAAGGCTGAGGCAGGTGCATCACCTGAGGTCAGGAGTTCCAGACCAGCCTGGCCCACCTGGTGAAACCCGGTTTCTACTAAAAATACAGAAATTAGCTGGGTGTTGTGGCGGGCACCTGTAATCCCAGCTACTTGGGAGGCTGAGGCAGGAGAATCGATTGAACCTGGGAGGTGGAGGTTGCAATGAGGCGAGATAGCACATTGCACTCTAGCCTGGGTGACGGAGCAAGACTCTGTCTCAAAAAAAATAAAAATAAAAATAAAAATAAAGCTTAACTGGGGAAGGTTTTGCTTCTAAGCTCACTCACATAGCTGTTTGCAGGATTCAGTTTCTAAAGGGTTTTTTGACTGAGGGTCTCAGTTCCCTGTTGGTTAGTGTTTGGAGACCACACCTAGTTTCTTGCCATGTGGGTTTCTCCAATATGGCATCTTACATCATCAAAGCCAGCAATAGAGAGGCTAGCAAGTAGAAAGTCCTGTCTTTTTTTTTTTTTTTCTTGTGATGGAGTTTTGCTCTGACTCCCAGGGTGGAGCATATTGGCACAATCTCGGCTCACTGTGACCTCTGCCTCCCGGTTTCACGCAATTCTCCTGCCTCAGCCTCCTGTGTAGCTAGCTGGGATTACAGGCATGTGCCACCATGCCTGGCTAATTTTTTGGAGTTTTAGTAGAGATGGGGTTTCACCACGCTGGCCAGGCTGGTCTCAAACTCCTGACCTTGTGATCTGCCTGCCTCGGCATCCCAAAGTGCTGGGATTACAGGCATGAGCCACTGTGCCCAGCCTACAAATAATGTTTAAATTCCCCGGATGTGCTGGCACACACCTGTAGCCGCAGCTACTCAGAATGCTGAGGTGGGAGGATTGCTTGAGCCGAGGAATTTGAGGCTGCAGTGAGCTATGATCCTGCTACTGCACTCTAGCCTGGGCGACAGAGCAAGAACCTGTTTAAAAAAAAAAAGAAAAGAAAAGAAAAAAAAGAAAGAAATGAAAGACCTCTTCAAAACTGTCAAATTCATGAGAGACAAGGAAAGACTGAGAACTTCCCAGATTGAAGGAGACTACAGATAGATATGTGACAGTCAAATGCAGTATGTGATCCTGGACTAGAAAGGACAGATAGGCCAAGTATGGTGGCACGCATCTGTAGTCCCAGCACTTTGGAAGGCTCAGGTGGGAGGATCACTTGAGCCCAGGAGTTTGAGGCTGCAGTGAGCTCTTGATAGCACCACTGCACTTTGGCCTGGGCAACAGAGTGAGACCTCATCTCAAAAAAAAAAAAAAGAAAAAGAAAAAAACAGCTGTTAAAAGAAAAGATAATTGCACTTTGGGAGGCCTAGGCGGGTGGATTGCCTGAGCTCAGGAGTTCAAGACCAGCCTGAACAACATGGTGAAACCCCGTCTCTGCTAAAATACAAAAAATTAGCTGGCTGTGGCGGCGTGTGCCTATAGTCCCAGCTACTTGGGAGGCTGAGGCAGGAGAATTGTTTGAACCCGGAAGGTGGAGGTTGTAGTGCACCGAGATCGCACCACTGCACTCCAGCCTGGGTGACAGACCTGTCTCCAAAAAAAAAAAAAAAAAAAAAGATAATTTAAAAAAGAAGAGGCGGTCATTACTGGGACAGCTGGTGAAATCTGAATGGGATCTATGAATTGAAGAGTGATATTGATTTCCTGATTAGAATGGTGTTTTAGTTTGCTAGGGCTGCCATAACAAAGTATCACAAACTGGGAGACTTAAACAGCAGAAATGTATTGCCTTACAGTTCTGGAGGCTGGAAGTCTGAGATCAAGGTGTAGGCAGGGTTGGTTCTTTCTGAGGGGTGTAAGGGAGAATCTGTTCCAGGCCTTTCTACTAGTTTCCGGTGGTTTGCTGGCAGTCTTTTGTGTGTGTGTGTGTGTGTGTGTGTGTGTGTGTGTGTGTGTTTTGAGACGGAATCTTGCTCTGTCACCCAGGCTGGAGTGCAATGGCAAGATCTCGGCTCAGTGCAACCTCTGCCTCCCAGGTTCAAGCAATTTTCCTGCCTCAGCCTCCCGATTGAGTAGCTGGGATTACAGGCACCCACGACCACGCCCGGCTAACATTTTGTATTTTTTTTTTTTTTTTTCTGAAACAGAGTCTCGCTCTGTCGCCCAGGCTGGAGTGCAGTGACACGATCTCAGCTCACTGCAACCTCCGCCTCCAGGTTCAAGCAATTCTCCTGCCTCCAGAATAGCTGGAATTACAGGTGCCCATGACCATGCCCTGCCAATTTTTGTATTTTTAGTAGAGGCAGGGTTTCACCATGTTGACCAGGCTGGTCTTGAACTCCTGACCTCGTGATCTGCCCGCCTCAGCCTCCCAAAGTGCTGGGATTACAGGCGTGAGCCATTGTGCTCGGCCAATTTTTTGTATTTTTAGTAGAGATGGGATTTCACTATGTTGGCCAGGCTGGTCTCGAACTCCTGACCTCAGGTGATCCACCTGTGTTGGCCTCCCAAAGTGCTGGGATTACAGGCATAAGCCATGGTGCCTGGCCTGCTGGCAATCTTTGACATATCAACCTGATCTCTGCCTTCATGGTCACATGTCATTCTCTCTATCCGCAAGCCTATGTCCAAACTTCCTTTCTAATAAAGGGGGTGAGAGGCCCACTCAACTCCAGTATGACCTCATTGAACCAATTACATATGCAACAACCTTATTTCCAAATAAGGTTACATTCTGAGGAACTGGGAGTTAGGACTTCATTATATAAATTTTATTTTTTTCCTTCGACTTTTATTTTAAGTTCAGGGGTACATGTGTGCGATGTGTAGGTTTGTTACATAGGTAAACGTGTGCAATGGTGATTTGCTGCACAGATCATCCCATCACCCAGGTATTAAGCCCAGCATCCATTAGCTATTCTTCCTGGTGCCCTTCCTTCCCCCACTCCCCCAGACAGGACCCAGTTGTGTTGTTTCCCACCGTGTGTCCGTGTATTCTCATCATCACTTGTAAGTGAGAACATGCGAACAAATGAATTCTTCACCTTTTTTTTTTTTTTTTTTTTTTTGAGAGGAGTCTCGTACTGTCACTGGGGCTGGAGTGCAATGGTGAGATCACAGCTTACTGCAACCTCGGCCCCCTGGGTTCAAGTGATTCTCCTGCCTCAGCCTCCCATGTCACTAGCTGGAATTATAGGGGCCTGCCACCATGCCCAGCTAATTTTTGTATTTTTAGTAGATATGGGTTTTTGCCATGTTGGCCAGGCTAGTCTCAAACTCCTGACCTTGTGATCTGCCCACCTTGGCCTCTCAAAGTTCTGGGATTACAGGCATAAGCCACCGTGCCTGGCCTGATCTTGTTCTTTTTTCTTTTTTTTTTTGGCAACAACTCACTCTGTTGCCAGACTGGAGTGCAGTGGTGCGATCTCAGCTCTCCACAACCTCCGCCTCCCGGGTTCAAGCCACTCCCCTGCCTCAGCCTCCTGAGTAGCTAGGACTACAGGCGCCCACCACCACACCCGGCTAGTTTTTTGTATTTTTAGTAGAGATGGGCTTTCAGTGTGTTAACCAGGATGGTCTCGATCTCTTGAACTTGTGATCTGCCCGCCTCGGTCTCCCAAAGTGCTGGGATTACAGGCATGAGACACTGCGCCCAGCCCAGCCCTTATTCATTTTTATGGCTGCACAACATATGAATTTTTAGGAGACACAATTCAACCTGTAACACATGGTTATACTGGGGTTGAGAGCGAGATGGAACAAATACAGCCAAGTGTTGACAAATGGAAAATCTGAGTGAAAGAGGTACATGCCAAAGTTCTTGGAACTGTTCTTAAATTTTTCTGTAAGCTGAAAATTATTTCAAAATTAAAAAAATTCCAACAAGATGCTAGGTTTATTTATTACACAAGATGTTGGTGCTGAACCTACCATGTAAAGAGACAATAAAGGTGTTTGTGTGGCCTTATTGCACACTTGCCTGGGATGTAAGTGAGGGTATCAGATTAATATGTTACATTTACATAGTGCTTTATAATTTACAAAAAACCAACAACATCAAAAAACCTTTATTTCATTTATCTCTCAGAATAATTCTGGGAGGCAAGAGCTTTTTCTGATTTTATTACAAAACAAAACACTAAAGAAAGGTCATGTGACTTGTCCACAGCTTCACACAACTAAGTGATCAGTTTAAATTCTAGTCCAGGGTTTTTTCACTTTTTCGAGACTCCTTTGCAGCTGCAGCAAAAGACAATGCGGCATGACTTGAAACAACATTTTTTTTTTGAGACAGAGTCTCGCTCTGTCGCCCAGGCTGGAGTGCAGTGGAGCAATCTCGGCTCACTGCAAGCTCCGCCTCTGGGGTTCATGCCATTCTCCTGCCTCAGCCTCCCGAGTAGTTAGGACTACAGGCTCCCGCCACCACAGCCGGCTAATTTTTTGTATTTTTTTTTTTTTTTTGAGACGGAGTCTCACTGTATCGCCCAATCTGGAGTGCAGTGGCATGATCTTGGCTCACTGCAAACTCTGCCTCCCGGGTTCAAGTGATTCTCCTGCCTCAGCCTCCCAAGTGGCTGGGACTACAGGCACCCGCCATCACACCTGGCTAATTTTTTGTATTTTTAGTAGAGACGGGGTTTCACCGTGTTAGCCAGGATGGTCTCGATCTCCTGACCTCGTGATCTGTCCGCCTCGGCCTCCCAAAGTGCTGGGATTACAGGCGTGAGCCACCGCGCCTGGCCTAATTTTTTGTATTTTTAGTAGAGACGGGGTTTCACCGTGTTTGCCAGGATGGCCTCAATCTCCTGACCTTGTGATCCGCCCACCTCGGCCTCCCAAAGTGCTGGGATTACAGGCGTGAGCCACCGCGCCCAGCCCTCAAAACAACATTATAACATCATTTCTGCTCTTTTGGGGGGTGACCTGACTTCCCAAGTAAAGAAGGTATTCTTAGGCATGGTGGCTTATGCTTGTAATTCCAGAATGATGGGAGGCTGAGGTGGAAGGATTGTTTAATAAGCTCAGGAGTTAAAAACCAGCCTGGGTAACATAGAAAGACCCTGTCTCTACAAAATTCAAAAATGAGCCAGGCGTGGTGACACACACCTGTGGTCCCAACTACTCAGGAGGCTAAGATGGGAGGATTGCTTGAGCTGGGGAGATCAAGGCTGCAGTGGGCCACGTTTGAGCCACTACACTCCAGCCTGGGTGACAGAGCAAGATCCTGTAGCCCGGGTGCGGTGGCTTATGCCTGTAATCCCAGCACTTTGGGAGGCTGAGGTGGGTGGATCACGAGGTCAGGAGTTCGAGACCAGCCTGGCCTACACTGTGAAACCCCGTCTCTACTAAAGGTACAAAAAATTAGCCAGGCGTGGTGGCACGTACCTGTAATTCCAGCGACTTGGGAGGCTGAGGCAGGAGAATGGTTTGAACCCGGGAGGCGGAGGTTGCAGTGAGCCGAGATCGTGCCATTGCACCCCAGCCCGGGGGACAGGGCGAGACTCCATCTCAAAAAAAAAAAAAGATCCGGTTAAAAAAAAAAAAAAAGGAACAAGATCTTCCTATTGAGGTGAAAATGAAAATGAAATAGTTTAGGTAGGAGGCTCCAAAGGTTCCCAGTATAAGGTTCACTACTACACACACTGCTTCCTCCACCGTTCCCCCTCCCCTCCCTCAGCCTCACTTGGGCGAATCCCTTGTTTCCAGATGGGCTTCAATTTCATTACCCAACCTTCAGGCCAATGCCTGGGGAACAGGGTCAATAAAACATCTTCTTTTTTTATTTTTATTTTTTTGAGACGGAGTCTCACTCTGTCACCCAGGTTGGAGTGCAGTTGCAGCGGCATGATCTTAGCTCATGGCAACCTCCGCCTCCCAGTTTCAAGAGATTCTCCTGCATCAGCTTCCCGAGTAGCTGGGATTACAGGCATGCGCCACCACTCCCGGATAATTTTTGTATTTTAGGTAGAAACAGGGTTTCACCATGTTGGCCAGGCTGGTCTTGATCTCCTGACCTCAATTGATCCATCCGCCTCGGGCTCCCAAAGTGCTGGAATTACAGGCGTGAGCCACCACGCCTGGCCTAAGAAAAGGTCTTCAATCAGTCAAAAAAAAAAAAAAAAAGAAAGAAAAGAAAAGGTCTTCAGTCCTTGCTCCTACAACCTCCTCAACCACATCCTCCACTGGTAGCCTCTGAGACCTGGACCATCGATGGCAAAACTTCACTCTTCTTTAAAATTACCCTGGCTGGGTGCAGTGGCTCACACCTGTAATCTCAGCACTTTGGGAGGCCAAGGTGGGTGGATCATTTGAGGTCAGGAGTTCCAGACCAGCTTGACCAACATGGTGAAACCCCGTCTCTACTAAAAATACAAAAAAATTAGCCGGACATGGTGGCACATGCCTGTAGTCCCAGCTACTTGGGAGGTTGAGGAAGGAGAATTTCTTGAACCCAGGAGACAGAGGTTGCAGTGAGCCGAAATCGTGCCACTGCACTCCAGCCTGGGAGACAGAGCGAGACTCCGTCTGTAAATAAATAAGTAAAGTAAAGTAAAATAACCCCAACCCAACAGCCAAGTCCCAATCACATACCCTTGCCCTGCTGATCCATCACGGTCTTTGTCTTTTTATAAGCCTCCCCTTGGGCTCATGCAGTCAATGATAATCCTCCCTTGGTACTGCAGAGACCAAAAGTTAGGAAGAGAGTGTTCTGGGTTATACCATCTCAAACTTAGCTGCCTGCAGACCCAGTGGGGAGAACTACTCCTGTGAGAACTCAAGTCCCCTCTGCTTGTTCCTACCCGCCTTGGTTAGGATAGACCATCTCACCCCCTACCATCCAGCCAGAAGGGGCTTTAGATCCTTGACTGACCATGGCTCACAGATGCATGGTAGGTCCATTTCCTCACTCTCTATCAGTTGGGGCCCAAGATTTTGAGCCTTGAGTCTTTGAGACTTGAGACCCAGAGTGACAGGCAGTTCTAGCTTATGCCTTCATGTTGGGCCTTCAGTTTCCAAATCACAGAATTATACTATGAAAAAGCTGAATAGAGTTCATGGATCATTTAGTCCAGACCTTTCACATCACACTGGATGTTTAAATAATTGATCTGAAGGCTCATAGGGTCCTTTCTCTTTTCTCTTAGGTGTGGGAATTAAGGTCAGGACTGGCAGGTGCAGGACTTGCCACAGCCATGCTCCTTAATCCTGGCAGTGCTGAGCAAGGCCTTGCATCCCAGCCCCCTGATCCAGCCAGCTGTCTGACTGTGAGTCAGGATGGCAGAGGAAGGTGATGTGGACGAGGCGGATGTGTTCCTGGCATTTGCCCAGGGTCCCTCCCCTCCCAGGGGTCCCGTGCGACGTGCCTTGGACAAGGCTTTCTTTATCTTCCTGGCCCTCTTCCTGACACTGCTGATGCTGGAGGCTGCTTATAAGCTGCTGTGGTTACTACTATGGGCAAAGTTAGGGGACTGGCTCCTGGGGACACCTCAGAAGGAGGAGGAGCTGGAATTGTGACCACCTTTCCTATAAACATCTTCTTTCCCCACCAAGGAGGTGAGAGGGGAGACAGGAGGGAAATGGGAGTGTTGGGGGCTATGGAGGAGATGCTTGGATAGCTTAGGGCAGCAGTCTTTTTTTTTTGAGATGGAGTTTTGCTCTTGTTACCTAGGCTGGAGTGCAATGGCACAATCTTGGCTCACTGCAACCTCTGCCTCCAGGGTTCAAGGGATTCTCCTGCCTCAGCCTCCTGAGTAGCTGGGATTACAGGCATGCGCCACCGCCCCCTGCTAATTTTGTATTTTTAGTAGAGACAAGGTTTCTCCATGTTAGTCAGGCAGGTCTCCAACTCCGACCTCAGGTATCTGCCTGCCTTGGCCTCCCAAAGCGCTGGGATTACAGGTGTGAGCCACTGCGCCCGGCCAGGGCAGCAGTCTTAAATTCTGCACCTATACTCAGGGAAATAATTTTGAAGAAGTATATACTCCTTCATATATCTTTAAGTAGGTATCTAAAAATTTTCATCATAAATTAAAATTGTGGCCGGGCACAGTGGCTCATGCCTGTAATCCCAGAACTTTGGGAGGCCAAGGCAGGGGGATCACCTAAAGTCAGGAGTTCAAGACCAGTCTGGCAAATATGGTGAAACCCCATGTCTACTAAAAATACAAAAATTAGCCGGGAAAGTTGGTGGGCACCTGATTCTCTGCCTCAGCTACTCAGAGGCTGAGGCAGGAGAATTGCTTGAACCCGGGAGGCAGTTGCAGTGAGCCGAGATCGCACCATTGCACTCCGGCCTGGGTGACAGAGCGAGACTCCTTCCAAAAATAAATAAATAAATAAATAAAAATAAAAATAAATAAATAAAAATTGTTTCAAGGATGTAATTCTGGCATATTGAAAATATTCACATTTTATTTATTTTTTAATTTTTATTTTTTTTTTGAGATGGAGTCTTGCTCTGTCGCCCAGGCTGCAGTGCAGTGGTGCAATCTCGGCTCACTGCAACCTCTGCCTCTGGGGTTCAAGCAATTCTCCTGCCACAGCCTCCTGAGTAGCTGGGACCACAGGTGTGCACCAGCACCCCTAATTTTTATATTTTTAGTAGAGATGGGGATTTCACCATGTTGGCCACGCTGGTCTTGAACTCTTTTTTTTTTTTTTTTTTTTTTGTGACAGAGTCTCCTGTTGCCCAGGCTGGAGTGCAGTGGCAGTGATCTCTGCTCACTGCAGCCTGCCTCCACTTCCCAGATTCTAGCGATTCTCCTGCCTCAGGCCCCCAAATAGCTGGGACTACAGGTGTGTGCCACCGTGCCCAGCTAATTTTTGTATTTTTAGTAGAGACAAGGTTTCATCATGTTGGCAAGGCTGGTCTGGAACTCCTGACCTCAAGTGATCCGCCCACCTCAGCCTCCCAAAGTGCTGGGATTACAGGCATGAGCCACTGCGCCCAGCCTATTTATTGATTTATTGAGATGAGGTCTCACTATGTTGCCTAGGCTGGTCTGTAATCCTGAGATCAAGCAATCCACCCACCTCAACTTCCCAAAGTGCTAGGATTATAGGCGGTGAGCCACAGCTGGCCACATTTTATTTTATTTATTTATTTTTTGAGACAGAGTCTTGCTCTGTCACCCAGGCTGGAGTGCAGTGGCACCATCTTGGCTCACTGAAATCTCCGCCTCCTGGGTTCAAGCGATTCTTCTGCCTCAGCTTCCCAAGTAGCTGGGACTAAAGGCGCGAGCCACCACGCCCAGCTAATTTTTGTATTTTTAGTAGAGACGGGGGTGTCACCATATTGGCCAGGCTGGTCTCGAACTCCTAGACTTCGTGATCTGCCTGCCTCGGCCTCCCAAAGTGCTGGAATTACAGCATGAGCCACTGCACCTGGCCTATTTATTTATTTTTTTGAGACACAGTCTCTCTGTGTTGCCCATGCTGGAGTGTAGTGGTGCGATCTTGGCTTCCGGCAACCTCTGCCTCCCGGGTTCAAGCGATTCTCCTGCCTCAGCCTCCCAAATAGCTGGGACTACAGGCGCCCGCCACTACACCCAGCTAATTTTTTTGTAATTTTAGTAGAGACGGGGTTTCATCATGTTGGGCAGGCTGGTCTCGAACTCCTGACCTCAGGTGATCTGCCTGCCTCGGCCTCCCAAAGTGCTGGGATTACAGGTTTGAGCCACCACGCCCGGCCTATTTTTTTATTTTTTGAGACAGAGTCTTGCTCTATCGCCCAGGCTGGAGTGCAGTGGCGTGATCTTGGCTCACTGCAACTTTTGCCTCCCAAATTCAAGGGATTCCCCTGCCTCAGCTCCCAAATAGCTGGGATTACAGGCGCCCACGACCACGCCTGGCTATTTTTTGTATCTCTAGTAGAGACGAGGTTTCCTCATGTTGGTCAGGCTGGTCTCGAACTCCTGACCTCAAGTGATCTGCCCGCCTCGGCCTCCCAAAGTGGTAGGATTACAGGCATGAGTCACCATGCCTGGCCCCACATTTTAAAATAAAACAATTAGATCACCATTTATTGTCCAGTGGAATTGAAATATCATAGTGATGGCCGGGCACGGTGCTTCACGCCTGTAATCCCAGCACTTTGGGAGGCTGAGTTGGGTGGATCACGAGGTCAGGAGTTTGAGACCAGCCTGGCCAACATGCCAAAAACCCATATCCACTAAAAAAAAAAAAATACAAAAAATACAAAAAATTAGCTGGGCATGGTGTTGTGTGCCTGTAATCCCAGCTGCTCAGGAGGTTGAGGCAGGAGAATCGCTTAAACCCGGGAGTGGGAGGTTGCAGTAAGCAGAGATTGTGCCATTGAACTCCAGCCTGGGCGACAGAGCAAGACTCCATCTCAAAAAAAAAAAAAAAGTATAAATTAGTTCTTACCAGTTGGGAATCATTCCTTTTTTCTTTCATCACCTCTTTTTTCCTTGAGCTCCTACTACTACTCCACTTCCCCACAAACTTTATGCTTTTATACTTGAAAGTCCTTTATTGACCAATCTTTTACATCTTCCTGCATATACATGTATATTAATTGAGATGAAAAATATCTTTCTTGTGATTGTAAGACTCTAGTTGTTAAAAATTATTCTGGAGGAGTTACTGTTACAATTATTATAAGAACAGAATGTTCTTATAAACATGTGATCGTACACTTTTTTTTTTTTTTTTAAGACGGAGTCTCGCTCTGTCGCCCAGGCTGGAGGGCAGTGGCGCGATCTCGGCTCACTGCAAGCTCCGCCTCCCGGGTTCACGCCATTCTCCTGCCTCAGCCTCCGGAGTAGCTGGGTCTACAAGGCGCCCACCACCACGCCCAGCTAATTTTTTTTTTTTTTTTTTTTGGTATTTTTAGTAGAGACAGGGTTTCACCGTGTTAGCCAGGGTGGTCTCGATTTCCTGCCCTCGTGATCCTCCTGCCTCGGCCTCCCAAAGTGCTGGGATTACAGGCGTGAGCCACCGTGCCTGGCCGATCGTAAACATTTTTATAACTGTTAAAAAGAAATATTTAATAAGATAGTAGTCTGGGAGTGGCGGTTCACGCCCATAATCCCAGCACTTTGAGACGCTGAGGTGGGAAGATTGCTTGAGGCAAGGAGCTCAAGATCCATCTGGGCAACACAGTAAGACCCTGTCGCTATAAAAAACCTTTTTTTTTTTTTTTTTTTTGAGACAGAGTCTTGCTCTGTCGCCAGGCTGGAGTGCAGTGGCTGATCTCAGCTCACTGCGACCTCCGCCTCCCGGGTTCAAGCGATTCTCCTGCCTCAGCCTCCCGAGTAGCTGGGACTACAGGCGCGTGCCACCAAGCCCAGATAATTTTTGTGTTTTTAGTAGAGACGGGGTTTCACCATGTTGGCCAGGCTGGTCTCAAACTTCTGACCTCAGGTGATCCGCCCGCCTCGGCCTCCCAAAGTTCTGGGATCACAGGCATGAGCCACCGCGCCCAGCCTCCACAAAAAACTTTTTTTAAAAAAATTAGCCAGGTGAGGTGGTGTGCGCCTGTAGTCCTAGCTACTTGAGGTGGGAGGATGGCTTGAGCCCAGGAATTTGAGGTTACAGTGAGCTATGACCGTACCACCGCATTCCAGCCTGGGTGATAGAACAAGACCCTTTTTTTTTCCTTTTTTTTTTTTTTTTTTTTTTTTTTTTTTTTTTTGAGATAATCTCGCTCTGTCGCCCAGGCTGGAGTGCAATGACGCGATCTCGGCTTACTGCAACCTCCGCCTCCCGGATTCGAGCGGTTCTCCTGCCTCAGCCTCCTGAGTAGCTGGAACTACAGGCGCCTGCCACCACGCCCAGCTAATTTTTTTGTATTTTTAGTAGAGACGGGGTTTCACCATGTTGGCCAGGATGGTCTCGATCTCTTGACCCCATGATACGCCCACCTCGGACCCCCAAAGTGCTGGGATTACAGGCGTGAACCATCGCGCCCGGCCGACCCTGCATTTAAAAAAAAAAAAGACAAAAGAAAGGAAAAAAAAAAAAAAAAAAAGAAAAGGTGGTATTCATGGTGCCTTGGTGAAAGAAACAGGGTACATTTCCCTTTATTTTAAACAGGTAAGATTACCCCCAGGAGATTTCATGGTTGAGAACTATACTTTTGAGGGGGGAGGGGAAAAAAGAGAACTATTCTTTTTTTTTTTTTCTTAAGAGGGTGACTCTATTGTAAAAGGAGAAGTGAAGAATGAGAACCTGTACTGCAGGTGTTTCCTTAGGAAGACCAATTTTGGGAAAGTTGAGGTTCTTGAAATTAAATCCCTTACATCTTCCAAGTCCCAGTCCTCGCGGAGAGTTTTTATGTTCCCCATTTTGAAAGCTGTAGACTTTGACGACTGGAGAGAAGTGATGTGGGATTGTTCAACGGACGGGTGTTTGCGATTCTAGGACTCAGCGTTAGGGATCTAATAAGCTCTGTGACCCTAGTTAAGTGGCAAGATGCCCACCACTTGTGGAAATGGGAATCTTAGCGATTGGGACCCTGTTAATCTTTCTGGTTTCCTCATAAGCTCACCTCTGGACCCAGCCTTGCCTCCACGAGTCCCTCCAGCCTCCCTAAACACAACGAGGTGGGTATCAAATCTGTTTCTTCATCCTTCATTCTTTTTTCCCCTCTCCCCGAAGAGGAGGAGGAGGAGACCCAAAGTATTTTATGAGCCTCATTTCGCCTCACAGCAGCCCTCGCAGCGGCAATTTGCACAAACTCTCCTCCAAGCCCCACCCCATCATCGCCCATCCGCAGACCCTAGGCCTCCCACGACAAAGCACGGCCACCTGGTCAGCACAGACGGCCCTTCGAGGACCCCCTCTGGAGAAGAACCATTCAGGTCCCAACGGTCTGGCTGGTCATTAGTTCTGTGGTGAAGCTTGAAAAGCAAATCAGCAACAATAGTAATAACAATAACACTTTTATGGCGCGTTGTGCTCATTTGTACGCATGTGTTATAACGATCGCGGGACGCAGCACCTGGCAGTAGAAACAGCTGCTGGACAGCGGCAAGGAGCGCGCCGCCCTTGCAGGGGAAGGGGCTGGGTCAGCCGAATAAGCCGTGGAAATGGGAACCTGGGGGACAGGAAAGCAGGGCCAGATAGCTTGCCAATAGCCCAACTGAAAGAAAAGGTTTTACTTCCCTTTTAAGAGACTTCTGCCCTTCCCTGAAACTCTGCACAGCTTTGGAAAGCCCAATTCCTAATCCACCCTGTTCGGTTCCCCTGCCCCTCCTTGGAAACGAGGCTCGGTCCTCCCTACGCGCTACTCTCCGGCGGTTGGGCCCCAGGCAGGAAGTTTCTGATTGGCGGAGTCGTAGAAGCACCGGGTGAAAAGAGCTCCACTGGCTGCGCACCGGAGTCCGGGCGTAGCCAGTGCCGTACGGCAAAATGGCGGCCCCCAGCTGCTTTGGGACGCCTGGGTTCGGGGAGACAAACTCCGACCTGGAAGAGACCGTTGACTATGTGGGCCGCACTGGAGGTGTTCGCGGGGCGGGCCTACTGCCACCTCCGGCCACAGGAAGCCTGTGTTCCGTACGACAATATGGCGGCGCTTAGTTGCATGAAGGCGGAAACTCTGTGACTTCCGGTCCGTAGTGGGGCCTGCGGTGGGAGTGGGAAGGAAGGCGGAGGGAACCATGCGAGGTTCTGAGAATTGCGGCGAGGGTCGCCTCGAGAGACGGTTTCTGAGGTGGGGGCCGGACGGTGCGGGGATCAGAGGCGGGGGCGGGGATATAGAGGGAGAGGTATTGGGGAGAGCTGGGCGCTGAGTCTGAGGGGAATGCTGTGGTACCTTCCTGTCCCTGAAAGGGAGTGGAGCGGCCGGGGGCTGAACTGGGGGAGGGGGATTTGGCGGGAAGCGCATCTAGCGGACCGGCCGGACCCACGGTTGGGATCTAAGAGGAATCGCGAGAGCGTAGCGCGGTGTGGGGGGACTTTTGATCAGTTACGGGTCACCGAGAGAATGGGGAAAATTAGGGTGGGGTGAAAGGGAGGGGACTTGGGTAAAATATCTTCAACCTAAAGCCCCAGTTTGAGGAGACTCATCGGAGGGTGAAATATGGAGATAATTCAAGGAGGAGAAAAGAGAACGGACTGTTGGGAGGGAACCTCTTTCACCTCAGAGAGTCTAGGAGTTGGGGTGATCATTCAGGATAGGGTGGGTGTGGGGTTGACTTGTTTGAGAGCAGAGGGGGCAAACACATGAGGTGGCGCCCACAGGAGTGTGTTGTCTGTGCAAGGGGGTGTCAGGACGATTTGGGGTGCAGTGTGGGAGGAAGAATCAACTTGCCAACTCTAAGAAATAGGGGGGAAATGCAACAGAAAGACCGGAAATCGACGTGAGGGGTGGAGCAGAAGGTGGCAACTTAAGGTGTGGGGGTGGTTTGCCCCCCCCCCCCACACCACTTGAAGGGCCCCAAAAAGCATATAGAACTAATGGTTATTGAAATCAGGTGGTGAAGACAGTGTTGGTCAGGGCTGGATGTTACTGAAACCCAAGGAGTTCAGAAAATGTGTGAGGTGAAGGGATGGGGCTATGCTGGAGGGGCTCATTCTGAGGCCCCATCCCCTTCCAGCAGGAATTCTGAAATCCCCACCACTTCCTCCCTCCGGGGGATTTGATCCCCTATGGCCACCGCTAACAGCATCATCGTGCTGGATGATGATGACGAAGATGAAGCAGCTGCTCAGCCAGGGCCCTCCCACCCACTCCCCAATGCGGCCTCACCTGGGGCAGAAGCCCCTAGCTCCTCTGAGCCTCATGGGGCCAGAGGAAGCAGTAGTTCGGGCGGCAAGAAATGCTACAAGCTGGAGAATGAGAAGCTGTTCGAAGAGGTGAGCTTTAGCGGGGAAGATTGTTGTACCCCAGGGAGGGGGATGGCTGACTGGTTCTCCTGTCCTTTCTTTCCCACTAACCCCACCTCCCCTTTCTCTCAACCCCCTCCCTTGTCTCTCTTCCCCTTCCTTCTTCCCCTGAACCTTCTAGTTCCTTGAACTTTGTAAGATGCAGACAGCAGACCACCCTGAGGTGGTCCCATTCCTCTATAACCGGCAGCAACGTGCCCACTCTCTGTTTTTGGCCTCGGCGGAGTTCTGCAACATCCTCTCTAGGGTCCTGTCTCGGGCCCGGAGCCGGCCAGCCAAGCTCTATGTCTACATCAATGAGCTCTGCACTGTTCTCAAGGCCCACTCAGCCAAAAAGAAGCTGAACTTGGCCCCTGCCGCCACCACCTCCAATGAGCCCTCTGGGAATAACCCTCCCACACACCTCTCCTTGGACCCCACAAATGCTGAAAACACTGCCTCTCAGTCTCCAAGGACCCGTGGTTCCCGGCGGCAGATCCAGCGTTTGGAGCAGCTGCTGGCGCTCTATGTGGCAGAGATCCGGCGGCTGCAGGAAAAGGAGTTGGATCTCTCAGAATTGGATGACCCAGACTCCGCATACCTGCAGGAGGCACGGTTGAAGCGTAAGCTGATCCGCCTCTTTGGGCGACTATGTGAGCTGAAAGACTGCTCTTCACTGACCGGCCGTGTCATAGAGCAGCGCATCCCCTACCGTGGCACCCGCTACCCAGAGGTTAACAGGCGCATTGAGCGGCTCATCAACAAGCCAGGGCCTGATACCTTCCCTGACTATGGGGATGTGCTTCGGGCTGTAGAGAAGGCAGCTGCCCGACACAGCCTTGGCCTCCCCCGACAGCAGCTCCAGCTCATGGCTCAGGATGCCTTCCGAGATGTGGGCATCAGGTTACAGGAGCGACGTCACCTCGATCTCATCTACAACTTTGGCTGCCACCTCACAGATGACTATAGGCCAGGTAGGGGGTTGGTGGGATGCCTCTCAGTGACCCTTATATGTCAGGTATGAGGCGGATGGGGCATCTCTCTAGTCCTTTCTAGGGTTTTTACTCTTCTAGTCCCTTCAAGGGCTGAGTGCTCTGACTTTATGTCTTCCCACGTAGGCGTTGACCCTGCACTATCAGATCCTGTGTTGGCCCGGCGCCTTCGGGAAAACCGGAGTTTGGCCATGAGTCGGCTGGATGAGGTCATCTCCAAATACGCAATGTTGCAAGACAAAAGTGAGGAGGGCGAGAGAAAAAAGAGAAGAGCTCGGCTCCAAGGCACCTCTTCCCACTCTGCAGACACCCCCGAAGCCTCCTTGGATTCTGGTGAGGTGTGGATGGGGTACAGCCTTCAGAGAGACATTGTCCTTCCCCTGCACTGGCCACCAGGGAGTCCAGGTTGACTGATGGGGTAGCATGAGAAGGAAAGCAAGAACCAAACCCTCTGGGGCAAGGGATTCCTTAGAGAAACTTCTTTGTCTCCCAGGGCCCTAGTGGAATGGCATCCCAGGGGTGCCCTTCTGCCTCCAGAGCTGAGACAGATGACGAAGACGATGAGGAGAGTGATGAGGAAGAGGAGGAGGAGGAGGAAGAAGAAGAGGAGGAGGCCACAGATTCTGAAGAGGAGGAGGATCTGGAACAGATGCAGGAGGGTCAGGAGGATGATGAAGAGGAGGACGAAGAGGAAGAAGCAGCAGCAGGTATGTCAAGGGAACATTCTCCTCACCTGTCATTTCTGTTTTGTTAGGCATGAGCCACCTGTTTGAAACCTTTCCCTTCCTCCTCCTAGTGTCCTCTCAGCAGTATTTTTTCCCCCTCATTCTCAGGCTACCCTCTCCCCTTTTCTTCTTTTCCAGGTAAAGATGGAGACAAGAGCCCCATGTCCTCACTACAGATCTCCAATGAAAAGAACCTGGAACCTGGCAAACAGATCAGCAGATCTTCAGGGGAGCAGCAAAACAAAGGACGCATAGTGTCACCATCGTTACTGTCAGAAGAACCCCTGGCCCCCTCCAGCATAGATGCTGAAAGCAATGGAGAACAGCCTGAGGAGCTGACCCTGGAGGAAGAAAGCCCTGTGTCTCAGCTCTTTGAGCTAGAGATTGAAGCTTTGCCCCTGGATACCCCTTCCTCTGTGGAGACGGACATTTCCTCTTCCAGGAAGCAATCAGAGGAGCCCTTCACCACTGTCTTAGAGAATGGAGCAGGCATGGTCTCTTCTACTTCCTTCAATGGAGGCGTCTCTCCTCACAACTGGGGAGATTCTGGTCCCCCCTGCAAAAAATCTCGGAAGGAGAAGAAGCAAACAGGATCAGGGCCATTAGGAAACAGGTAATAACAAGAGGAGGAGGAAGAGGGAAGCCAAGGAGGGATTGCAGGGGACTTTCGGAGAGCAATACTGGGGAACTGAGTCTGCTGGGAGAGACTGGACTGCCCCCCTCCAGCCTCAGTCTTCCCGTACCCCTCCACATATTTATGTTTCTGTTTCTAGCTATGTGGAAAGGCAAAGGTCAGTGCATGAGAAGAATGGGAAAAAGATATGTACCCTGCCCAGCCCACCTTCCCCCTTGGCTTCCTTGGCCCCAGTTGCTGATTCCTCCACGAGGGTGGACTCTCCCAGCCATGGCCTGGTGACCAGCTCCCTCTGCATCCCTTCTCCAGCCCGGCTGTCCCAAACCCCCCATTCACAGCCTCCTCGGCCTGGTACTTGCAAGGTAAGAAGGGGAGGGCGTGTTTCCTCTGACAATTTGTTCTCTTTCATTGGCTGTTTCAGCTGCTCTGTCTGAATATTCCACGTGCCACATCCTGTCTCTTCCTTTTTCCCACCCATTTTATCCTCTAAATCCTCCTGTTTCTTTTCTCCTGTACTCCAGATCTCTTTGACTCTTTGTCTCTCACTTCCCTGCAGACAAGTGTGGCCACACAATGCGATCCAGAAGAGATCATCGTGCTCTCAGACTCTGATTAGCTGCCTCCCCTTCTCCCTGCCTCCAGAATGTTCTGGGATAACATTTGGAGGAAGGTGGGAAGCAGATGACTGAGGAAGGGATGGACTAAGCTAATCCCCTTTTGGTGGTGTTTCTTTAAAAAAAAAAAAAAAAGCTTAAGTTTTACACAGAAACATTAATAAACAATAAAGTTCTTTTCTTACTGTATCACTGTCTTTTTCTTGTCCTTCTACTGTTACAGATTGGCATTAGCTGTCCCCTTGCTCAGGGTTAGCCCAGTATCCCCGGGGTAGTCCCGCTCTGTCCTTTCTAGCCTGGCCTTTTTTTTTTTTTTTTTTTTTTGTCTCGCTGTGTCGCCCAGGCCAGGGTGCAGTGGTGAGATCACAGCTCACTGCAGCCTGGACCTCCCAGTCTCAAGCGATAATGCCTCAGCCTCCCGAGTAGCCGGGACTACAGGCGCGTGCCACCATGCCTGGCTAATTTTTGTTTTTGTTGTTTGTATTTTTTGTAGAGACGGGGTTTCGCCACGTTGTTCAGGCAGTACTTTTTTTTTTTTTTAAGTGCTTCAGCCGCCTTAACGCACTTTACTTTTTCACTTCGTGCAGTAGGAGTGAGAAAGCCAATGAGGGGCCGACTCAAGGTTATTTAGCCAATCCAGGCCCGGAGAAAGGGGGCGGGGCTTCAGTGGGACTGTAAGGAGCTAGGAAGAGGGCGATTAGATCCCACCAACCAGCTAATGGTCACAGCTCAGAGGCGGAGCCTGGGGAACGATACCTGGACCCATCGCCAATGGGAAAAGGCAGGCTTATAGCTTTAAAGGGGAATAAATGCTTCGGCCGAACCAAGTCCTGAGCTCCCAGCGGAGGAGGGGACCTGATCTTTTAAGGTGGAATGTGGCGATGTTTCTTTAAAGGCAAAGTGGCCGAGTCGGCCGAGTATTGCCCAGCGGCACGGGCGGGGTGCCCGGCTGTGCCTTTAAAGGCGGAGGGGCGGGAGGCGGAGCGGAGGCGGAGGGCGGAGGGAGTCGGCGCAAGATGGCGGCGGGAGGGGCCCAGGTTGCTGCTCTGGCCGCCGAGTGAGGGGCGGGGGGGGCCCGGGGGCGCGCGGCCCGGTAAGCGGGGACGCGCGAGGTTGGGGGGCGCCTTCCGGGTGGGAGAAGAGGCCGAGGTAGCGCTTGGGGCGGAGCGGGGGGGGGCGGGGTCCGTTGTGGGCGGAGGTAGACAAGGGGCGGGGTCGAAAGGCCCGATAGTGGGCGGGGCACGGGGGGGGGGTGGGCCTGGAAAGGGGCGGGGCTAGAGAAGCTGGGGCGAAAGGGGGCGTGGTCGGCGAGAGAGCTTGGGGGGCATAGCCTGAGGGGAGATGGAGCAAGCGTTGGTTTTCAGTAGCAGAGCTGCCCTGCCCCCTCCCAAAAAGTGGGTGCAAAACACCAAAAAGGTAGATTTTGGAATGTCAGGCTCTCAGGTAAGTCGGAAATAGGGTATAATTCCGAAGGAAGCCACTCCAGCCCCTAAGAGCACCTTATTTCTCTAACCTCCAAGGAAAGGGCACAAGATTTGTCAGATACCTGTGTTTGCTGGCGCTGCCACTTGCTGTGTGACCTTGGATAATCTCTTAATCTTTCTGAGCTTTAGTTTCCTCATCTGTCAAATGGGGTTGAGAGGAATACCTACCTCACTGTTGTGGGGAGTTACACAGATAATGAGCGTGAACATATTTTTGAGTTGTAACGGGCTGTGTCGTTATGAGATGTTATCATTATTCTTTTCTCTTTTTCTTCCCAGAGACCCCCCCGGCCGCCCTCCTCCTTTCTTTGTTCCTGTGGCTGGGGGGGTATCCCCTCCCTCCACAACATGGAGCCATCTCCTCTGTCTCCCAGTGGGGCAGCACTTCCCCTGCCGCTGTCGCTGGCTCCGCCCCCACTACCCCTGCCAGCAGCTGCAGTGGTACATGTGTCCTTCCCTGAGGTGACCAGTGCCCTCTTGGAGTCCCTCAATCAGCAGCGTCTGCAGGGCCAGCTCTGCGATGTATCTATCAGAGTGCAGGGCCGGGAGTTCCGGGCTCATCGGGCTGTCCTGGCTGCCTCCTCCCCTTACTTCCATGATCAGGTCCTACTCAAAGGCATGACCTCCATCTCGCTGCCCAGTGTCATGGACCCAGGCGCCTTTGAGACTGTCCTAGCCTCCGCTTACACTGGCCGCCTCAGCATGGCTGCTGCTGACATTGTCAACTTCCTTACAGTGGGGTCTGTGCTCCAAATGTGGCACATTGTGGACAAGTGCACTGAACTACTCCGAGAAGGCCGGGCCTCAGCTACCACCACCATCACTACTGCTGCAGCCACCTCTGTCACTGTCCCTGGTGCTGGGGTGCCATCCGGGAGTGGGGGCACTGTGGCCCCTGCTACCATGGGCTCTGCGCGCTCCCATGCCTCCAGCCGGGCCAGTGAGAATCAATCTCCCAGCAGCAGCAACTACTTCAGCCCCAGGGAGTCCACTGATTTCTCATCTTCCTCCCAAGAGGCATTTGCAGCTTCTGCAGTGGGCAGTGGGGAGCGTCGAGGAGGTGGCCCTGTATTCCCAGCCCCTGTCGTTGGCAGTGGAGGGGCCACATCTGGAAAGCTGCTGCTGGAGGCAGATGAGCTGTGCGATGATGGTGGGGATGGGAGGGGGGCAGTGGTTCCTGGGGCTGGGCTCCGGAGACCCACCTACACACCCCCTAGCATCATGCCACAGAAACACTGGGTATACGTGAAGCGAGGTGGTAATTGCCCAGCGCCAGCACCCCTGGTTCCCCAAGACCCAGATCTGGAGGAGGAAGAGGAGGAGGAAGATCTGGTGTTGACCTGTGAGGATGATGAAGATGAAGAACTAGGGGGTAGCTCCAGGGTTCCAGTGGGGGGAGGGCCTGAGGCTACCCTCAGCATAAGTGATGTCCGTACCCTGAGTGAGCCCCCAGACAAGGGGGAGGAGCAGGTCAACTTCTGTGAGTCCTCCAATGACTTTGGCCCATATGAGGGTGGGGGTCCTGTGGCAGGTCTTGATGACTCAGGGGGGCCAACTCCCTCTTCCTATGCCCCCTCCCACCCTCCTCGACCGCTCCTTCCCTTGGACATGCAGGGCAACCAGATCCTGGTCTTCCCGTCGTCGTCTTCATCCTCATCCTCACAGGCTCCTGGCCAACCACCAGGGAACCAAGCAGAACACGGGGCAGTGACCGTGGGGGGCACGTCGGTGGGGAGCCTGGGTGTGCCGGGTAGCGTTGGTGGGGTCCCTGGAGGGACTGGCAGTGGGGACGGGAATAAGATCTTTCTGTGCCATTGTGGGAAGGCCTTCTCCCACAAGAGCATGCGGGACCGGCACGTGAACATGCACCTCAATCTGCGGCCGTTTGACTGCCCCGTGTGCAACAAAAAGTTCAAGATGAAGCACCATCTGACTGAGCACATGAAGACGCACACAGGTCTCAAGCCCTACGAGTGCGGAGTCTGCGCCAAGAAGTTCATGTGGCGAGACAGCTTCATGCGCCACCGAGGACACTGTGAGCGCCGGCACCGCCTGGGCGGGGTCGGGGCCGTACCTGGGCCTGGGACTCCCACGGGGCCATCCTTGCCGTCCAAGAGAGAGTCTCCCGGAGTGGGCGGGGGCAGCGGCGACGAAGCGAGTGCGGCCACGCCCCCGTCCAGCAGACGTGTCTGGTCCCCACCCAGAGTCCACAAGGTGGAGATGGGCTTCGGTGGAGGTGGAGGAGCAAACTGAAGGGGCAGGCTACTGGGGTGGGGTAGCTTTCGGGAAAGGGAATAAGGAGCACGATGCAAGGGCGCTGTGGCCCCCGGGTGATCTCCCACCACACTTACTGTCTTCCTTTATCTCTGTGGACTTGTATATATTCTGGAAGGGGAACCACAGTTTCACCATCACCCGCCCATTCTACTACTCAACCCCTCCCCCCCAAGGTATTTCCAGAACTAAACCCTTCCTTTCCCTCTGATGGGTACACTGAAGCCCCTGCTCCACAGAGTAGATTGCACATGGAGGGAGGGAGAGGGGGCGTGTTGAACATCCTGCAGTCACAGGGTCAGGGGTCAGGTGGTTGTAGTCTGTGCCTGAAGTCTGTGTTTGTGTTGTCGTGGAGACAAGGCCTTTGAGCCCCACCCTTGTCCTAGAACCTACCCCCTCTCAAGGATGCGCTCTTTATTTCTACCCTGTCTCTCCCCGCCACCCCCGACTTCCCGTGGAAATTCCCAACTCGGTTCTCATGGAGGAGTGGGTGGAGACAAGGAGGGAGTAAGTCGTAGGAGTACAAGGTTTTTATTTTTTTTAACAGTGATTAAAATATTTATTGGTCATTTACTTGGCTTCCCGACAACCCGTGTGTTTGCTGGGGACGCGGCACAGATAGGGGGAAGCCGGAGTAATGGTTTTCGGGCAAGTGGATGTTGGAGAGCACACACAGGAGTTGGGGGGCGGGGGAGGGCCTGGGGTTGGGGAGGGCTCGAACTCGGGGCTGCTGGGTAGTCCAGGAGGGCGCGGTAAGGCTGGGGTATCCTGGTGAGAACTGGAGAGGATCTACCCGGGTCCCTGCCTGGCCAGTGGGGAAACACCGGTCCCCCAGGCACCTTCACCTAACCAGAGCGGGGATTTCCACCGCCCCTCATGCCGCCCTTTGGAGGAAAGTGAAAGTGAAAGGAGGAAGAGGAGGCTAAATGGCTGAGGAGGTCGCAGCGCCATGAAGTCCCTGTCTCTGCTCCTCGCTGTGGCTTTGGGTGAGCGAACCCCGCGACTCATCGCCCAAGAACTAGAGGGAAGCGGAGGGAGGTGGCCCCACTGGAGCCGATGCCAGGGTGGGAGTGGGGCAGGTCACCAGACATACAAACCGCTCCTCACTCGCGTCCCTATACGCCAGGCCTGGCGACCGCCGTCTCAGCAGGACCCGCGGTGATCGAGTGTTGGTTCGTGGAGGATGCGAGCGGAAAGGGCCTGGCCAAGAGACCCGGTGCACTGCTGTTGCGCCAGGGACCGGGGGAACCGCCGCCCCGGCCGGACCTCGACCCTGAGCTCTATCTCAGTGTACACGGTGAGTCTCTAGGGACTCGCCGCCCCCCTACCTCTGTCGCCTCCACCGAAACCCCCTCCTCTTTAGATCCGGCAGTGACCTCAGGCCTCAGCTTCCCCTTTGTAAAGTGAGTCTCACTACGGGGTAGTCTGTGCATTTGAAGTTCCCCGAACGCTGCCCTTCCAGCCCCTTTCCCGGCGGTGACTCTACAGCTGCAACTTCCTTCTCTACACTCAGACCCCGCGGGCGCCCTCCAGGCTGCCTTCAGGCGGTATCCCCGGGGCGCCCCCGCACCACACTGCGAGATGAGCCGCTTCGTGCCTCTCCCCGCCTCTGCGAAATGGGCCAGCGGCCTGACCCCCGCGCAGAACTGCCCGCGGGCCCTGGATGGGGCTTGGCTGATGGTCAGCATATCCAGCCCAGTCCTCAGCCTCTCCAGCCTCTTGCGACCACAGCCAGAGCCTCAGCAGGAGCCTGTTCTCATCACCATGGCAACAGGTAGCTGGGGAGGGGAGGTGGAGAAGGGTGGGTAGATTCTAAGGGTCCAGATCAGCCGGTGGTCTCGCTTTATGGACTTGAGCAAGACATTTCGCCAATCGGGGTTCAGTTTCCTTTTTTTGTTAAGAGAGGTGGTTTGGCTAGAATGAATCAATCTCTACCGCTCCTTCTAGCCCTCACCCAGTTAAAAAAAAAAACAAAAAAAAAACTGCAGCTTGGCAGGGGGTAGGGGGAAAGCAGGGCCGGGCAGGGGGGTTACTTTCTGGTGTTTCGAAGGGCGGGGCTTTGAAGAGGTGGGGTTTCCCGACACCAGACCTTGAGAGACTTGTCAGGTGATGCGAGGTGGGAGGGGTTCAGAAGCAGCAGCGTTTTTTCTCTGCTCTTCCCAGATCTGTGTCTTGCTCTGCACCCTCAGCTTTGCGGGTCACTCTTTCAAAACCCAGCACTCTATCCCCACCTGCGCCCACACCCGGCGCTGCGGCAATCCTCAAAGCAAAGGCTCTTGCACTCTAGCGCGTTGACCTTGCCTGACAGCCCCGTGTAGGGATGTGCTGCCGCTCTGTGGTCCGCAAACAGGTGGGCTCGAGTGGGCGGATGGACGCGGCTGGAGATTGGATAGCTCCTATTGCACTGAAAGGTGCATTGCAGTTTGAGGCCCAGGAGTCAGAAGCTTTTCTAGGCTGAGACGTGGGAGGGACTGTGCAGATAATTCAAGAATGAGGAGAGTCTGACCTGGATATCTGGGAGCTCTCCCTCCTGGCAGCGGAGGCGGGGTATTCCGGGGTAGAATACCGGTAGAGTTCTTAGCTTTTCTATCTGGATTTTATGTCAGCGACACAGCCCGATGGACAGGGCAACCCCAACCAATCCCTGCACCCTCCCTTCCCTCCACCCTCCTGAGAATTACCCACAGAACCAGGGAGACAGACTTGAAACCCACGCTGAAACCCTCACCTCTGCCTATACCTCCATTCTTAGTCTCAAGCCCCCACCCTGGCAGAAGCTGAGGAACACTGCTCTTGTGTAGACAGTAGCTCTCTCTGGTGGGGTGGAATATTTCCTAGGGCTACTGGCTCCACCGAGGTGATGATGAGAATGGTCTTTGCTTTCTGAGTTTGTTTTTCCAACTGTAAAATGTGGATACTATTTCCCAGCTGCTTTTCTTGTTGTGACTATCAAGAGATGGCACTGTGTTAATTTATCCATTGATTCAATAAATACTTTTTAGCACCAAGAATGAGTTAGGACTCAGCAGTTCTCAGTCCACACTGTTGGAGGTTTCTAAAATATACTGAAACCTGATTCAATCCCATGCTTAGCTTGGCCGATTAAATCAGAATCTCTGGGGTGGCCCTGGGTGCCCTTAAGGGTCACAAAGATGATCTGATGTAGACTCTGCTCTCCAGGAGGTTCTGGGCGTATTTGCCACGGATAATCCTAATGTAAAGTAGAAAGTGAAGGACATGCAGACAGGGAGCCCTGGAAGTGCCCGGGTGGTAAGATTGTCTGTATTTCACAAACAACTGGGGTCAAAGCAAGGTGCTGTGCTATTTATTTATTTTTATTTTATTTATTTATTTATTTTTGAGACAGAGTTTTGCTCTTGTTGCCCAGGCTGGAGTGCAATGGCGTGATCTCACGCTCACCGGAACCTCCGCCTCCCTGGTTCAAGCAATTCTCCTGCCTCAGCCTCCCGAGTAGCTGGGATTACAGGTGCCTGCCACCACACCCAGCTAATTTTGTATTTTTAGTAGAGATGAGGTTTCTCCATGTTGGTAAGGCTGGTCTCGAACTCCCAACTTCAGGTGATCCTCCCACCTCGCCTCCCGAAGTGCTGGGATTACAAGCGTGAGCCACTGCGCCTGCCTGCTATTTATTTATTTATTTATTTTTGAGACGGAGTCTCCCTCTTATTGCCCAGGCTAGAGTGCAGTTGCAGTGGCATGATCTTGGCTCACTGCAACCTCCGTCTCCCATGTTCAAGCAATTCTTGTGCCTTAGCCTCCCCAGTAGCTGGGATTACAGGCTTGTGCCACCACGCCCACCTAATTTTTGTATTTTTATTGGAGACAGGTTTCACCATGTTGGCCAGGATGGTCTTGAACTCCTGACCTAAGGTGATCCACCCACCTTGGCCTTCCAAAGTGCTGGGATTACAGGCATGAGCCACCACGCCTGGCCTGCTGTGCTCTTTCTTTTCAAGCATTTCTGCTTGATCAGGGATTTAAGAAAATGAAAGCTGTTGTACTGATGTAAAATTAGAAATGAAATCTCTCCAGGGTCCAAGATCATTCATGATTTTGCTAATATACATTTATACTTGTCTTATCAAATATTTTTAAATGTTTATTGACAAATATGCTTATTTATTTATTTATTTGAGACAGGGTCTCCCTCTGTCGCCCAGGCTGGAGTGCAGTGCAGGCTGGAGAGCAGTGGCATGATCTCAGCTCACTGCAACCTCCACCTCCGTGGCTCAAGTGATCCTCGTGCCTCAGTCTCCTGAGTAGCTGAGACCACAGGCATGTGCCACCATGCCCAGCTAATTTTTGTATTTTTTTTGTGGAGATGGGTTTTTGTCAGGTTGCCCAGGCTGGTCTTGGACTCCTGGGCTCAATTGATCTGCCCACCTTGGCCTCCGAAACTGCTGGGATTACACGTGTGAGCTGCCTGGCCCCAAATATACTTTTTTTTTTTTTTTTTTTTTTTGAGACAGAGTCTCACCCTGTTGCCCAGGCTGGAGTGCAATGGTGTGATCTCTGCTCATTTCAACTTCTGCCTCCTGAGTTCAAGTAATTCTCCTGTCTCAGCCTCCCAAGTAGCTGAGACTACAGGCGCCCACCACCAGGCCCAGCTAATTTTTGTATTTTTAGTGGAGACAGGGTTTGGTCATGTTAGCCAGGCTGGTCTTGAACTCCTGACCTCAGGTGATCCACCCACCTCAGCCTCCCAAATTGCTGGGATTACAGGCGTGAGCCACCACGCCAGGCCTATACTTTCTTAATATACTTTGTGTGTATAGTGTTTAATTCTCACCATTCTTTTAAAATATTATGGAGTCAGGTGAGGTGACTCACGCCTGTACTTCCAGCACTTTGGGAGGTCTAGGTGGGAGGATCATTTGCACTCAGGAGTTCAAGACCAGCCTGGGCAACATAACCAGACCTTGTCTCTACTAAAAATTAAAAAAATGCTGGGCGCAGTGGCTCATGCCTGTAATCCCAGCACTTTGGGAGGCCGAGGTGGGCAGATCACCTGAGGTCGAAAGTTCAAGACCAGCCTGACCAACATGGAGAAACCCCGTCTGTACTAAAAATACAAAATTAGCCAGGCATGGTGGTGCATGCCTGTAATCCCAGCTACTCGGAAGGCTGAGGCAAGAGAATTGCTTGAACCTGGGAGGCGGAGGTTGCAGTGAGCCAAGATCATGCCACTGCACTCCAGCCTGGGCAACAAGCGTGAAACTGTCTCAAAAAAAAAAAAAAAAAAAAAAGGTTGGGTGTCGTGGCATGTACCTATGGTCCCAGCTACTCGGGAGGCTGTGTTGGGAGGATTGCACCTTTGATGGGTGACAGAGTGAGACCCTGTCTCCAAAAAAAAAAAAAAAAAAAAAAAAAGAGTTAAACTGTAAAACCTTTAGGTCTTGTTTATTATTTTTTTAAATTTTTTCTTTTAAATAGAGATGGGGTCTTGCTATGTTGCCCAGGCTGGTCTCAAACTGCTGGGTTCAAGTGATCCTCCCACCTCAGCCTCCCAAGGTACTGGGATTACAAGTCTGAGCCACCCTGCCCAGCCAGGTTTTGTTTATTAATTCTATGGATTTTTTTTTTTTGAGATCAAGTTTTGCTCTTGTTGCCCAGTCTGGAGGGCAATGGCATGATCTCGGCTCACCACAACCTCCGCCTCCCAGGTTCAAGTGATTCTCCTGCCTCAGCTTCCCAAGCAGCTGTGATTACAGGCGTGTGCCACCATGCCCGGATAATTCTGTATTTTTAGTAGAGACGGGGTTTCTCCAGTCTGGTCTCAAACTCCCAACCTCAGGTGATCCACCGGCCTCGGCCTCCCAAAGTGCTGGGATTACAGGCGTGAGCCACTGTGCCCAGCCTGTGGATCTTTTTTTTTTTTTTAACAATTCAAAAGTATGTTTCTGGATTTTGACAAACTAAGTGAAATTGCATACTGTTTTTACTCTACTGAACAATTCCATGAAGATGAGAACAGTTTAACCTTATAGGCCTCAGAAGCTAGGATTAAAAAGAACATAAAAATAATTACAAGAAGAAAAAGATTACTTCTACCTGAAGGACCTAGACATTTCTGGGAAGAAACAGCAGTGAAAGTGACCTTCATGTACATGGAGTATTTAGATCAGGGGTCTCCAATCTTTTGGCTTCCCTGAGCCACACTGGGAGAAGAATTGTCTTGGGCCATGCATAAAATATACGAACACTAACGATGGCTGATAAGCTAAAAAAAAAAAATGTGAAAAAATCTCATAATGTTTTAAGAAAGTTTATGAATTTGTGTTGGGCTGTATTCCAAGCCGTCCTTGGCTGCATGTGGTCCCTGGGCTGGAGGTTGGACAAGCTTGATAGATGTTTGGGAGAAAATGGGAAAGACAATGTAAACTGAAGGGACCTCATGACCAAAGCAAAGAGATGACCAATGATGACCACTTCTACTAGGCACAAGAAAGGGGTTCTATGTGGCTGGTTTGTAGGGTGCAGGAGAAGCCTGGAAGGGTGGGTTAGGGGCTGAATGTTCAAATACCTTGAAAGCTGGGCTTTGTTCTGTAGGTGAGAGCGAACCATCAGAAGTTCTTTTGGAGGGCGTGTTATTCTAAAAAGCCTGTTTTTATTATGTACATATTTATTTTTTGAGACGGAGTTTCACTCTTGTCACCCATGCTGGAGTGCAATGGGGTGATCTTGGCTCACTGCAACCTCTGCCTCCTGGGTTCAAGCAATTCTCCTGCCTCAGCCTCCCAAGTTGATGGGATCACAGGCACCCACAACCACGCCCCGCTAATTTTTTTTTTTTTGTATTTTTAGTAGAGATGGGGTTTCACCATGTTGGCCAGGCTGCTCTCGAACTCCTGACCTCAGGTAATCCACCCGCCTCAGCCTCCCAAAGTGCTGGGATTACATGTGTTAGCCACCATGCCCGGAAAAAGCCTGTTATTTTACTTGATTCTTTTAAAAGATAGGCAAAGGTCAGATCTTTGGACTAGTGAGGAAAATACAGGTTAAATGATTTTTCCAAGTTAACCAGCAAGTCCATGATAGTGATGAAGGTAATGAAAATAGTAACAGCTAACATTTATCAAGTATTTTCTATATGCCAGGCCCTGTTCTAAGCACTTTATATGCATAATCTCACTTATTCCTCTCAACAACCATAGGTTGTAGGTTTTAATATTATCCCTGTATTGCATATGGATAAATATAGGACACAAACCAGTTAAATAATTTGCCCAAGGACACACAGTGTGTAAGAAGCAGAGCTAGAGGCCAGGCGTGGTGGCTCATGCCTGTAATCCCAGCACTTTGGGAGACCAAAGCAGGCGGATCACCTGAGGTCGGGAGTTCAAGACCAGCCTGGGCAACATGGTGAAACCCCATCTCTACCAAAAATACAAAAATTAGCTGGGCACGGTTGTGGACGCCTGTAATCCCAGCTACTCAGGAGGCTGAGGCAGGAGACTCACTTGAACCTGGGAGGCAGAGGTTGCAGTGAGCCAAGATCACACCACTATACTCTAGCCTAGGTGACGAGCAAAACTCTATCTCAAAAAAAAAAAAAAAAAAAAAAGAAGCAGGGCTAGAAATTGAACCCAGGCCATATAGCTTCAGCCTATGCCTTTATCAGCTGACTTCCTAGGTATTTGGGATTTTTATTTTATTTATTTATTTAGTTTTGAGACGGAGTCTCACTCTGTTGCCCAGGCTGGAGTGTAGTGGCATGATTTCGGCTTACGGCAACCTCTACCTCCCAGGTTCAAGTGATTCTTCTGCCTCAGCCTCCCAAGTAGCTAGGACTACAGGTGCCTGCCCCCACACCTGGCTAATTTTTGTATTTTTAGTAGAGACAGGGTTTTGCCATGTTGGCCAGGCTGGTCTTGAACTCCTGACCTCAGGTAATCCACCCGCCTCAGGCTACCAAAGTGTTGGGATTACAGGTGTGAGCCACCACGCCTGGCCGTATTTGGGATTTTTTTTTTTTTTTTTGAAACGGGGTTTCCCTCTTATTGCCCAGGCTGGAGTGCAATGGCACAATCTCGGCTCACCGCAACCTCTGCTTCCCGGGTTCAAGCAATTCTACTGCCTCGGTCTCCCGAGTAGCTGGGATTACAGGCATGTGCCACCACACCAGGCTAATTTTGTATTTTTAGTAGAGACGGGGTTTCACCATGTTGGTCAGGCTGGTTTCAAACTCCCGAACTCAGGTGATCCACCCGCCTCGGCCTCCCAAAGTGCTGGGATTATAGGCATGAACCACTGCGTCTGGCCCATATTTGGGATTTTTAAACAGGTAGGTGATGGGATCAGACTTGTAGTCACTTTGTTTGGCTACAGTGTGAAGAAGGAGTTGAAGGAGAGACTGAGAATAGGGAGACCAGACAGGAGGGCTGTTGTAATTGTCTAAACGTACATTGATGAGAACCTAAATTGGAAACAGATGTGAGATCTGTTAGGTCCTGGTGGGGATAGCACATAGCACATTATTTTTGACAATTTGCTTGTCTGTCATTGGACTATAGGCAATTTGAGAGCAGGGACTGCTTGTCTTGTTCACCATTCTGTCTTCTACCAGGATACCTTGAACATCTTCAGTGCTCAATAGTTGCTGAATGAATAAATGAGTCTGAGTAACTCCAAGGGTTTGCTTTTAGTGTCTGGCGGGCTTGGTGATCATTCATCAAAGACAGGGAAGATGGGCATTGGAGCAGGGTGGGGAATGTTGCAGAGATGCTGTTGACTTGGGGTATGCTAAGTTAGGTGTAACTATAGCAAACACGTGTAGACTTACTGTGTTCCAGACAGTGTTGTAAGCACCCTTCATGGGTAGGTGTCTCTGTTATCTAAAATTGGGAACTGAATAGACTTGAGTAGCAAGAGGTATTAATGATTTAACCATCACAACAACCTCATGAAGTAGGTACTATTATTATCATCAACTTTTAATTTTAGAGATTAGGAAGCTGAGCCATGGAAAAAGGAAGTGGCCCAAGGCCATATAAATAAGCTGCAGAGGGGATTTGAACCCGGTCAGCCAGGCTCCAGGCACTTAGCCACTGCACTGTACTGCTTCAGTAGAGCATAGAGGTCTGTGCTCAGGTCTAGGCTAGAGCTGGAACCTTCTAGAGTCAGTAAATATTCTGTACAGCACCACAAGACTGACAGTCATGGCTCAATCATTGTCTTCGCCTGTAATCAAGAAAGGCCTGGTTCCTCAAGGGTGGTGCTTGGAGATAGAGTGGTTCAGGTTGTGTCAGAAGTGGCCTCGGATTCTGCAGTCCCCCGAGCTAGAGTGTGCTATGTGTTCAGAGTAGGCTTCAAAGGCCATACCCCCTCATTGCCCCTACTCACCACCCCTAGACCTCTCTGCTCACCCTCAGCCACACTAGGTGCCACCCAGTCGCAGAGCAAAAGGAGTTTGCAGGGAGGGCTAGGAAATGGTGAGTATCAGAAAAGGTGTCCTCTGAGGGGTGGGTAAACTGCAGTTTAGCCCTCCCCAATAACTGCATTTCTCTATTTTTTTCTCCTTCTTTCTCTCCCTCATGCCCCTCCCAACCCCTCATCTCCCTGTCTTCCTCAGTGGTACTGACTGTCCTCACCCACACCCCTGCCCCTCGAGTGAGACTGGGACAAGATGCTCTGCTGGACTTGAGCTTTGCCTACATGCCCCCCACCTCCGAGGCCGCCTCATCTCTGGCTCCGGGTCCCCCTCCCTTTGGGCTAGAGTGGCGACGCCAGCACCTGGGTAAGGGACATCTGCTCCTGGCTGCAACTCCTGGGCTGAATGGCCAGATGCCAGCAGCCCAAGAAGGGGCCGTGGCATTTGCTGCTTGGGATGATGATGAGCCATGGGGCCCATGGACCGGAAATGGGACCTTCTGGCTGCCTAGAGTTCAACCCTTTCAGGAGGGCACCTATCTGGCCACCATACACCTGCCATACCTGCAAGGACAGGTCACCCTGGAGCTTGCTGTGTACAGTGAGTTGGGGGACAGAGGTCTCCAGGGGTAGAGGGTGGGCACTGGATTGTGGTGACCGTAATAGGGGGAGGGATGATGGATAAGAGGGTGCCTGGGCAAGTAAGTAGAGATAGAAAGAGGTTCCTGGGAGTTAGAGGGGTAATGGGAGGCTAGAAGTTTCCTGGAAATTTGAGGGGCTTTGACATGGGTATTTCTGTGACGCACCAATGGAGAGACAGTGGGTACCCTATTTCAGGAGAAGAAACCTAACCTTCTTTAGTTCTGAGGAAGCCAGCAGGCAAACTGAGGGTCTCTTAGGGAGGACAGTATGGACTGATTTCCCTATGCTCATTTCGTCCTCTTTCCCCAGAACCCCCCAAAGTGTCCCTGATGCCAGCAACCCTTGCACGGGCCGCCCCAGGGGAGGCACCCCCGGAATTGCTCTGCCTTGTGTCCCACTTCTACCCTTCTGGGGGCCTGGAGGTGGAGTGGGAACTCCGGGGTGGCCCAGGGGGCCGCTCTCAGAAGGCCGAGGGGCAGAGGTGGCTCTCGGCCCTGCGCCACCATTCCGATGGCTCTGTCAGCCTCTCTGGGCACTTGCAGCCGCCCCCAGTCACCACTGAGCAGCATGGGGCACGCTATGCCTGTCGAATTCACCATCCCAGCCTGCCTGCCTCGGGGCGCAGCGCTGAGGTCACCCTGGAGGTAGCAGGTAAGAGCTGGGAGCTCTGCGGAATCTGAGCCAGCACCCAGGAAGACAGGAGCTCACTCTCACCCCTTCTGCCTGCCAGGTCTTTCAGGGCCCTCCCTTGAGGACAGCGTAGGCCTTTTCCTGTCTGCCTTTCTTCTGCTTGGGCTCTTCAAGGCACTGGGCTGGGCTGGTAAGTGTCAGCCCTACCCTGACCATGACCTGAGGTTGGTGGACTTTCCCCACCTACTCCCAAGAGCCTGACACCCATCCCTCTGCCCTCCACCTCTACCACTCCAGCATCCCATCCCTTCTCAATCTTTCCCCACAGCTGTCTACCTGTCCACCTGCAAGGATTCAAAGAAGGTACAGTGCTCCACCTCTCTGTATCTTTCCCTTGTCACTTTATCTCCTCATCCTATCTCAAAACCCATGGAGGGAGGCTGCTGGTGTGGTAGGCAGAACCTAGGCTTGGAATTCACACTGATCTGGGTTAAAACCTGGCACTATATCCTAACTGTAGGACTCTTTGAGCATGCTACTTAATCTATATGTTTCCTTGGGTGTAGGGATTTTAAAAAGTTACTTAGGCAGTGCTGTCCAATAGAAAGATAATGCAAGCCACATATGTAAATTTAAATACTCTAGTACTCACATTAAAAAAATAAGCAGAAACAGGTAAAATTAACTTAATAATATACCTTATTTAATCTAATAATTCTGGTCCCTTATCTGAAATGCTTGGGTCAGAAGTGTTTTTGGATGTTGGATTTTTTCAGACTTTGGAATATTTGCATATATTTAATATCTTTGGGATCAGACCCAAATCTAAACACAGAAATCATTTATGTTTCCTATACACCTTATACACATGGCCTGAAGATTTTTTTCCTTCTCTTTTTTTTTGAGACAGAGTCTCTGTCGCCCAGGCTGGGGTGCAATGGTGCGATCTCGGCTCACTGCAACCTCCACCTCCCAGGTTCAAGCGATTCTCCTGCCTTAGCCTCCCGAGTAGTTGGGATTACAGGCACCCACCACCACGCCTGGCTAATTTTTGTATTTTTAGTAGAGACGGGGTTTCACCATGTTGGTCAGGCTGGTCTCGAACTCCCGACCTCAGGTGATCCGCCCGCTGCCTTGGCCTCCCAAAGCGTTGGGATTACAGGTGTGAACCGCTGCACCCGACCACAATATTTTTAATAATATATGTGACCCATCACATGAGGGCAGCTGTGGGATTTTCCACTTGTGGCATCATGTTGGCACTAAAAAAATTTCAGGTTTTGGAACATTTCAGATTTTAGAGTTTTGGATCGGCGATGCTCAACCTGTACATCCAAAATATTATTGCAACATGTAAACAATATAAGAAATTACAGGCCGGGTGCGATGGCTCATGCCTGTAATCCCTGCACTTCGGGAGGCCGAGGCGGGAGGATCACCTGAGGTCAGGAGTTCAAGACCAGCTTAGCCAACATGATGAAACCCCATCTCTACTAAAAATACAAAAAATTAGCCAGATGTGACGGCACCTGTAATCCCAGCTACTCGGGAGACTGGGGCAGGAGAATCGCTTGAACCTGGGAGGCAGAGGTTGCAGTGAGCTGAGATCACACCATTGCACTCCAGCCTGGGTGACAAAAGGAAAACTTCGTCTCAACAACAAAAAAAAAAAGAAAAAGAAATTACAGTCTTGGCCAGGTGCGTTGGTTCACGCCTGTAATCCTAGCACTTTGGGAGGCTGAGGAGGGCGGATCACCTGAGGTCAGGAGTTCAAGACCAGCCTGGCCAACATGGTGAAACCCCGTCTCTACTAAAAATACAGAAAAATTAGCCGGGCATGGTGGTGCACACCTGTAATCTCAGCTACTCAGGAGGCTGAGGCAGGAGAATTGCTTGAACCTGGGAGGTGGAGGTTGCAGTGAGCCGAGATCGCACCACTGCACTCCAGCCTGGGCAACAGAGTGAGGCTCTGTCTCAAAAAACAAAACAAAACAAAACAAAACAAATTAGCTGGGCATGGTGGCACACAGCTATAGTCCCAGCTACTTGGGGAGCTGTGGCAGAAGGATCGCTTGAATCTGGGAGGGTGAGGCTGCAATGAGCTAAGGTTGTCCCACTGTACTCCAGCCTGGGTGACAAAGTGAGACCCTGTCTCAAAAAAAAAAAAAAAAAAGAAAGAAAAGAAAATAAATTGCAGCCCTTTTCTCACCTTAAGTATTCAAACACAGGTGTTTATTTTAAATAGTCAGCACATCTCAATTCGGACTAGCCACATATCAAATGCTCAATAGCCTAATGTGGGTGGTGGCTGTCATATTGGACAGCGGAGCCTGAGAGGACTTTTAGGAGGATTAAGGAAGACAGTGTATCTCCTTAAGAAGATGCAGGAGATACAGCACTCAGCACAGTGTCTGGAGGGCAGAAAATATTAGCCTCATCCTTCTCCCATCATCTGTGCCCATGATAGTTTATATGTCTCTAAACTGACCATGTACACCTCAACTGCCTTTTAATATCCTGAATTCCTCACCACCTTCCTCTCTTCCAGAAAGCAGAGTGAGGGCACTCACTGCCATCCTGTGGAAGCCACCATCATCTCTGGCCCAAGCTTCTGTAGTAGCTCCCTAAAATAATACCCTATCATCTGCTCCTAATCCCTCCAATCTCTCTCCACTGAGTGGCTGGAATGCTTTTTTTTTTTTCTTTCACTTATATAAGGGATAATTTTTCTTTTTTTTTTTTTTTTGAGACGGAGTCTCACTCTTCCGCCCAGGCTGCAGTGCAGTGGCATGATCTTGGCTTACTGCAACCTCCGCCTCCTGGGTTCAAGCAATTCTGTGGCTTCAGCCTCCGGAGTAGCTGGGATTACAGGCACATGCCACCACACCCAGTGAATTTTTGTATTTTTAGTAGAGACGGGGTTTCACCATGTTGGCCAGGCTGGTCTTGAATTCCTGACCTCAGGTGATCTGCCCACCTCAGCCTCCCAAAGTGCTGGGATTACAGGCGTGAGCCACCACACCAGGCCCGAGAAATGCTTTTTTAAAAAACACACATCTTATGGCATTCACCTTCTTGGAGCTCTAGGACAGTGGTTCTCAAAATTTTTTTCTCTCAGGACCTCTTAAAAATCATCAAGGACCCCAAAAAGCTTTTGGGTATGTGGGTTATAGCTATCAATATTTATGGTACTAGAACTTAAAAGTGAGAAAAATTTAAAACACGAGAATACATAGGCACACATTCTATTCATCGTGGGAACCATGGTGTCAATACATATCATGTAGCTTCTGAAAAACTCCACTGTACACTTATAGAATGAAGAAGGCAAAAAACTTTTTTTTTTTTTTTTTGAGACTGAGTCTCGCTCTGTCGCCCAGGCTGGAGTGCAGTGGCGCGATCTCGGCTCACTGCAAGCTCCGCCTCTCGGGTTCACGCCATTCTCCTGCCTCAGCCTCCCAAGTAGCTCGGACTACAGGCGTCCTCCACCATGCCTGGCTAATATTTTGTATTTTTTAGTAGAGACGGGGTTTCACCGTGTTAGCCAGGATGGTCTCGATCTCCTAACCTGGTGATCCGCCCGCCTCGGCCTCCCAAAGTATTGGGATTACCCGCGTGAGCCACCGCGCCCGGCTGCAAATAATCTTTCTTTTTTTCTTTTTTTCTGAGACAGAGTCTCGCTCTGTTGCCCAGGCTGGAGTGCAGTGGCACGATCTCGGCTCACGGCACGCTCCGCCTCCCGGGTTCACGCCATTCTCCTGCCTCAGCTTCCCGAGTAGCTGGGACTACAGGGGCCCGCCACCACGCCCGGCTAACTTTTTGTGTTTTTAGTAGAGACGGGGTTTCACCGTGTTAGCCAGGATGGTCTCGATCTCCTGACCTTGTGATCTGCCCGCCTCGGCCTCCCAAAGTGCTGGGATTACAGGCGTGAGCCACCGCGCCCGGCGGCGAAACACGATATTGTACTAACATCTTAATTTTGTTATAAAATCTCACAAACCCCCTGACATAGTCTCAGAGATCTGTAGGGCCGAGGTTACATTTGGAGAACCCGTACTCTAGGGCCAAATCCATTCTTCTTGCCCTGGCTCACTTGTCCCCCCCACCGCCCCGCGCTGGAGCCACTGCCTAGTTCTTCAGCCCTAGATGGTGCTCGCCAGACCTCCTCTCAATGCTCATCACACACAGGGCTATTCCTTTCCTCCAATGAACCAAACGCCTCCCGCCCACCTCCAGGTCCCAGTCCTCTGTTCCCTTTGCCTGGTCCACCCTTGCCCTCCCTGGGTCGCAGACGAGGTCGGCCTCGTCATTCCCCGCAGACCGCCGCGCGTCCCTCTTGTGCGGTTCACCACAGTTGTATTTAAGTGATCGTGTGAGTCGTCGTTAAATGCCTGTCTCCCCGCGGATCATGGGCTCCTCGAGGACAGGGACCGGCCTGTCTGTCCACTGCTGTAACCCCGCGCCGGCATAGGGACCTAAGGCCCACTGGAGGGCGCTCATCAAGTAGCTGCTGGATGTTGACGAAGGAAGCGGCGGCGCAGCTCAGGGATCTCCGAGTCAGGACGGTCGGCCAGACCCACGGGGTAACGGGTCTAATCGTGTAGGAATAAAGCTGTATTCCAGTGCTTCCAAACGGTTCTCTCATTCCAACCCCTTTCCAAGCTCAATGAATATTCCAATCACCTCTGGTCCCTTCCAGTGACCCTGAACCGCTCAGAGAACGCCCCGTCGACACCGTTCGGGGCGGGCGCCACTACTGGCGCATGAGATGCGCTCAAGCAGAGGGTACTCCACCAGCGAGGATACACCGAGCCGACGGGGATCTCGGTCTCGGCGCCGGAAGCCTCTGAGAGCCGAATCTGGAACCGGATGTGGCTGCTTCCTGCCCCGCCCCCTGCCGAGGGGGCGGGAATCGAGGGCCCTTCGGAAAACCCGGCCGGGATTTCGGTCAGCTACATTCGTGGGTTGTGGTAGGGAGGGTAATCCCGTGGGGATGGAGTGACCGGCTCTCTCTCCGCCTGAAACGCTTCCCGCGGGAGTTTTAGCCGTGTTATTGTTGGGGAAGGGAATGTCAAATTCTGCTCCTGCCTTCCCCCAGGGGCTGGAGACTGGAATCTTTATTCCAGTTCATTGCGGGTCGACGTGGTCTCCAGAATCCCCGAGTGTAGAGGCGGAGGACAGTGGAGCTGGGGACTCGGGCGCCTGGGTCCTGGTCCCTGAGCGTCCAGCGCTCCCCTAGTCCGCGGCCCTGGCTCCTGTCCTCACTTCCTTCCCCTTTTGGCTCCTGCTCTCGGAGCGGGCGGACGCGGGGGGGAGCGGAAAGGGCGGGAGGGCCCAGGAGCCCGGCGGGGGGGTTCAAGGGGGTACGGAAAAGCCGGGGAGGGGACTCGGTCCGGGGCCGGAGACCGACGGCAACAGCGGCTCAGGACCCACGCTGCCCCCACCCCTCCCGAGCAGGTCAGAGCCTGAGCACCCTGCGCGTCCCCGTACTCGTGACCTCCTCCTTCCCCAACAGCACCAAGGGCCCCCCTATTCCACCCTTCTGTTGCCCCCTCCCCCAACCTTCCTGCAGAACTCCCTTCCGGTCTTCTTGACACCCACCCACGTCCCTTCCCTGCCCGGTTCCCCCGCGCCTGCCTGACTCTCCACCCCCACCCCACCCCGTCTCTCCCCAGGCGCCCCCATGGCCCGACCCCGCTGATTCCTTCACTCGGCCATGCTCCCGCGGCCCCTGCGGCTGCTTTTGGACACGAGCCCCCCCGGGGGAGTCGTACTGAGCAGCTTCCGAAGCCGGGACCCCGAAGAGGGTGGGGGCCCAGGTGGCCTGGTCGTGGGCGGGGGGCAGGAGGAAGAGGAGGAGGAAGAAGAAGAGGTGAGACGCGGGTGGTGGGAGGTAGGGGGCGTATGTATTTCTGAAGTCTCCACTTTTCTCTTGTCTCTGGGTCCCTACATCTCCTCCTCCTTGCCTCAGTTATTCTCGCGCCTCCCTGGGTGTCGGCCCGTTTCTCTGCTGCGGGGAGTCCTGGCGTCTCCGTGGTTCTCTGTCAGTGTGACTCAGGACCTGCCCGCAGGAACCTGCCCTGTTCCTGCCTGGAACTTCTGGCTGGCTGTCCTGTCCCTGCGGGTCTTTGGCCCTCCACCTCTGCCTGCCTGAGTGTGCCTACCTCTCTGAGCAGTCGTGTCTTGGTCCCTGTCTCCCTCCTTGTTTTTGTTTGGCGGGGAGGGGTTTGTTTCCACAGTAACCAGCTCCTCTGACTCTGGGATTGGGGAGGGAACCCTCAGATTTCGTGACCCCTCCTTCCCTCTCTCCCCCTTCCCCCCGCCCCCCCGCCCCGCCCCGGTCCTGGGTAGAGGCCGGGAAGCCACGGTTCTGGGACCTGGAGGAAAGATCCTAGGGTGGGTAGAGAGTGGTCATCTGTTTTCATTAGGGATTAATGGTGGTGGCCAGGAGCAGGATTTCGGGCCTCAGGAGGGGCCAGAATTTGGATTTGGGGCCCCGAGGCCCTAAACTCCTAGGTCCAGATCCTAGGTGAGGGCAGGTTGACTGGCAGGGCTGGTTTTTCGGGATCGGTCGGGGGAGGGGCTGGGGCCACGTGACTCTCTGAGTCTACCGCCCCCAACCCCCTATCATCCCACTTCCCCTTTTCCTTCCTGTACTGGGATTGGAGCTGCTACCTTCGGGGGTCCCTTAGGGCTGAGATAGTGGAGGCGCTACCCGAGGGACCAGGGTGAAAGGGGTCCTGAAAAAGACTAATTCTCTGGGCTGGTATAGTCCTTGGCCGGGAGGGGCGGGGCATGCGGCAGTGCCTGGACTGAGGTTTCAGCTACCCCTAGTCGCTGCCTCTGGCTTGCTGCCTCTCGCTTCCCTCTCCTGCCCTTTGTACCCTGCTTCTCTGTCGTGTGTGGGTTCAGCTCTGGGGAGAAGGGGCTTTGGGGGTCTCCAGGATCAGAATTCCTGTACTCCATCCACGCCTCCACTGCAGCCCCTTCGACTCCACCGGGGCCCTGAGGCGGCTGGGGTGGGGCTGTCTGGGCCCCAGTGGGGGAGACCTGGGGTCACCAGCTCCCCCAACCCTTCCTCGCACTCGCTGGTACTATGCCCTGCCACCACAGGTGAGGGGTACAGAGGGAGGAGCAGGGCCTGGGGTGAAGGCTGAGGGCAATGGGGGGTGGTGTGGAACTGTCTGACTTCCCCTTCCTTGCTCCTCCAGGCCCCTGTGTCCGTCTGGGATGAGGAGGAGGATGGTGCCGTGTTTACCGTCACAAGCCGCCAATATCGACCTCTTGATCCCTTGGTGAGATCATGACTTTAGCTTCTCACCTCTGACTCTTCATTCCCAGTTTTCCTTCCTCTGGCTGACTTTCTGGCCAGAGTGCTAGGTTGGAGTTCTGGAGTCCTGGACTCTGCTGTGTGACATAGGCCAAGACTCTTGCCCTCTCTGAATATCAGAAAAATGAGTCTGGAACATCTCCTGGGTCTGGGATTGTCCTCAGAAATCTAGGTGCAGAGTGGGAGAAAGGGTTAGCGATCATCTCTCTGTGTTCTCCAGGTCCCTATGCCTCCCCCACGTTCCTCCCGACGGCTCCGAGCTGGCACTCTGGAGGCCCTGGTCAGACACCTACTGGATACCCGGACATCAGGGACTGATGTGAGCTTCATGTCAGCCTTCCTGGCTACCCACCGGGCCTTCACCTCCACGCCTGCCTTGCTAGGGCTTATGGCTGACAGGTCAGAGTCATAAGGGACGCAGGGTAGTGGAGTATCTGCCCGGATTTCCTAAAGCCGCAACATCCCACCAAAATAGTCAAAGCCACTGAGGGTTTGGGAAAAATGGACAGATAGATCCTCTTCTCCCCCTCAGGCTGGAAGCCCTTGAATCTCATCCTACCGACGAACTAGAGAGGACAACAGAGTGAGTGACCCCTGGTTCTTAATCTCACAGTCCCCTCTGCCCAGGCTGCAGCTTTACCTCTCACCCTTGGCTGATTCCCTTCTCCCAGGGTAGCCATCTCTGTACTGTCAACCTGGCTGGCCTCTCACCCTGAGGATTTTGGCTCTGAGGCCAAGGGTCAGCTTGACCGGCTTGAGAGCTTCTTACTTCAGACAGGGTATGCAGCAGGGAAGGGTGTTGGGGGGGGCAGCGCTGACCTCATCCGCAATCTCCGGTCCCGGGTGGACCCCCAGGCCCCCGACCTTCCTAAGCCCCTGGCCCTCCCCGGCGATCCCCCTGCTGACCCCACGGATGTCCTGGTGTTCCTCGCTGACCACTTGGCCGAACAGCTGACCCTGCTAGATGCGGTGAGACCCTGACCTCTGGCCCCTATGCCCCCTGACCCCTTACTAACCTCTCCTTGACTCCAGATCCTTTCCTTGCTTCCACCCCTTCCTGATCCAGCTCCTAGCCTCCTCCACCTACCATTTTGATTCTCCCCTTTTCCCTTTGGTCGTTACCCTTCAAACCCTGTGCCCCTCTGGTTCCTTGGCCACCTGAGATCCTCAGATCCCTGATATTGGAAGGCTGACCTCACTTGACTATGAACTTTAACCTCTGACCTCTACCCTGCAGGAACTTTTTCTCAATTTGATCCCCTCTCAGTGCCTGGGAGGCCTGTGGGGTCACAGAGACCGGCCAGGACATTCTCACCTCTGCCCATCTGTCCGAGCTACTGTCACACAGTTTAACAAGGTGGCAGGGGCAGTGGTTAGTTCTGTCCTGGGGGCTACTTCCACTGGAGAGGGACCTGGGGAGGTGACCATACGGCCACTCCGTCCCCCACAGAGGGCCCGGCTCCTGGAGAAGTGGATCCGCGTGGCAGAGGTGAGAGAGAAGATTGCCCTACGGTTTGTGGCCATGGAATGGAGAGGCCTCCCATAGCCTTAGCTCTCTTCTTTGACCCCCACAGGAGTGCCGGCTGCTCCGAAACTTCTCTTCAGTTTATGCCGTGGTGTCAGCCCTGCAGTCCAGCCCCATCCACAGGCTTCGGGCAGCCTGGGGGGAAGCAACCAGGTGCGGAGGCTGAGGCATTGGACTGGGGTGGGGGTTCCTCAGAAGGCGGGGAAGAGGGGGTGACAGAGCCAGGCCTGTCCTCAGGGCCACTTTTCTCCCTTCCCCAGGGACAGCCTCAGAGTCTTTTCCAGCCTCTGCCAGATTTTCTCCGAGGAGGATAATTATTCCCAGAGTCGGGAGCTGCTCGTGCAGGTGAGAGCCTGGTTTGTGGCATTCCCACCTCTCCTTGTTCCCTACTGCTCCCCCATGTCTCTTTTATTTTGTCACCACCAGGAGGTGAAGCTGCAGTCTCCTCTGGAGCCACACTCCAAGAAGGCCCCGAGGTCTGGCTCCCGGGGTGGGGTGAGTGACTAGCGGGGTGGTGGGCGTGGGGGTGGTGATTATGAAGGGGTGAGGAGTATGTTTTGGGGGAGCAGCCTGAAGGATGGGTAAGGGAGGCACAGAGGGGTGAGGAGAATGAAATCTGTTCTCTGAGGCAATGAGGAGGGCAAGTGCGGAGGGATGGAGGGCCCTCACGTCAATGGCAGGCACTTCTGACCCTGACCCCTGACTTCAGGGTGTGGTCCCATACCTTGGCACCTTCCTGAAGGACCTTGTGATGCTGGATGCAGCCTCCAAGGATGAGTTGGAGGTCAGTGGTGTGTGTGTGTGTCATTGCAATGATGTAACAAGTGGGCTGCAGGGTCGGACAGACCCCCCCGCCCCTTGCAAGGGGCTGTAAGGCACAAATAGCTGAGTGTGGGACAGAGCCAGATCTGTTTCTGTGCCAAGTCGCCTCAGTGATCTGTAAATGGGAAACTAGAAATAGCATCTACATTGATCTGTTATAAGGGTTAAATGAATTTGTATTTGTCAAGTGCTTAGAACGTGCCTGAAACGTAAGCACATCTAGGTTTTGTGATGGGCTCCTGCTCTATTGCTAGAGTTTGTTAAATAAACAAATACTGAGACCTTGGACAAGTTCCTTATCCTCTCTGGATAAGGAATCCTGTCGAATTGGATACTATCCAGTCCTCTCATCTGCAAAGCAGACTCGTTGTCTACCTGAGAAATTCAATTTAAAGGGTCAAGTGGAGTGCTTAGGCCATGATAGATTGAGGAGGAAGGCAGGGAGGGATCGAAGAGTCAGAGAGGCTGGAGGGAAGTGGTTGTGAGTTGGATGTGGCTGTGTGTGTTTAAGAGAGGGGATATTCTCTCTCTGTGGCCGGAAGGTAGGGTTGGAACCTTCACCCCATCCCCATTTTCCTCGCAGAATGGATACATCAATTTTGACAAGCGGAGGAAGGTGAGCGGAGTGTCTGGGCTGGATGCTGGACTTCCCTATCCATGTTCCAGGAAGGGGAGGGGGAAAAGTCAGGGGTCCCTGAGTTTTGGCTCCTGCAGTTTGAGGGCTCCTTCCCAGGAGTTTGCAGTCCTTTCTGAGTTGCGACGGCTCCAGAATGAATGTCGTGGCTATAACCTCCAACCTGACCATGATATCCAGAGGTGGCTACAGGGGCTCCGGCCACTGACAGAGGCTCAGAGGTGACTGGCGGGTGAGGTTGGGACTCCAGGGTTCTGGCCAGGTGTGGGGGATTGGTGTCATGTCCTGAGCTCTGCCTATTGCCCCCCTAACCCAGCCATCGTGTATCCTGTGAGGTGGAGCCACCTGGTTCCAGTGACCCTCCTGCCCCACGGGTGCTTCGGCCAACATTGGTCATCTCGCAGTGGACAGAGTGAGAGATTCACTGGCTGGGGGGTGGTTTCTTGGGACTTCCACTTTTCTCTGATCCTCCCAATCTCCTGCCACTGCAGGGTTTTGGGCTCTGTTGGGGTCCCTACCCCGCTTGTGTCCTGTGACCGGCCCAGTACTGGGGGAGATGAGGCGCCTACAACTCCTGCTCCTCTGCTGACTCGGCTGGCCCAGGTGAGCTCTGCTCCTGACTCTGACCTTGACGCTGACCCTCACTCTGTAAATGTTTCTTCCTTAAACCTCCCTGCCTTCATGCCAGTCCCATGTTGTTTGTTCCTAGCACATGAAGTGGCCATCTGTCTCGTCACTAGACTCTGCCTTGGAAAGCAGTCCATCCCTGCACAGTCCAGCTGACCCCAGCCACCTCTCCCCACCAGCCTCCTCCCCTAGGCCTTCTCGAGGTCACCGCCGCTCAGCCTCCTGTGGCTCCCCGCTGAGTGGGGGTGCAGAAGAGGCCTCCGGGGGGACTGGATATGGGGGAGAGGGATCTGGGCCAGGGGCCTCTGATTGCCGTATCATCCGAGTCCAGATGGAGTTGGGGGAAGATGGCAGTGTCTATAAGAGCATTTTGGTGAGGGAGCCTTGGGATGGAGTTGGGGTGAAGGATGGTGTCTTGTTGGACTATAAATGTTGTCTGAGGTTTGGGCAGCCAAATGGAATTGAATGTAGTTTTAATTTTGACCTTTGGTTTTGGCAGTTATGTTTTATTTTTAATTTTATCTTCTAAACTCTAGTCTTCAATAGAAGCTGAAATTTGTTTTATTTTGATGGCTATTTTGCATTAGTTGCTACACCTTAAACTTTTGGTCGCCGTGTTAAAATTTCAGAATCAACAGCAGTTTCCCCACAGGGAAGCAGCTCTGTTTCACTGGGCACCATGTGGGCTGGCTTATGGGGTATAGGAAGCCACCATATTGGGTTTTCCTGTTCATTTTAAAGCCTTGGACACAAGTAACATTTTGTGGTTGGGTTCAGTGGCTGAGGGTAGAAGGATGGGAAATCATGGCTGATTGATTGCTCTTTTGGTCTCCTGTTCTGCCAGGTGACAAGCCAGGACAAGGCTCCAAGTGTCATCAGTCGTGTCCTTAAGAAAAACAATCGTGACTCTGCAGTGGCTTCAGAGTATGAGCTGGTACAGCTGCTACCAGGGGAGCGAGGTCAGAGGCCATGAGGGAAAGGCAGACTCGGGAGGAGAGTGGAGTACTTCCACATCTGGGCGGCTGTGGGGGGAACAACTGTGTGTGTGCTTTACATCCATCCCCTGAACCTTCAGAGCTGACTATCCCAGCCTCGGCTAATGTATTCTACGCCATGGATGGAGCTTCACACGATTTCCTCCTGCGGCAGCGGCGAAGGTCCTCTACTGCTACACCTGGCGTCACCAGTGGCCCGTCTGCCTCAGGAACTCCTCCGAGTGAGGGAGGAGGGGGCTCCTTTCCCAGGATCAAGGCCACAGGGAGGAAGATTGCACGGGCACTGTTCTGAGGAGGAAGCCCCGTTGGCTTACAGAAGTCATGGTGTTCATACCAGATGTGGGTAGCCATCCTGAATGGTGGCAATTATATCACATTGAGACAGAAATTCAGAAAGGGAGCCAGCCACCCTGGGGCAGTGAAGTGCCACTGGTTTACCAGACAGCTGAGAAATCCAGCCCTGTGGGAACTGGTGTCTTATAACCAAGTTGGATACCTGTGTATAGCTTCCCACCTTCCATGAGTGCAGCACACAGGTAGTGCTGGAAAAACGCATCAGTTTCTGATTCTTGGCCATATCCTAACATGCAAGGGCCAAGCAAAGGCTTCAAGGCTCTGAGCCCCAGGGCAGAGGGGAATGGCAAAATGTAGGTCCTCGCAGGAGCTCTTCTTCCCACTCTGGGGGTTTCTATCACTGTGACAACACTAAGATAATAAACCAAAACACTACCTGAATTCTACTCCCCTGTCCTTGCAGTACATATGAACTGGCTGCTATGAGTGGGGGTGGGGAATTGGCTGAAGGTAGATGCCATGGAACAGGAAGGGGCACAATGTTTTCTGTCCCCATGAACAGAGCAAAAAGTGAGGTATTGGTGAAAAAAGTTTCCTCAGAACAGTTTCTCTCCAGTAACCTCTCTACCACTGGTCCCTTGCTGCAAATGTGTATAAAACAATTTTAGGACAAGGAAATGGCAGAACAACTTTATGGACAACATATAAACTTGGGAGGACTTATAATACCATAAAGCATTACATGCTGGGATTTTAAGTCAGTTTAAAGCTACATTCAAGCAAATTCTAGGAAGACAGAGGCTGAAAAGTACTAATAGAGATGCCAGGGCTGTTGGCAAGGAGGGTAACCACATTTCATCCTGGGGCCTCAGGTTAGAGAACTGTGTATTCTTTTTCAATTAAACCGACATTCCTAGCAATATGGTATGTTGCAAATGCCCTTCCAAAAGAATCATGCCAACCAAGATGAGGGAGAGTTAAGGGTTGTATATACAGGCAAGAAGTAGGTTTGAAGACATTTAGGATTTCACTTTCAAGAAAGAACACTGTGCCACAAAGAGATTCCAAGTGCAAGAGTTTGAACCTGAGGGGGTAATACAGGTGGTGTGTGTTAAGGTGGAAGGGGCTGTGGGGATATGACAGAAGTGCCTGGTCAGGAAACAGAGCCAGGTGTTTTTACATTTTATTAGCTACAGTATAGATCCTAGAGCTGCCTCATTCCCTCCCCTCCCCTCCCCTCCCCCCACCATGGGGTCAGGCCTTGCCAGGAGCCCCTGCCTTTGCTGCCTGGGCCCGCTGGAACTCCTGCTGCAGCTGAGCAAGGGTCTCCCTCTGTTGCTCTGACTGCCGCTCAAGATCCCGAAGCTGGGATTCGTATCGCTTACTAAGGAGAGACAAGGGAGACAAGCAGAAAGGGAGAAATTAGTAGGACTTACTATGGAGAGTGCTAAACGCAAGAAAGAGATAGGTGGAAAACTTGAGATCCAGGGGAGGGAGAAGAAGGGGGGTTAAAAGGGAAGGAAAGGGTTGGAGGAACTGGAGGACTAGGGGCCACTATGGAGAGCTGTTCTGCAATGGTTCAACACCTCTACTCCAATGGTTCACTTGCATCACAGGGTGCAGCACACGGTGGTGGAATAAAAACTCACATTTCAGCTGTGATATAGTCCAGCCTCTTCCCTACTGTGGCCCGAGCCTCCCCCAGCTCCTGTTTGACTAGCACCGGACCCAGAAGTTTAAAGACCACGTTGGACCCATCCAGCAGGGCCAGTTCCTGATGGAGGGATGGGACATATGTGATCAGAACCATGGCTAGTACAGGTCCCTCCTCGCCCCACAAATCCCAGTCCCTCACCTCTTTCACGATATTATTTTCTGTTAGTTGTGCTTCAAGTTTCTGCCTCCCCGACATGGATTTACTTAAGTCTGGGGATGAGAGGAAAGGCAATTTAGAAACATCAAATGTGCCACCTATCCCCACAATCCTAGTCAGGTGGATATGGATCTGAGGAAGCAGAAAAGGATGGGGGCAGCGGGTGAGTGAACAGGGAAGAGTACTGAGACTGAGGCGGGGAAGTCTCTGCACGCGAGGGCCCAGATGGGGCAACAAACCTTATCTCGGTAATGGCTTTGGGTTGTAAGTGCATTGGGCGAGACCATACCGACCCTGTTCCCTTACCCTTCTGTAGCTGTTGATATTTCTCCACTTCTCCCTGTAGCTTCTTCTGGATCAGCTCCGCCATGGCGGGGATGAAAGCCTACTGGGTGCGAGACAAGGGCGCTGGGTCTCACTCTCTGGAAGGTACCTGAGCTCCCTTTTCTGATCTGGCCTGCGGAAATGATAGCACTCTTGAGAGGTAGCCCTGAGGGGCACCGCAACCTCCCCCCCGTCCCGGATATCGACTCCACCCTGTCCCCAGGAGATGGTGGGCGAAACGCAAGACCCCAAGCCTCTCAACCGAAATCCTAACCTACTCACGTTCTTCCTTCAGTAGTAATAAACCCGGAAGTAAACAAGGAATGCTGGGAAAAGACTGTGCCGGAAGTTTCTTTCTGACCCTTGATGGGAAGTGTAGTTCTGACATGTTTAGGGAGTGGAGTTCTGCTAAAAAGACTAGACTAGGACATTTTTAGGCAAGATGGGGAAACTAATCCAGAAAAAGAAACCGCACCGCTACTTAGCCCCTGGCCCCGGACCTGCCTTTCTTTTTTAAGTCACTCTTGCATAAGCTGCCGCTCGCGATAAGGTGCCAAAAACTGTTCCGCCCCTCTAAGGAGAGCGTGCCCTCACTCAAGATGGCACCTAGAGAGCTTCATACCTGGTACGCTGCTGATTGGATGAAGGACAGAGGGCTTCCGGGAGTTTTCAAGCCGACTGTGTGGCAGCTGAGAAGAGTTTTGCACGTGGATCGCCGTTCGGGTGGGCGAGATGGAGACAGCCCCCAAGCCGGGCAAGGATGTCCCGCCCAAGAAAGACAAACTTCAGACCAAGAGAAAGGTAGAGGCCTCCCTGGGTGGGAAACGAAGTTTTTAGCTGTGGGGTCGGGGGGCGGGGCGTGAGTGCGGAGTTCCTGATGTGCCTGTAGAAACCGCGGCGATACTGGGAGGAAGAGACCGTTCCGACCACAGCCGGAGCCTCTCCAGGGCCTCCTCGTAACAAGAAGAATCGGGAGCTCCGTCCTCAGAGACCAAAAAATGCTTACATCTTAAAGAAGTCTCGGATCTCTAAGAAGCCTCAGGTCCCGAAGAAACCCCGAGAATGGAAGAACCCGGAGTCCCAGCGCGGCTTGTCCGGGGTGAGCGTGGGACCTGATGGGTGGCGAGGCAGGCCGCCTCGTTCCTTGAGAGTGAGAGGGTTGGGGTCAATCCAAGGCTGTCTGCTAATTGCGTCCTCCTTTCCCCTAGGCCCAAGATCCATTCCCAGGCCCCGCCCCCGTCCCTGTGGAAGTGGTCCAGAAGTTCTGTCGCATTGACAAATCCCGAAAGGTGAGGTCCAGCCGGAGAGTTGGGAAGTGCTGGAGGCAGGGAGTGTCTGGGTGAGTTGGATGGAGGCTGGGACAGGTAGCTCTCCTGTGACCCCACTTATCCTGTGGTTCTTCTGCCACTCCTCCCCACCAACAATGTTACAGCTACCACATTCTAAAGCCAAAACTCGAAGCCGACTTGAGGTGGCTGAAGCTGAGGAAGAGGAAACAAGTATCAAAGCTGCTCGTTCTGAGCTGCTGCTTGCTGAAGAACCTGGGTGAGTGAGCCCTAATCTGGACCCCCATTCCCTGCCTTATGGGACTGTCTTTTCTCGTTTTTATGTTGGTATACTTGCTTCATATTGGGAAGCTTTACTGCCATCCTAACCCTTGCTTTCAGGTTTCTGGAAGGGGAGGATGGGGAAGACACAGCAAAGATATGCCAGGCTGACATTGTGGAGGCTGTGGACATTGCAAGTGCAGCCAAGGTGAGCCTGAGGAGGTAAAGGAGCCAAGGGATTGATTGGTGGTGCAGGACAATAGAGGAATGGGGGCTAGAAGAAGGCGTTACTGCAGGGCACTCTTTTTTTTCACTCTTCTCTTTCCCAGCACTTTGACTTGAATCTGCGGCAGTTTGGACCCTACAGACTAAACTACTCTCGAACTGGAAGGTAAGGTTGAATTCTAGTGACTCTTGAACTAAGATGTGTTTCCTTAACCACTTCAGCCATTCCCAGTGTATGTTTGGGTTGCTGATGAGGGGAGGGTCCTTCGATTTGCTTGGGTGTGAGGGTAAGCACCTACAGCAACATGTGTCTGCCCGCCTGGAGAGATGGGGCTGGCGTGGGGCAGACCTCAAGTTGTCTGAGTCGGTGGTCCCCTGCCTTAACACCCTGCCTGCCCCTCACCTCCAACAGACACCTGGCTTTTGGAGGGCGCCGAGGTCATGTGGCTGCCCTTGATTGGGTAACAAAGAAGCTTATGTGCGAGATCAACGTCATGGAGGCGGTGCGGGACATCCGGTCAGTGGCCTCACTGTCAGCGGTCAGTTGGGGTGAGATAGTCCATTCCTGATTGAATGATAGCCTGTGACCTCATTTCCCAATTGAACCACTCTTCCTCTCCCCCAGGTTTCTCCATTCTGAGGCACTGCTTGCTGTTGCTCAGAACCGCTGGCTCCACATCTATGACAATCAGGGCATTGAGCTCCACTGTATCCGCCGCTGTGACCGAGTAACACGGCTTGAGTTCCTGCCCTTCCACTTCCTCCTGGCTACAGCTGTGAGTGGCCATGGAGCTCAGGAACTGGGTGGAAGCCCTTGGGATGACCACCTCTCCTTTAGGACCCCAGCAGAGGGAATACAGAGGGCAATCAGGACTGGGTCATTCTCTCTGTCTTTCTCTCTCAGTCAGAAACAGGGTTTCTAACCTACCTGGATGTGTCAGTGGGGAAGATTGTGGCAGCTCTGAATGCTCGAGCTGGGCGGCTCGATGTTATGAGTCAGAACCCTTACAATGCCGTCATCCATCTCGGACACAGCAATGGTCAGTACCTGGCTTAGTTTTGACTCTGACCATCCTGACTTGCTTTTCTTCTATATTTGTACTTCATGAGTCCCTTAAAGTTACCCTTTTATTTCCCTTTTTTGTTATCTCTTGGTCTTGAGTTCCCATCTTTCCCATGTTTAGTAACCTCAGGCTTAGGTGTGTATTAGCAACTTTGGTTCTTCTTCTCTTCCAGGTACTGTGTCTTTATGGAGTCCAGCTATGAAGGAGCCACTGGCAAAGATTCTCTGTCATCGTGGTGGGGTCCGGGCTGTGGCAGTAGATTCTACAGGCACGTAAGTCACTGGTGGCGGTGAGGTGTTAGGAGTCATAGGTGGGCAGAAAGGTGTGGAAGGCAGTGTGCTTTAGGAGCACAGAGTCTAAAGCCAGGATGCCCAGGTTTAAATCGCAGTGTTACCACGGATGGGCCTTGCAAGTATAGGCATATTTCATAACCTCTGTGTGCCACAGTTTCCTGACCCCGAAAATGGAAATATGAGTGTCCATTTCAAGGGTCCACAAACTTTTTCTGTAAAGAGTCAGATAGTAAATATTTTATGATTTGCTGATAAGAGGTAAAATCAAAGGGTACCATGTAGGCATTTAAATACCAAGAGAAAACAAATTATCACAACTTTTTTTTTTGAGATGGAGTCTCGCTCTGACACCCAGGCTGGAGTGCAATGGCGCAATCTCAGCTCACTGCAACCTCCACCTCTCAGGTTCAAGTGATTCTCCTGCCTTGGCCTCTCGAGTATCTGGGACTACAGGCGCCTGCTACAACACCTGGCTAATTTTTGTATTTTTAGTAGAGACAGGGTTTCAGCATGTTGTTCAGGCTGGTCTCGAATTCCTGACCTCAAGTGATCTGCCCGCCTCAGCCTCCCAAAGTGCTGGGATTATAGGCGTGAGCCACTGCGCCTGACCTTTTTTTTTTTAAATCTTTTGAGAGAGACGTAGTCTTGCTCTGTCTCCCAGGTTGGAGTGCAGTGGCGTGATCTCGGCTCACTGCAACCTCCGCCTCCCAGATTCAAGCGATTCTCCTGCCTCAGTCTCCCAAGTAGCTGGGATTACAGGCACCTGCCATCATGCCCAGCTAATTTTGTATTTTTTTGTAGAGACGGGGTTTTACTGTGTTGGCCAGGCTGGTCTTGAACTCCTGACCTCAGATGATCTGCCCGCCTCGGCCTCCCAAAGTGTTGGGATTACAGGCGTGAGCCACTGCGCCTGGCCCACACATTTTTAGGTTATAAAATTAAATGTAATATGGCCAGGTGCGGTGGCTCACGCCTGTAATCCCAGCACTTTGGAGGCCAAGGCGGGTGGATCGCCTGAGGTCAGGAGTTTGAGACCAGCCTGGCCAACATGGCGAAACTCTGTCTCTACTAAAAATTCACAAAATTAGCCGGGTGTCGTGGCGGGGGCCTGTAATTCCGGCAACTTGGGAGGCTGAGGCAGGAGAATTGCTTGAACCTGGGAGGCAGGGGTTGCAGTGAGCCAAGACTGTGCCATTGCACTCCAACCTGGGCAACAAGAGCAAAACTCCGTCTCAAAAACAAACAAACAAACAAAACATAATATGAGACTGGACACAGTGGCTCATGCCTGTAATCTTAACAGTTTGGTAGGCTGAGGTGGGCAGATCACTTGAGCCCAGAAGTTCGAAACAAGCCATGTCACCCATGACATGGCAAAACTCTGTCTCTACAGAAGATAGAAAAATTAGCCGGGTGTGGTGGTGCATGCCTGTAGTCCCAGCTACTCAGGAGGCTGAGGTGATCCTCCCACCTCAGCCCAGGAGGTTAAGGCTGCAGTGAGCTGTGATCATGCCACTGCACTCTAGCATGGGCAACAGAGTGAGACCCGGTCTCAGAAAAAAAAAATAATAATAATCAAATATGATATTTGTGTAATACAGATCTACTAATGGGAAGAACTGAATTTCTCTTTTTGAGGTTAACATTTTGCCTAATTGATGTACAAAGTTAGTGTTCCAGATGGTCAAATTTGACTGTAGATATTCATGTTCATGCTGATCTGTAGAGATTGCAAGTATTTCATCTTTGAAAACATCTTTTCACACAGGTAATGATAGGTGATATGTGAGGTGCTTGAAATGCTGTGAAGCACTTACGACTGTGTCACTGTGACTTGTAGTGTACAAAGCAGCAGTGCAAATCAGGATGCTGTAGTCGCTGTCGTGACCACTCGGCTGTGTGTTGTAGAGCAAAAGCAGCCACAGTATTAAGTAAATAGTGTGGCCCCGTTCCAATAAAACTTTATTTGTTGGATATTGGAATTTGAATTTCATACGGTTTTCACAGTCTCAAAATATTCTTTTGATTTTTTTTCAACCACTTAAAAATGTAAAAACCATTCTTGGCTTGTGGGCTATACAGAACTAGATGATGGGCCAGGTTTGGCCCATGGGCAGTAGTTTACCAAGCCTTGGTTTAAAGCCCTCATATAAGCTGTTGTAGACATTAAGATGAGTTAAGGCATATAGTTTAGCACAGCGCTTAGCAAAATAGGGAGCGCTGTGTTCATCATTGTCATTCAAGATGATCGTTCTCTCCAGGTCTGGCTGATGTGAGGGGTGGAGGTGGTGTCTGCTTTGGATTTCTGCTGTTCCTGAGGGAGTATCTGCATTTTCCACAGCTTTTCTGTCTGATTTGTATTTTCCTCTGATTCCTTTTGTCATCAGGTATTCACTGGGCACCTGCTGTGGGCAGGGCTCTGCGCTGAGGTTCTGGAGATAAAAGGATGAATCGTTGAGCCTGCCCTGGTGTGGTGCTCCCGTTATCCTTTAGGTATAAAAACTTGTGGCTATTTTTTTTTTTTTTTTGAGACAGAGTCTTGATCTGTCACCCAGGCTGGAGTGCAGTGGCACAATCTCAGCTCACCACAACCTCTGCCCCCCGGGGTTCAAGCGATTCTCCTGCCTCAGCCTCCTGAGTAGCTGGGATTACAGGCGCCCACGAACCACGCCCAGTTAATTTTTTAATGTTTAGTAGAGATGGGGTTTCACCATCTTGGCCAGGCTGGTCTTGAACTCCTGACATCGTGATCCACCTGCTTCGGCCTCCCAAAGTGCAAGTGTTGGGATTACAGGCGTGAGCCACTGCACCCGGCCATGGCTATGGTTTTTGAGAATGATTGGCCAGGTGATGCATTTATTTATTTTATTACTATTTTTCGAGACGGAGTCTTGATCTATCACCCAGGCTGGAGTGCAGTGGCGCGATCTCGGTTCATTACAACCTCCGCCTCCTAGGCTCAAGTGATTGTTCTGCCTCAGCCTCCAAGTAGCTGGGAGTACAAGTGCATGCCACTGCATGCGCTAATTTTTGTATTTTTAGTAGAGATGGGGTTTTGCCATGTTGGCTTGGCTGGTCTCAAACTCCTGACCTCAGGTGATCCGCCCACCTCGGCCTCCCAAAGTGCTGGGATTACAGGCATGAGCCACCACGCCTAGCTCAGGTGATGCCATTAGTTTCTACACAGTTATCCTCTGTCATCCCAGACTCAATGTGTCCATCACTGGATAGGTCACCGCCTCCTAAAGTTTCTCTTGACCTGCTCTCATCTCCCAGAATTTTCCTGTCACCCAGAATTTGACTCAGGTACACACCACCACACCTGGATAATTTTTCTATTTTTTGTAGAGATGGGGTTTCACCATGTAGCCCAGGCTGGTCTCTGTCTTGAACTCCTGGGCTCAAGCGGTCCTCCTACCTCAACCTCCCAAAGTACTGGGATTACAGAGTAATTACTGTGAGCCACCACATCCAGCTTGGCCACCAGCTTATTCAAAGTCTCCAGGATGCTGGGACCACCCCCCCCACCACCCGCTCCCTGTTTTTGCATAATTGTATCTTTTTTTTTTGAGACGGAGTCTCACTCTGTCACCCAGGCTGGAGTGCAATGGTGTGGTCTCGGCTCACTGCAACCTCCACCTCCTGGGTTCAAGCGATTCTCCTGCCTCAGCCTCCTGAGAAGCTGGGACTACAGGTGTGTGCCACCACACCCGGCTAATTTTTGTATTTGTAGTACAGATGGAATTTCACCATGTTGGCCAGGCTGGTCTTGAACTCCTGACCTTGTGATCCACCCGCCTGTCCTCCCAAAGTGCTGGGATTATAGGCGTGAGCCACCGTGTCTGGCCTTTGTAATTGTATCTTTGTGAATGAGTGATTTGGTTCTGCCCTTTTTACTCCATATTTATACCAGCCTGGCTCTAGGAGAGTCAGAAGGCCTGCCCAAGGGTTTCTGCCCTCTCTGGGCCACTGGGCCAAAGCTGTAGCTTGCCCTCCGTGGGCTACCTGGGTCAGCCACTCCTGTGCTTAGGGCTTAATCACTAGTTCGCTGAGGCCTGAAGTTTAATCAACACCTTGATGCTAAACAGCTCTGGTCCTTGTGATCTTCAGCCCATCCCTGCTTTTCTCTGGTCCTCCTCAGGAGCTTGTCAGGCCACGGGGGCTCCAGTGATGAGGCTGACCATCTTTCTTAAGAGGTGTTCTGGTAGCTTGTATTATGATTGGATTGCGTTGACTTCTCAAAGCCGAACTGCTGCTTACTAGTAGTACAGTAGACTCCCATTTGGCACTGGGCTGGTCTTTACCCAGGGGTCCCATAGATGGGTGTGTGGAGGGGAGAAGAGCCAGCATGCATCCTTGAGTTGTTAGTTCACCAAAGGATGTGACCCTGTGTTCCACGAGCGCTCGGTAATTCCTGGTTTGCACTGATGGCCTTTCTCTTTGGTAAAGTCAGGGCGCTGATTATCTTGTCGGAAGTATCCAGCTGGTCCTCTCTTGGGCTCCATCACTGTGCAAGTCTCTGCTCATAAGAACTCTTCAGTTCCCTTCTCCTGGGTTCACAGCCAAGGCAAAAAAGAGACTCCTTGGCCTCTTGGCAAACATACATCCCCTACCTGGCTGGTCCCCCTTCAGCTTCCCTCTCTAAGGAACAACTTGAACATAGAAACTCCAACCTCACCTGTAATCCCAGCACTCTGGGAGGCCAAGGTGGGCAGGTCATTTGAGGCCAGGAGTTCAAGACCAGCGTGGTCAACATGGCGAAACCCTGGCTCTACTAAAAATTAGCGGTGGTGGCGCATGCCTGTAATCCCAGCTACTTGGGAGGCTGAGGCACGAGAATCACTTGAACCAGGGAGGCAGAGGCTGCAGTGAGCCAGGGTCATGCCACTGCACTCCAGCTTGGGCAACAGAGAGACCCTGTCTCAAAAAAAGAAAAGGAACTCCAACTTCTGAAAGTAAACAACTTATGCAGTACATGATTCCTGGAGAGGATTTGGTCACCAACCTTCCCTCCTTCCTTCCAGGGAAAGCACACAGAGGGGCAGGGCAAGGGCCTCCAGTGCATTACTTCACCACTTCCCTGAGTAGGTCTTCTCAAGTCCTTGGAGCCTTCACTTTGTGATTTGTCACTGCCAGAGAGCAATGTTGGGATCATGAGCTGTGGGTCCTCAGTCTGACTTTAAAGAAACCTCACAAATTGTCTGCTCCTGATTTTCCTGACCATGTTTCCCACCAATCCTAACAAACCTCTGCTTCCCTCTCAGTCTCAACACTCTGGTGTTAATGCATTTGAACCTGCTGTGTATCTACTTCCTGTAATTTTTTGAGAATTATCTAGAATGGCTCAAATCCCACCTTTCCCATGAAGCCTTTCTGACCACTGCACATGCTCCTTCCCCTTGCTGGGCTGTGTGCTGCATGTGTGTACAGGGGGACATCACATTTGGGTGCAGCCTGTCGTGTGGGCGTTCCTTTTGACGCCCGTGTCTTGAGAGGGCTGTGTGGTGTTAGCAGGTTAGAGGCAGATGCTAAAGAGACAGGCCTGACCATTCACTGACCTAGCTTTCCTTTCCCTGAGCTTCAGTTTCCTCACCTCTTAAAGGGAAATAAAAATAGTATGAGTTGTGTGCAGCTTAACTGAGAGGATGCCTGTGGAGTGTTCAGGGTGATGGCAGTGGTTATTACTATTAATCTTTTTCTCCCCAGCCAGACTTGATGCCTGGACTTGGCCACAGCTTGCTTGGTAAACCCATTTACTGACATATTAATTGATCCCTCTTCTCTCACCAGGTACATGGCCACCTCTGGCCTAGACCACCAGCTGAAGATCTTTGACTTGCGAGGGACGTACCAGCCTCTGAGCACTCGGACCCTGCCCCATGGAGCAGGGCACCTGGCCTTCTCCCAGAGGGGACTGCTGGTGGCGGGAATGGGTGACGTTGTCAACATCTGGGCAGGGCAGGGCAAGGCCAGCCCACCCTCCCTTGAACAGCCCTACCTCACCCACCGGCTCTCAGGCCCTGTGCATGGCCTTCAGTTCTGCCCCTTTGAAGATGTGCTGGGGGTGGGGCACACTGGGGGCATCACCAGCATGCTGGTCCCTGGTGAGTGGGCCAGGGGATGGGGCTTGAAGTGAATGAACTCTGGGTGGAAGTTTGGGCCAGAGACATCCAGGAACTGGGGGCTTAGTTGGGCTGGAGCTGTTGGACTGAGGTTCTTCCTTATGGCTCCATGCTTCTCCCTCCCTCCCTTCAGGGGCCGGTGAGCCCAACTTCGATGGCCTGGAGAGTAATCCATACAGAAGCCGGAAGCAGCGCCAGGAGTGGGAGGTGAAGGCCCTGCTAGAGAAGGTGAGGCTCCCCTGCTGGAGAGGGTGAGATCCCCCCCATTGCTGGAGAGGGTCAGGTTCCCCCGTCCTGGAGAGGGTGAGGTTCCTCCTTCCTGGAGAAGGTCAGGTTCCCCCCTGCTGGAGAAGGTCAGGTTCCCCACTGCTGGAGAAGGTCAGGTTCCCCCCTGCTGGAGAAGGTAAGGTTTCCTCTTCCTGGAGAGGGTGAGATTCCCCTCTCCTGGACGGGGTCAGGTTTCCCTCTGCTGGAGAGGGTGAGATTCCCCCTGCTGGAGAGGGTCAGGTTTCCCTCTGCTGGAGAGGGTGAAATTCCCTCTCCTGGAGAGGGTCAGGTTCCCCCCTGCTGGAGAGGGTGAGATTGCCCCTGTTGGAGGTGAGGTTCCCCTGCTGCAGAGAGTGAGGCCCCTGCTGCTGGGGAAGGTGTGGTTTGGGGTTGGAGGTAGAGAAAGCTCTCCTGATGTCTCATGCTGGGGGTCTTGGGTAGAGGGGTTCAGCAGCCTCCCTGGCTTCTCTTTTTGGTGCTACCCTCCTGTGGCTCCTTGCTGAGTCCTGTCCCTCTGTGACACCCCCAGGTACCTGCAGAGCTTATTTGTCTGGACCCACGAGCCCTGGCCGAGGTGGATGTCATCTCCCTGGAGCAGGGAAAGAAGGAGCAGATAGAGAGGCTGGTATGGAGCAGGCCCCTGAATGCCCAGGCCCGTCTTCTCCCCCACATCCTCTCCCCACCATGGCTTGTCCCCAGAAGTGCGGCCAGCAGGTGGGTGCTGCCAGTTCCCTGACTCCGAGGCTGTAACAGATATCACTCCTGTCCCCTCCCTCAGGGCTATGACCCGCAGGCTAAGGCTCCCTTCCAGCCAAAGCCAAAGCAGAAGGGCCGCAGCTCCACGGCAAGCCTGGTGAAGAGGAAGAGGAAGGTCATGGATGAGGAACACAGGGTAAATGAGCATTGGCATGGGCCGGGCCTTCCACAGGCTGCACCCTCCTGCTTGTGCCTCTGCCCTTGTCAGCCTGCCACTTCTCACTCTGTGCCTGTGTCCTCCCCGTCTCCGGTCCCCAGGACAAGGTCCGGCAGAGCCTTCAGCAGCAGCATCATAAGGAGGCGAAGGCCAAGCCCACGGGGGCCCGGCCATCTGCCCTGGACAGATTTGTGCGCTGAGCCAGACTCCAGGGTTGCCTGGGAACAGTCTCTCCCCAAGATCACCTGTAGGGAAATGAGTGTTCCCTGGAACAAGGAGGTGGGGGCAGTGTGGCCCCTTCCCCAACTGGGGGTGGACAGCTGTCTCCTGGGGTGGGTTGGTATTAAAGAGGAAAGCGATTTTTTGGATAATGTGTCTGGATCATCTTGTGGACCTGTTCCCCTCCCCCTTGCCAAGCATGAGGCCATTCTAGGATCGGAGGGGTCAGTGTCCTGCCTCTACCCCCACCCCATACCTTGTGGCTGCTGTGGCCTTAGCTTTGCCTTTTAGGGGCCTTCCTCCTCAGAGAGGCTGTCCTCTCTCCCATGTCCCTGGAGATGTCCTTCCCATGCAGCAGGGTCTGGCAGCCTCTGGGCTCTCCAGGTTTGTGGTGTTCTGGGGGTCCTGGTGAAGACCACACTGCACTCGAAGAAGTGGAGACAAGTTTATTGAGGAGCTTGACACCCCTCTTCTGCCCTAGCTTGAGAGAACAACTGCAGCATTTTTTTCTTTTTCTCTTCCCGATGACCATCTTTTGGGCTGGCGGGCCAGGCCCCTGGGTGTCTCCCATATCGCTGTCTTTAGTGAGACTGAGGATCTGGTATAAGGAAACAGATCAGCTGCAGCCAGTGAGGGCCCCTGCGTTGGGCCTGGGAGAGAGAAGGTCCTGTTCCTGCCTTTCCTGTGGCCCCAGGCACTCTCAGCTCTGAAGCCAGGCTATTGCTCGACACCGCAGGATGCCCAGGACTCCCTGGAACCAGGAGCAAAAGGGCGCAGTCCTTTCCCCGTCAGAGCCACCCACCAGCTTCCAGGCTTCCTGCATCTTCCAGGGGTCCAGCCTGTGGGACGTCAGCAGGAATTTCCCATAGCAGCACCGGTCTAGCGGGTAGTGGGTGGCACCAGCCAGCTTGACACACTGTGTTGGGGCGAGGCCTCCTCGTCGGGCACTTACCCCCACAAAGACATCCTCTAATGGGAGAAGGGGTGCCCGGCTGGCCACCTTGAGAATGAGCTGCACAGCAGACGCTGACAGCACATACCCCGTGCCTGAGGCATAGGGTGGAAAGGGGCCCCAGGTGTGAGGCCACTGCTCCTCTGATACGCGGTGCCTGCCCCCCGGTGTCCGAGAGGGGTTCACGCGCCAGTGCACCCGGCCCAAGTACAGAAGAGGCACTTCCTCGCTGTGCAAAACCTGGCCTCCTTCCTGCTCAGCCTCTCTCTGGGGTTCCGTGCTTCTCTCCCATTGCCCCCAACGGCCCCCTCGCAAGACCAGCTCTGATACCAGTTCAGGGACGTTGACATACACATCATCGTCCGTCTTGAGGACGTATCGGGCCATGGGGCAGTGTTTCTCAGCCCAGTTCAGCCCGCTGAGGGTCTTTAGGGTGAGGTTGCGGTAGGAGTCCTGGAAGGCGGCCTGCAAGATATCCCCCTGGGCTGCTGACTCCGAGGCCAGGTCACTCCCCTGGGAACCCCACACGGGGTGCTGTGCGTTCGGCTCTCCCAGCAAGAATAGCGTCTGTACCCTGAGCCCCCGGGCCTCGCGCAGCCCGCCCCACGAAGCCCGAATGGCGTTTCTCTGGTTCAGGTTCTCCGGAGCCGTGCACACCAGGATGAGCAGGAAGGGAGGGGCCCCGGGACCACTGCAAGCTTCCTGGTTGGGGATCAAGAGGCGGGGCAGGGCCAGGGGCGGCCCCGGTGAGGCGGGGGCTGGGAGCAGGGAGGCTAGTGAGAGGCTCAGCAGCTCCTCCCCCAACCCCGAAGGCCCGAAGAGGGTCCAGACGATCACCAGCAGCAAAGCGGCGAGAAGGAGGCGCCGGAAGAGCCTGAGCTGCATGGTGCGGCGTACTCCGAGGGGATCCGTAAGAGCGAAGGGCGGAGACTAGCTCCCCGGGCCTGGGTCACGGCCGGGGACTTAACCGACCACGCCCGGGATGCGGAGGTCTGAGCGCGCGACCGGGACCAGCGCACCCTGGGGGGCGGGGAGAGGCGGTGCAGCTGCGGACCGCGGTCGAGGCATGCTGCGGGGGTGGCTACCTTGTCGCCGCGGCCTCGCCGCCAGCAAGCTCCGCTCCATGGCTGGCCGACTGCGGCACTCACGGCCCCTCCCCCGCCTCGCCCCGGCGGCCGGTCTGCCGCCCGCTTCCGCGTTGCGCGCTCCCATCCCCGCCGGAAGCGGCGTCGGAGCAGCGCGGCAGGGCGCGGAAACCCGGGCGGGTGGAGTGGCACCAAACGGAGTGAGACCGGTCTGTCCAGCCGCTCCCCATCCCAACCCACCGACGTACTCCACCAGGGAGACCACACCCTTCATAACCAACGTCCGCGTTTTTGCCTTTGTTGCTTCGGTCACAGCCCGAAGGATTTTCCCTTATGACTAGATGACCCCTTAAAAGAAAACAAAAACAAAAACAAAAAAACCCAGAGTGACCAAGACCTGCAAACTCACCTTAACTGCAACTGGCTAGGCTCAGCTAACCCACTCCACAATGATGCTGCACACCAACCCCAGGGTGTTGGTCTCTAAACTGGTCTGGGTCAGCCCCTCAAGGCTGAACTGTTTTACCCTCACATTTCTCTTTACAGAGAGGGACATCACTAGCTACATATAGGGAGACTGGGGGGTCTGCAGCATCACCACTGCTAAAACTAATAGCACTGTGTGGGCAACTGAGTAGGGCAGCTCTAAATGGAAAAAGGACCCAGCACTTTAACATTCCCTATTAGAATGGACAGAAAGGACAGGAAGCCATAGGTATATAAACTATTTATTAACAGACAAGGCCTACAGACTTATTTCTTCTTGGACACACCCACGGTGCGGCCACGGCGGCCAGTGGTCTTGGTGTGCTGGCCTCGGACACGAAGGCTGCAGGTAAAAAGAGAAGAGTCACAGGTCATGCACAGCAGAAACAAAAGGTTGGGGAAAAAGAAGAGCGAGTAGGAGGAATGCTGAGTCGAGGTAGGCAGGGAGATGAGACCCCCCACTCACCCCCAGAAGTGACGCAGCCCTCTATGGGCCCGAATCTTCTTCAGTCGCTCCAGGTCTTCACGGAGCTTGTTGTCCAGACCATTGGCTAGGACCTGGATTCAGAGGAGGGGGCAAGGGATGTTTTATCCCCTGACCTCCTATGCCCAATTCTGTTAGGACCCTCCACCCTTCCTCTAATCCTGCCCTCATTTCAGTACACACCTGGCTGTATTTTCCATCCTTTACATCCTTCTGTCTGTTCAAGAACCAGTCTGGGATCTTGTACTGGCGTGGATTCTGCATAATGGTGATCACACGTTCCACCTGGCAGGCAGACCAAGGTCAGATCTAGATGGACCCCTTTCTGAGGCTGACCCCACCCCCAGCCCCCTTCCTTGTCCTCACCTCATCCTCAGTGAGTTCTCCCGCCCTCTTGGTGAGGTCAATGTCTGCTTTCCTCAACACCACATGAGCATATCTTCGGCCCACACCCTGAATGAAGTGAGGGGTTTCGGAATTAGTGTTGAATCTGATTTTTAAATTCCTTTATAGCCTCATTCAAAAAGCTCACAAAGGTAGGATCTGCAATAATCTATTTTGCAATCCCCTAGGTCACCCTTTCCTCACCCACCTTTCCAGATATAAACCGTTCGACAGAAGGTTAACTTTGGGCCGGTCGCAGTGGCTCACGCCTGTAATCCCAGCACTTTGGGAGGCCCAAGTGGGCAGATGACATTGAGGGCAGGAGTTCAAAACCAGCCTGGCCAACATGGTGAAACCCTGTCTCTACTAAAAATACAAGAAAAGTTGCTGAGCATGGTGGCAGGTGCCTGTAATCCCAGCTACTTGGGAGGCTGCAGCAGAATAGCTTGAACCTAGGAGGTGGAGGTTGCAGCAAGCCAAGATCACGCAACCACACTCTAACCTGGGCGACAGTGAGACCCCGTCTCAAAAAAAGAAAAAAGTAACTTTGTTCAGGGGTATGACTGAATCATGAACACAGAATTTAGTATTACAGACAACCCTTTGAAAGCAGGCAGTATCTTTTTTTTCCCCCATTGCTCAGCATATGTAGTTGTCACTAAGTGCCTTCTGATTCTTGCATTTAGGAGAACAAGGGGCCTGCCACTCCAAGCTGATGCAGTAAACCAGGGTCTTATGAGTTACAGGCTTTGATTAAGGTATTGGGCTGTCAGTTCCTCAGAATCTCTAAGGGTCACAATTATTTAGGCAAATCACTGTATCCCCATAATCAAAGTATTCCAAGATCACAAACTCAATTTTGTCAGTGCCCAGAACTGACTGCCCAAGTTATTATAAAAAGAAACTAATGCTTACATTGGTAGCATCACATCAACACCAGCACTAGCACCCATGCCATCTGAACTCATGAACCAAAGTGATTTGGAGAGTGAAGGAGGAACTGAATACTGAGCCCTGCCCCTCATTTTGTCCAACTAGAACATCAGAATGTGGCCCTATTTGGAAATAAGGTCGTTACGGAAATAATTAGGTAAAATGACGTTATATTTGATTAGGGTGGGCTCTAGATCCAATGACAAATCATGAGAGAGACACGAAGAGGACCATGAGATGACAGCAACAGATTGGAGTAATGCAGCTACAAGCCAAGGAACACTAAGGATTACTGACAACCACCAGAAGACAGGAAGAGGCAAGGTAGGATTCTTAAGTGCCTCCAGCGCCAAGAGTAATTTTCTGCTTAGTTTATATGAACTTGTTACAGTAGGCTCCAGGAAACTAAAACAAATGGCAGTTCCTATCTGCAAGAAAGAGATCAAGGGTTGGCTTCACCGTGGCTCATGCCTATATGCCTGTAATCCCAGCACTTTAGGAGGCTGAGGCTGGAGGATCACTGAGCCCAGGAGTTCAAGACCAGCCTGGACAACACAGCAAGATCCAGATTAGCCAGATGTGGTGGTGCACACCTGTAGCCCCAACTACTTGGAAAGTTGAGGTAGGAGGATTGACTTGAGCCCTGGAGGTCGAGGCTGCAGTGAAGAGTGATTCCGCCACTCCAGCCTGGGCGACAGTCTCAAAAAATAAATGTGGCTGGGTGCAGTGGCTCACGCCTATAATCCCAGCACTTTGGGAGGCTGAGGTGGGTGGATCACCTGAGGTCAGAAGTTTAAGACCAGTTTGACCAACATGGTGAAACCCCATCTCTTCTAAAAATACAAAAATTAGCTGGGCGTGTGCCTGTAATCTCAGCTACTTGGGAGGCTGAGGTTGCAGTGAGATAAGATTGCACCATTGCACTCCGGCCTGGGTGACGGGGTGAGACTCTGTCTCGGGATAAATAAATAAACATGACCAAGGGTCAAATTATTAGGTTGATTCAGAAGAGAGCAGGGTCTTTCAAATTTATTAATTAAATGACGAGGTTTCACCATGTTGACCAGGCTGGTCTCGAACTCCTGACCTCAGGGGATCCGCCCACTTCAGCCTCCGAGTGAGCCACTGCACTAAGCCTCAAATTTAATTATATGTTTACAAGTGAAAAGATTTACTTCAAAATGGGTGTGGGAAGAGATATAGATGAAATAAGATTTCTAATTTTTAGTTAGATACATCCATGAAGGTTATTCTCTATTACACTTATGAATGCTGCACCTCTACTTAAGCCTCACAGCCGGTCTCTGAAATAAGTACAGTATTTCACACTGCCTTATTAGTTTCACAGAGCACCCAACAGAAGGAATTTCCCTCTACAAATTCCTCAACAGAGCCAACAGTATCCCTACTACTATCCATTCCCTAACGTCGCCTAAGTACCTACCATGCAACAGAAGCCAAGAAGACAGGCCTAGCCCTGCACGCATGGACACATACTGGTAGGCTATTTCCACAACTAACTACACATTCTGACTTAAGGGAAAAAAAAAGAACGTTATGTATCTAGAAAGCCAAGAATTCATTAGGTTTGTGGAGAGAAATACTCAAGTGAAATAATATTCTTGCATTCATTGATTCGATTCTTAAAAGCCAAAGAAAGATGGATGTACTCCTTCACACTTCGACAGGAAAGGAGTGTCAATTATGGCTCATCTGAGTAAATGTCCCACTCAGACTTCTTCCACCCTCCATCTACAGGCTTCTTCACACTTTTTATCTGTTGGTATTTCTACTTATCCCTCAAGATGCCCAATAATCCTCCAATTCTCAGGGAATATAAATTTCGCAGGAAGGGTTGCTGTTATGATGGTGGGATGGGTAAAGAAACCGAATCTAGAAGAAATCTCACAAGCTCGTGGTTCAGGAAAATCTTAGCGAATTCGGGTGAGCAACCATACCTCCTCCCCACTTCCCCAGGTGAAATGTTTTGGCTTGACCTTAGACCACTATCTTGGCTTTAATCACTTATTTTCTGTGGTAAATGCTAAAGGGGTCAGTCTCTCCCTAAACCACTTTCTTTTCTTAATCCAGCAGTCAAGGTGATCTGGATGAGACTCAAGTCTCCCCAGCCTTGCTTCATTTTTGCTTATGTCTTCACAACCCAATTCTCATTTACATTCCCTATTCCTTACCCTACTTCACTTACCTTAATGGCAGTGATGGCAAAGGCTATTTTCCGCCGCCCATCGATGTTGGTGTTGAGTACTCGCAAAATATGCTGGAACTTTTCAGGGATCACTAGAGACTAGTTGAAAAAGTACGGGGGAAGAAATCAGACACAGTAAACTATCAAACAGTAAGGCCGATAAGGCAAACGAACTTCATACAAAAAGGTTAAGCCTGTCACACAAGTGGCAAGACACCCGCCCCCCATTCCTTAGGTTTTCACACCACAGAGCAAACTCCTCAGTCCTGCAGAGTAGGCACATGAAGCGTTCAAGCTTGGGAAAATGCAACCTCTGGAGAGAGGAAGCAGGTCTCCTGCCCATTCCCAAAAGTGCGTGGCAAAAGCCAGAGTTCCCCATATACGCCCAAGCCTTAGACAGCTTTCGTGCGCCCGAGCAGTGACCCTTCCTCGGGCCCGCTCTCCGGAATTGGAAATCTTTGGTGTCCCTTTCCAGGGACGCGATCCAAGGCTCCATACAGAAAGTCGCAGGCCCTCAGGGCAGGACGTTTCCAGAACCCTGACAGCCGGCTTTCCTTGCCCGAGCTGCGATGCCGCTGGATCACGGCACGGATTCCAGTCTTACCATGGCTGCAGCACAAGCGGCGGCGTGTAGGCCTCCTGTGGAAGAGAGAGCGGAAGTGACGCGATATCATTATATAGCTTCCAGGAGGAAGAGGCGGTGCGATCTAGGAGAAGTGCTTCCGGAAACTGTTTCAGCGCGACCTGGCTGGATTTATGAGAGTATGGCTTGGGTACCACAACTTCCGGTGCGCCTTTCTTTACAGTTCGTAAGGTTCATAGGTAAGAGAACAGCGAAGGTTCCGGGGCTAGTTTGTGTTTCAGACTTCCATATTTCCATTTGCAGTTGGGTGAAGTGGTTAGAGCTGAAAGGGGACAGCTGGAGTCAAACAACTTAACTCAAATATCTGGGAACGATTTCGCGCTGAGGAAGACCCTTTGGGACTTGTAGCTCCACTCCGGGGAACGGACTCGCCGGGACTGACAGTTGCCGGAAGTGAGGCTGCGGGGAATGGCCGCCGCTGCGACCATGGCGGCTGCGGCCCGGGAACTGGTGTTGCGGGCTGGGACCTCAGATATGGAGGAGGAAGAGGGCCCGCTGGTGAGAGCGCGGAGCTGTTTCTCCTCCGTAGTTCCGGTGCTCCTAGCTTCAGAAAGACCTGAGCTGGGTTTAGGCACAAGGGTGGGAACTTGGCTGCTACCCGTGATATTACCTGTTTGGCTCCCCGTACCCTTCCCTGTGATCAGACCCGACCCTGAGCGGGACCCTAGTGGCTGAAACTCATGTTCTGGGGCACAAAATTTCAACTTCACTCCACATTTTGGGGTAGAGTCACGAAGTAGTATAGTGTAAAGGTTAAGAACATGGCCTCTGAAGCCAGACTGCCTGAGTTCTATCTCTGCCACTTACACGCTGTGTGCCCTTGGGCAAGTTAACCAGCTTCTCTGTGCCATCATTTCTCACACCTTTAAGGTGAGGAAGATAGAACCTATTGTATACATCGTCGTTAGGATTAGATGAATATGTGTAAGATTGCACCTGGCATGCAGGTAAACACTATGTGTTTTGACATTTCTAGAAAGCCTGGGGTTCCCCAGAGGTGTGATAGAACACCCAAGATGGCAGGAGTCTGAGGGTCTTAAATTTAAGTGCAAGTTCTGCTCTATCCTCTGCAATTCCTAGCTTTCCTCATTCGGTCATCTCCACTGCACTTTTTTTTTTTTTTTTTTTTTTTTGAGACGGAGTCTTGCTCTGTCGCCCAGGCTGGAGTGCAGTGGCGCGATCTTGGCTCACTGCAAGCTCCACCTTCCGGGTTCACGCCATTCTCCTGCCTCAACCTCCCAAGTAGCTGGGACTACAGGCGCCCGCCACCGCGCCCGGCTAATTTTTTGTATTTTTTAGTAGAGACGGGGTTTCACTGTGTTAGCCAGGATGGTCTCGATCTCCTGACCTCGTGATCTTCCCACCTCGGCCTCCCAAAGTGCTGGGATTACAGGCGTGAGCCACTGCGTCCGGCCTCCACTGCACTGTCTTGTCTTTTACCTTTTTTTGTTTTCTTTAGACGGGTTTCCCTGTGTTACCCAGGTTGACCTTGAACTCCTGATCTCCTCAAACAATCTTCCCGTCTCAGCTTCTAAGTAGTTGGGACTACAAGGAGCCCACCACCATGCTGGGCTACCTCCACTGTCTCACTGGATCGTCTCACTCCTTGTCGTATTCCTTACCCATCAGCACAAAATAGGAGAGTGGGTACAACGTGAGACTCTTAGAATTTTTCAAAGCAGTACCTGTGGCTCCCAGTAAAAGCAGCTCCTTCTCACTTGAAGGACTGGGGATATCCAATTATATTTTTTCTTTCTGTCTTTCACCGTACCCTACTCCCATTAACTTATCCCTTTCCAGGCGGGTGGTCCTGGGCTCCAGGAACCACTGCAACTTGGGGAGTTGGATATCACTTCTGATGAATTCATCCTGGATGAAGTGGATGGTAAGCGATGGCATGGGGTGGGTGCAGTACCTGTAATCTGAGAGGCATGGGGGCTGGAAGGAATAAGGTAGGGATTGGTGTGCAGATACTCAATGTGGGGAGAGGGAGCTGTGGAGCTGGACCCTTATGATAAACTTCTATTTCCAGTTCACATTCAGGCAAATCTGGAGGATGAGTTAGTAAAGGAAGCTCTTAAAACGGTGAGGCTTTCCCCTGTACTAATCTGCCCTTCTATCTATTCTACCCCAAAAGGAAAAACAACAGTCTCTTGCTTTTGTTGTATCAGCCTGGTATCTGACCCTTTAGTCCTTCACTGATTCTGTTACAGTGTCCCTTTACTGAGACTTCCTTCTGACCTGTCATCTTTATGTTCTCCCAGGGTGTAGATCTCCGTCACTATTCAAAGCAAGTTGAGCTGGAGCTACAGCAGATTGAACAGAAATCCATTCGGGATTGTATCCTCCAGCAGAGGGAAGGGGTGGTGCTATTGACATGGGGATTTTGTGGCGTGTGGTACAGATGTCCCAGCTGGGGTCAACATCTCTGAGGTTTCTATCACTTCAAAGAGAAATTGGAGAGGTACTACAAATCTGAGGATCTCCCATCTTCACCATGAGGCCCCTTGACTTTTTGTGGATCAGATATTCAAGAGAGTGAGAATATAGCATCTCTACACAACCAGATCACAGCCTGTGATGCTGTCCTGGAGGTTAGTAATCATGACCTGTGACCCCTAATAGCTACTCTGAACCAGATCATGGACTCTGGTGCCATTTTTAGGTCATCAGCCTCAAGATGGGGACAGGTTAGGGTCATTTTCAAGATGACTTCAGGAGCCTTTTTTGTTATTACTGCCATATTTAATGTTATTTCCTGATAATCTGGGGTGTCTCATCATCTGCCACCCTCAAGGACTGATAAATACTGAAGACTTCACAAAGAGTCTTTGGTGGCCCACTTATCCCCTACAAACCCTATAGCACTCCGGCAACATCTACCCTCCCTACAGCGAATGGAGCAGATGTTGGGAGCTTTTCAGAGTGACCTCAGCTCCATCAGCTCTGAGATCCGGACACTGCAGGAACAGTCAGGAGCCATGAACATTCGACTTCGAAATCGCCAGGCAGTTCGGGGGAAACTTGGGGAGCTTGTTGATGGTCTGGTGGTGCCTTCTGCTCTGGTCACGTGAGTTACCAGTTTGAAGGGTTATAATGTCCATAGCAGGTGGATGGGCTGGGGTGACCCACCCTATTTACCATATGGGTCTCCTGGCTCCAGGTTAAGTGCTTTTTAGAAATTAGTAGCCAGGTTAACCACCATTTCTTTAGGTATGCATTAGGCATCAAAGATTAAGATTAAGAATGATGTAAGATCAGGTGTATAGTGGGGAGGTCCAGGAATAGAAAACTTTGTACATGTGTCCTGACTATATGGTACAATGCAAGGTGGTAGAGATGACAGGGGCTGGAGGTAAGGAGTGTGGTCTGGGTCTGGTTTAGGGATGTCTGGGTCTCCCTTGTAACTCATCCCACCCCTCCCTGCTAACCAGGGCAATTCTGGAGGCTCCAGTGACAGAGCCCAGGTTCTTGGAGCAGCTACAGGAGCTGGATGCCAAGGCAGCCGCAGTCAGAGAGCAGGAAGCTAGAGGCACAGCAGCCTGCGCAGATGTCAGAGGCGTGCTCGATCGGCTCCGGGTCAAGGTGGGAAGTAGGGATGGATACCCTGGAGGCTACTGGAAGCAGCCTTCCCAAGATCTTCACTATGGATTTCCTTGGCAGAGCTCACTGTAGCCTGTCTCCAGGGACTTCACCCTGCCTTTTCTGGGCAGCCCCATTCTTGTCTCTCTGGGTTTCCCTGAAAATCTTGAGAAATACCAAAGAGATATTCACCACCCTTCTGCCTATGTTTACCATTTGTTGCTTCCCCCAGTTCCTCTCATACAGCAAAAGGGTTGCAGCTTCATGCCCTGTGTTTGGTTCCCCACATCTAGGCAGTGACGAAGATCCGAGAGTTTATCCTCCAGAAGATTTATTCCTTCAGGAAACCCATGACCAACTATCAGATCCCCCAGACGGCCCTGCTGAAGTACAGGTCACAACCCCAAGGAAGTGCATGGGATGGCCTTTGAGTTTTTGAGCGGCCTAGTGTGGGCATCTGGTTTCTTGGGAGACAGGTAGACTGACATGTTCCTGACCCCCTAGGTTCTTCTATCAGTTTCTGCTGGGCAATGAACGAGCAACAGCAAAGGAGATCAGGGATGAATATGTGGAGACGCTGAGCAAGATTTACCTGTCTTACTACCGCTCTTACCTGGGGCGGCTCATGAAGGTGCAGGTAAGGTCAGGAGGGAGAGGTATTCCTGGGCACATGGACTGGGAGGAGGGGACATCCCTGGGCAAGGAATATTTTATTGTGTTGTGGGAAGAGACGGTTATCAGTTCTCTTTTCTCTTTCCTTAGTATGAGGAAGTCGCTGAGAAAGATGATCTAATGGGTGTGGAAGATACAGCAAAGAAAGATATCCTAGTACTGGGGAACCCTCATGCCAGGCCTTGAGAGTGGGAGGACTTTCGACTCCAGCCACCAATGCACTGCTCCTTACCTTTTCCTATGGGACTGAAACCTTTTAGAATGTGATGAAAGCTATAGCCTCCCTCCCCAGAAAGATGCACACATTATTTTGACACATAGTTTTGCATATGATTGCAAGGGAGGGAGAGACACCCTGAAGCCCATTCACAGATGTCAGCACGTGGGGCCCTAGTACTGGGAAAGAGGGCTGGCTAGGCCACGTCTGCCTGTCTGGGGTCCCCACAGATAGTGAGTCTTTGGGCCCAGTTATGGTCTCATTGTTTTCCCTGACTCTGACCCATCTTACGATTCTTCTCAAAGCCATCGCTCCGCAGCAGGAACACCATTTTCACCCTAGGAACCCGCGGCTCTGTCATCTCCCCCACTGAACTTGAGGCCCCCATCCTGGTGCCTCACACAGCGCAGCGCGGAGAGCAGAGGGTATGAGGAGGAACAAGCTTCAGTCACGAAAGAGGCTCTGAGCACGGTGGGGAGGGAAGGCCAGACCTCAGGGCAGAGCTTCCCAACCTGCAGGCCCTGTCTTAATCCCCTTAGACTTGGGAGTGGCCTTCTCCAATCACTCCAGCCTGCTGTGATGTGAAAAGAGCTGGGAACCATTGACTTAAGGGCATGCAGAGGGGAGAGACTGGATGAGGGGAATGACAGTCAGAGGCAGGTGTTGAGGTGGATGCAGGAGTAGCAACAGCAGGTGGGTGTAGGCCCTTTTTGTACCCCTATGTTCCCCCACCTTTTCAGTGCCCATTCAGCTTGCTCTTAGACAGCCCGGACCTAGATAGATGCGAAGGGTCTGCCTAGCTCTTATTACTCAGGTTTACTGATTTTCCAGCCATATCCATGGGAAGTCAGTGTTGGGGTCCATCCCTTCTGTTTTTCTTCTTTACTCCTCCTCTCCCAGTATCCATTTGAGGCCCTCTTCCGCAGCCAGCACTACGCCCTCCTAGACAATTCCTGCCGCGAATACCTTTTCATCTGTGAATTTTTTGTTGTGTCTGGCCCAGCTGCACACGACCTGTTCCATGCTGTCATGGGCCGTACACTCAGCATGACCCTGGTAAGACTCCTGTTTCCTGTACCATTCAACACCTTTGTCCCCAGTCTTCATCAGCAGCATAGTGGGGTCATGACTCTGGTAGAACTGAAATCAGGATCGCCTCATTCTAAAATGTCTAAGCCTTGGCTGGGCGTGGTAGTGCACACCCATAATCCCAGCACTTTGGGAGTCCAAGGCAGTAGGATTGCCTGAGCTCAGGAGTTTGAGACCAGCCTGGGCAACAACCTCATCTCTACAAAAAATGAAAAATTAGCCGGGTGTGTGTTGATGTGTGCCTGTGGTCACAGCTACTAAAGATGCTGAGGTGGAAGGATTGCTTGAGCCCAGGAGGTCAAGGCTGCAGTGAGCCATGCACTCCAGAGTGAGACCTGTCTCAAAAAAAAAAAAAAAAAAAAATAGCCAGGTGCAGTGGCTTACGCCTGTAATCCCAGCACTTTGGGAGGCTGAGGCGGGAGGATCACAAGGTCAGGAGTTTGAGACCAGCCTGACCAACATGATGAAACCCTGTCTCTACTAACAGTACAAAAATTAGCCAGGTGTGCGCGGCCTGTAATCCCAGCTACTCGGGAGGCTGAGGCAGGAGGATTGCTTGAACCTGGGAGGAGGAGATTGCAGTGAGCCAAGATTGCGCCATTGCACTCCAGCCTGGGTGACAGAGCGAGACTCCATCTCAAAAAAAAAACTTGTTACTTAGACTTGTCACAGTGTTACTCCCCCATGAAATCCTCAGTGCGTAGGGTCCCTGAGACTACCCCTACTGCTGACCCACAATCAGGCAATAGCACGTGAAAACTGAGGGTCCCCCAAATCTTGGTGCTCAAACCCCTGACCCAAGCTCAGCCCTGAACTCTGCTGTGATAGGCTTGTGATCATAGATCCTGGTGTGGCCAGGTGCAGTGGCTTATGCCTGCAATCCCAGTACTTTGGGAGACCAAGGCAGGAAGGTTGCTTGAGGCCAGGAGTTCGAGACCAGCCTGGGCAATGCGGCAAGACCTTGTCTCTACAAAAAATTTAAAAATAAACTTAACCAGGCATGGTGGTACACACCCATGGTCCCAGTTGCTTGGCAGGCTGAGGTGGGAACATCACTTGAGCCCAGATGTTTGAGGCTGCAGTGAACTATGATTGTACCATTACAATCCAGCCTAGGTGACAAAACAACCTGTCTCTAAAGCCGAAAACACCGGGTGCAGTGGCTCACACCTGTAATCCCAGCACTTTAGGAGGCTGAGGTGGGCGGATCGCCTGAGGTCAGGAGTTCGAGACCAGCTTGACCAACATGATGAAACCCCATCTCTACTAAAATACAAAAATTAGTCGGGCGTGGTGGCAGGCGCCTATAATTCCAGCTACTCAGGAGGCTGAGGCAGGAGAATTGCTTGAACCTGGGAGGCAGGCGGAGGTTGCAGTGAGCCGAGATTGTGCCACTGCATTCCAGCTTGGGTGGCAAGAGTGAAACTCTATCTCAAAAAACAAAAAAAAAGCCAAAAACATAGATCCTGGACAGGAAAGCAGGGGGCAGTTCCATTTTACGTCTCTCCCTTCTGTCCTGTCCAGTGCATCATCCCCAAAGAAACAAATGCGTTTGTTCATAGTCACTGAGGACAACAAACTGACATTCTCTTTTAATCCTCTGTTTGTTCCCCAATCACACAGAAACACCTGGATTCTTATCTAGCTGACTGCTACGATGCCATTGCTGTTTTTCTCTGTATCCACATTGTTCTCCGGTTCCGTAACATTGCAGCAAAGAGGGATGTTCCTGCCCTGGACAGGTCACTGAATTCTGGTCCTTGATGCCCAACAGGCCACGAACTCTCTTGGTCTTGCATGACTCTGCCCTGACCTTAGACTCCTACTGACCTGGTATCATCAACCTTTATTCCCATTCATTTGCTCCGGAGGCAGTAGTGCTGCTTTTTGACTCACCTTTCTCCAACCACTGCCCCCCAACCCCCACAACTAGCTATTGACCATTAAACTGAATGATGCCCCACTCCCTCCCATCCCCCTCCAACATTCCTTGCTGGCTGACCTCTGATTCTGATTAAGCCCACAGGTACTGGGAACAGGTGCTTGCCTTGCTATGGCCACGGTTTGAACTGATCCTGGAGATGAATGTTCAGAGCGTCCGAAGCACTGACCCCCAGCGCCTAGGGGGGTTGGATACTCGGCCCCACTATGTGAGGGAGGGCAAGGGTAACAAAGGGTTCTTGAAAGGCAGGGCTCTAAGCATCATTGTGGGGGTTGGCCAAGGTCACAGTTGTGTCATGGGCCACGCTATGAGCAGGTGTTCTGGGAGGGTGGTGAAACTCATGGTGAGTGGTGCACTGTGGGTAGGAGGGACTGAAGGTAGAGTCACATCACATGGAGGTGGGTTGGCTAAGGAAGTTGGGAGGTTGTGTTGGTTGGGCCAGGAGGTGGGTGTGATTTTCCTTCCCACTCTCTCCTAGATCACACGCCGCTATGCAGAGTTCTCCTCCGCTCTTGTCAGTATCAACCAGACAATTCCTAATGAACGGACCATGCAATTGCTGGGACAGCTGCAGGTGAGGGTCGGACAGGAGACACTTCCCAGCAGCAGGGCTGCTTCCAGTGGGTGGAGTCTGAGGAGGAGCCAGATGGGGCCCAGATGACCTTGCTTTCTGGTGTCACCTCTTCCTCTCTGCCTTTTCAGGTGGAGGTGGAGAATTTTGTCCTCCGAGTGGCAGCTGAGTTCTCCTCAAGGAAGGAGCAGCTTGTGTTTCTGATCAACAACTATGACATGATGCTGGGTGTGCTGATGGTAATAGGTGCTCCTTCTCCTTGCCTTCCTACCCAGAAAATTCGGTTTCCCCCACTGCTGTTAGCTCTGTGAGGGCAGAGATGATGCCTGTCTTGTTCAGTGTTTTACTCTTGGAGTCTGGCACAGTGTCCAGCTTAGTACAATAAGTGTGGAATGAAGGGGACATCCTGAAGTGAAGGACTGCTTTCCCCAAACTAGACATTTCCCTTTGTCTTCCCTTAGGAGCGGGCTGCAGATGACAGCAAAGAGGTTGAGAGCTTCCAGCAGCTGCTCAATGCTCGGACACAGGTAGGGGTGTGGGGAAAAGGGAAGAGACAGCCTTCTGTGCTGTTTTCAGCTCTCTCTCTCTCTCTCTCTGTGTGTGTGTGTGTGTGTGTGTGTGTGTGTGTAGGGAGTGGCATAATGGATCTCAGGTATGCGGAATTACTGTAACTCTTGATTCACAACATACTGTCATTATTGGTCTATTTTATTTTATTTTGTCTTTGGTTTTTTTTTTTTTTTTTTTTTGAGGCAAAGTGTCACTCTGTCACCCAGGCTGGAGTGCAGTGGCATGAACATGGCTCACTGCAGCCTCAACAGCCTGGGCTTAAGTGATCCTTCTACCTTAGCCCCCTGGGTAGCTGGGACCACAGGTGCGAGCCACCATGCCTAGCTAATTTTTTATTTTTAGAATGAATTTTATTTTTTTCTTTATCTATCCTCTCAAGCATTTATCCTTTGTGTTATAAACAATCCGATTACACTAAGTTATTTTAAAATGTACAATTAAGTTATAATTGACTATAGTCACCCTGTTGTGCTGTCAAATAGTAGGTCTTATTTATTCTTCCTATTTTTGTTTGTACCCATTAATCATCCCCACCTTCTCCCCAGCCTTCCACTAGCCTTCCCAGCCTCTGGTAGCCATCCTTCTACTCTCTTCGTACATGAGTACATGAGTTCAATTGTTTTGATTTTTAGATTCCACGAATCAGTGAGAACACATGACGTTTGTCTTTCTGTGCCTGGCTTATTTCACTTAATATAATAATTTCCAATTCTATGCATGTTGTTGCAAATGACTGAGTCTCATTCTTTTTTATGGCTGAGTAGTACTCCATTGTGTATATATCCCACATTTTCTTTACCCATTCATCTGTTGATGGACACTTAGGTTGCTTCCAAATCTTAGCTATTGTGAACAATACTGCAACAAACATGGGAGTGCAAATATCTCTTCAATGTACTGATTTCCTTTCTTTTGGGTATATACCCAGCAGTGGGATTGCTGAATCATATGGTAGCTCTACTTTTAGTTTTTTGAGCAACCTTCAAACTGTTCTCCAAAGTGTTTGTACTAATCTACATTCCCACCAACAGTGTATAAGGGTTCCCTTTTCTCCACATCCTTGCCAGCATTGCTATTGCCTGTCTTTTGGATAAAAGCCATTCTGACTGGAGTGAGATGAGATCTCATTGTAGTTTTGATTTGTATTTCTCTGATAATAGTGATGGTGAGCCCCTTTTCATATATGTCTGTTTGCCATTTGTATTCTTTTGAAAAATATCTATTCAAATCTTTTGCCCATTTTTTAATAGGATTATTAGACTGTCATGTAGAGTTGTTTGAGCCCCTTATATATTCTGGTTATTAATCCCTTGGCAGATGGGATGTGCAAATATTCTTTGTCTCTTCACTTTATTGTTTCTTTAGCTGTGCAGAAGCTTTTTTTTTTTTTTTTTTTTTTTTTGAGATGGAGTTTTGTTCTTGTTGTCCAGGCTGGAGTGCGATGGTGCGATCTCAGCTCACCGCAACCTCCGCCTCCCAGGTTCAAGCAATTTTCCTGCCTCAGCCTCCTGAGTAGCTGTGATTACAGGCATGTGCCACCATGCCTGGCTAATTTTGTATTTTTAGTAGAGATGGGGTTTCACCATGTTGGTCAGGCTGGTCTCAAACTCCTGACCTCAGGTGATCTGCCCAGCTCTGTCTCCCAAAGTGCTGGGATTACAGGCGTGAGCCACCGTGCCCAGCTGTGCAGAAGCTTTGTAACTTGACGTGATCCCATTTGGCCATTTTTGCTTTGGTTGCCTGTGCTTGTGGGGTATGGCTCAAGAAATTTTTGCCCAGACCCGTGTCTTGGAGATTTTCCCCAGTGTTTTCTTGTAGTAGTTTCATAATTTGGTCTTAGATTTAAGTCTTTAATCCATTTGATTTGGTTTTCATATGTGGCGAGAGATAGGGGTATAGTTTCATTCTTCTGTGTAATGGATAGCCAGTTTTCCCAGCACCATTATTGAAGAGACTATCTCTCTTTTTTTTTTTTTCAGACGGAGTCTTGCTCTGTCACCTAGGCTGGAGTGCAGTGGTGCAGTATTGGCTCACTGCAACCTCTGCCTCCTTGGTTCAAGTGATTCTCCTGCCTCAGCCTCCTGAATAGTTGGGATTACTGATGCCTGCCACCACGCCGGGCTAGTTTTTGTGTTTTTAGTAGAGACGGGATTTCACCATGTTAGCCAGGCTTGTCTTGAACTCCTGACTTCAAGTGATCCTCCCACCTGGGCCTCCCAAGTGCTGGGATTACAGGCGTGAGCTACCGTGCCTGACCAAGAGACTATCTTTTCCCCAGTGTATGTTCTTGGCACTTTTACCAAAAATGAGTTTACTGTAGGTGTGTGCCAGCTAATTTTTTAATTTTGTAAAGACAGTTGTCTTTACAAAAGACAACTGTTGCCTGGGCTGGTCTTGAATTACTGCCCTCAAGTGAAAAATCTTATGATTCTTTTTTTTTTTTAAAGACGGAGTCTCACTCTGACTCCCACACTGGAGTGCAGCGATACGATGTCAGCTCACTGCAACGTCCGCCTCCCAGGTTAAGTGATTCTCCTGCCTCAGCCTCTGAGTAGCTGGGACTGCAGGCACGTGCCACCATGTCCAGCTAATTTTTGTATTTTTAGTAGAGATGGGGTTTCACCATGTTGGCCCAGCTGGTCTTAAAACTCCTGACCTCAGGTGATTCACCCGCCTCAGCCTCCCAAAGTGCTGGGATTATAGGCATGAGTCACTGCACCCGGCCTAGATTCTGTTTTTAATGACACTGGAAAACAACGAATTTTTGTTTTGGCATATATATAGCTTTACTTTTAAAAGCAAGAACACACACAAAAAAAGGGGGAAAAAAGCAAGAACACAATAAATGCAACATTTAGATCAACGAGTACCTGTGCACGAGAAGCACAGGGATGGTTTCAGTAGGATTTCATAGTTTGATGGTGACTTTTGCCAAGCTGCTGCTACTTGGATTGTGTGGTGTGTTTGTGAGTGTTTATATCATTAAAAAACAAAACAGCCACTGCACTGGGTTGTTTTATTTTTTAATGATATAAACACTGATGAGACAAGGCAAGAAAACAGCAAGGCAAAAAAGAAAAAAAAAAAAGCCAGGCATGGTGGTATGCACCTGTAGTTCTAGCTATTTGGGAGACAAAGGCGAGAGGACCACTTTGAAATCCAGGAGTTCGAGATTACAGCGAGCCATGATCATGACATTGTAGTCTACCCTTGGCAACACAGCAAGACCCTGTCTCAAACAGCAAAACAAAACAAAAAACCCCAGAATCACAGGATTTTTTTCATGCATAATTTTTCTAATATTGTCATGTTATTGCATATGGCTATAGCTCATTCCTTTTCACTGCCATATATGACTTGTGTGATTAAACATATTCTATAAATGGATTGTTTCCAGTTTCTTGCTTCTGTGAGCATTGTTTTATGAATAATCATGTCTTTTAGCACACATAGATATTGATTATCTTCATCAAAAGTTTCTCTTGGGTATAAACCTAGGACAGTAGTCTTGCTGCTAATAAGATATGCAGTATTAGTCTTTATGAGACAATGATAAATTGTTTTCCTAAGTAGTTCCTTCTCACCAGCAATATGTAAGAATTCCTACTGAGCCACATTTTCTCCAACATGTGGTATTATCAGGTCTTTGCCATTTTTTTTCTTTTTTTTTTTAGAGACCAAGGATGCTGCTAAAGATGCTCGGGATCAGAAATGTTTCAGATTTTGATTTTTTTCGGATTTTGGATTCCTTGCATTATTTTTACTGGTTAGCATCTGTAGTCTGAAAATCTGAAATCTGAAATGCTCCAAAGAGCATTACCTTTGAGCATCATGTTGATACTCAAAAACTTCCGGATTTTGGAGCATTTTGGATTTCAGATTATTGGATTAGGGATACTCAACCTGTATTTCAGTGGGTTTTATTTGTAATTTTCTGATTACTAATAACATTGAGCATCATTTCAAATGTTTAGTAACTATATGTAGGGGTTCAGTCAGGCTGGTGGGAAAAATATTAGTGATGATAGCCACAAACCCTCTTGGAAGGCCTAAGAGTTTGCATAACTTCAGTAATAGATATGGTTGAAGGCGACCTGATCTTTACCTTTAGTTAAATAAATTAGAGTAATAACAAAGGAATGTGGGGAAGTTATCTAGGTAGCTTGTTTACTCATATGGTCTTAAGACTAATCTTTGATGTACCGCAGGTGCTTAACTGCTTTCTACTCAGGAAGTCCACAATGTCAGTTACCCCGTAGTGGTGTTGACTCAAGTCTTTGTCAATTAATCTTTACTGAATAAATGCGAGTCTCACTAGCTGGTCAGGGCCGCCATTGCAACTGTTTACAGTACTCTTCAGGGAGTCTGTAAACAGCCTGGACACACTCAGCTGGACTGGCAAAGCAGAGTATCTGTGTGTCAGTGTACCTCATTCATCCGTTGCCGGGTCAGGGGTCTGCAAGGGACAGACTCCCTGAAGCTGGTGCTCTGTGTGAGGAGCGTCACCACAACTATACAATTTTTTTTTTTCCTGTAAAATGGCTGTCATAGCATTTGACCTTTTAAAAATCGGCTTGTGGCTGGGCAGGGTGTACACCTGTAATCCCAGCACTTTGGGAGGCTGAGGCGGATGGATCAGTTGAGGCCAGTAATTCAAGACCAGCCTGGCCAGCATGGCAGAACCCTGTCTCTACTAGAAGTACAAAAATTAACCAGGCATAGTGGCGCATGCCTGTAGTCCCAGCTCCTCAGGGGCGCTGAACCTGGGAGGCGGAGGTTGCAGTGAGCCAAGATTATGCCACTGCACTCCAGCCTCAGTTACAGAGCGTGACTCTCTCAAAAAATAAAGAAAAAAATAAGTCTGCTAGTATTTTTTATTTATAAGAGTTCTTTGCATCATCTACATACTAATCTTGTTGATTATACGTAGGTTACAGATTATCTTTTAGTATGTATCTTTTTACTTTTTTTTTTTTTTTTGGTGAGATGAGGGTCTTTCTGTGTTGCCCAGGCTCCTGGGCTCAAGAAATCCTTGCACCTTTTTTTTTTTTTTTTTGAGATGGAGTTTCACTCATGTTGCCGAGGCTGGAGTGCAATGGTGTGATCTCAGCTCACTGCACCTCTGCCTCCCGGGTTCAAGCACTTATCCTTTCTCAGCCTCCTGAGTAGCTGGGATTACAGGCGTGTGCTACCACGCCCGGCTAATTTTTGTATATTTAGTAGAGATGGGTTTTGCCATGTTGGCCAGGCCAGTCTTGAACGCCTGACCTCAGGTGATCCATCCGCCTCAGCCTCCCAAAATGCTGGGATTACAGGCATGAGCCACCGCGTCCAGCCTTTGTTTTTTTAATGTTGCTTTTTGATTAAAGAAATTTGTAATTTTAATATGATTGAATTTATCTGTCCTTCATTTTTATGTCTTTGTTTTTAGTAACAGTCTTGCTCTGTCACCCAAGCTGGAATGCAGTAGTGTGATCATGGCTCACTGTAGCCTCAACCTCCTGGGCTCAGGCAACCCTCCTCCCTCAGCCTCCCAAGTAACTAGGACTACAGGTGTGTGCCATATGCCCAGCTAATTTTTGTTGTTGTTGTTGTTTTGTAGAGACAGAGTCTCACTATGTTGCCCAGGCTGGTCTCAAACTCCTGGCCTCAAGTGATCCTCCCGCATCAGCCTCCCAAAGTGCTGGGCTTACAGCCACCATCTACCACGCCTGACTATTTTTGTCCTGTTTAAGAAATTCCTGGGCTGGGTGTGGTGGCTCACGCCTGTAATCCCAGTACTTTGGGAGGCTGAGGCGGGTGGATTACGAGGTCACGGGATCGAGACCATCCTGGCCAACATGGTGAAACCTCGTCTCTACTAAAAATACAAAAAAATTAGCTGGGCGTGGTGATGCGTACCTGTAGTCCTAGCTACTCATGAGGCTGAGGCAGGAGAATCACTTGAACCAGGGAGGTGGAGGATGCAGTGAGCCAAGATCGTGCCACTGCACTCCAGACTGGTGATAGAGTGAGACTCCGTTTAAAAAAAAAAAAAATGAAATTCCTTATTACTCCAAGGCCAGAAAAATATTATGCTACATTTTCTTCTTAATATTGTAGAATTTTGGCCAGGTGCAGTGGCTAAAGCCTGTAATCCCAGCACTTTGGGAGGCCAAGGCAGGAAGATTGCTTGAAGCCAGGAGTTTGAGACCAGCCTAGGCAGTATAGTGAGACCTCATCTCTACAAAAAATTAAAAAAATATATTAGCCAAGCATAGTGGCACACACCTGTAGTCTCTGCTACTCAGGTAGCTGAGGTGGGAGGATCACTTGAGCCTGGGAGGTCGAGGCTGCAGTGAGCCCTGTTTGTGCTGCTGCACTCCAGCCTGGGCAACAGAGTGAGACCCTGTCTCAAAAAATAATAATAAAATTAAAGAATAAACAAATATATAGAGAGAATTTTTTTGTTACCTTTAAGTCTCAAATTTACTTGGAATTAATTTTTGTGTGTGATGTGAGGTAGGGATCTATTTCTTTTTTTTATGTGGATGGTTGGCCCAGAACCATTTATAGAAAATCTTTTTCTTTTCTTTTTTTTTCTTTTCTTTTTTTTTTTTTTTAGACAGAGTCTCACTCTTGTCACCCAGGCTGGAGTGCAGGGCCACAATCTCAGCGCACTGCAACCTCTGCCTCCTGGGTTCAAGTGATTCTCCTGCCTCAGCCTCCTGAGTAGCTAGGATTACAGGCATGTGCCACCACACCCAGCTAATTTTTGTATTTTTAGTAGAGATGGGGTTTCACCGTGTTGGCTAGGCTGGTCTCGAAAAGTTTTCACATTTTAAAAAGTCTTTAAGGATTTTGATTAGAATTACATTGTCTATAGACTAATTTGGAAGAATTGATACTTTATGATATTGAAACTTCCTATCCATGATCATGATCATGGGCTCCCTATCCTTTTTTTTTTTTTTTTTTTTTTGAGACAGGTTTTGCTCTGTCACTCAGGTTGGAGTGCAGTGGCACAATCATAGCTCACTGCAGCCTTGAATTCCTGGGTTCAAGTGCTTCTCTTGTCTCAGCCTCCCGAGTAGCTAGGACTAGAGGCACACAGCACCACACTTGGCTTTTTTTTTTCTGTAGAGAATACAAAATTTAAAAATTTAATTTTTTGTAGTGTCTCACTAAACTGGGATTACAGATGTGAGCCACTCCACCTGGCCTCCTCCTCCAATTTTTAAGAGAGTCTTTTAATGTCTTTTGATAACCTTTTTAAATTTTCAGCACAAAGACACTGTAAGTCGTTTGCCATATTTTTAGGTGGGTATAATACGTATGTTTAGTTCTACTAGGAATAAATAAATCTTTTCTAGTTTTTTGTCTTTAACATCTTATGTTTTTGATTTCTTATTCTACTGGCTAACACTCCCAGGATGATGTTTAGAAGTTGAACAGAAAGGTGATAGTGAGAACCCTTTTCATATTCCTGATTTTGAAAGAATTGTTGCTGGTGCTGTGGCTCATGCCTGTAATCCCAGCACTTTGGGATGCTGAGATGGGAGAATCTCTTGAGCCCAGGAGTTTGAGAGTTTGAGGGGATCTGCCTGGGCAACATAGTGAGACTCCATTTCTTTTTTTTTTTTTTTTTTTTAGACAGAGTCTCCCTCTGTCTCCCAGGCTGGAGTGGTGCAGTGGTGCAATCTCAGCTCACTGCAAGCTCCGCCTCCCGGGTTCATGCCATTCTTCCTGCCTCAGCCTCCCGAGTAGCTGAGACTACAGGTGCCCAGCACCATGCCCGGTATTTTTTTTGTATTTTGTATTTTTAGTAGAGACGGGGGGTTTCACCATGTTAGCCAGGATGGTCTTGATCTGACCTCGTCATCTGCCCGCCTTGGCCTCCCAAAGTGCTGGGATTACAGGTGTTAGCCACCATGCCCGGCTAAGACCCCATTTCTTTAAAAAAAAAAAAAAAAAAAAAAAAAAGCCAGGCGTAGTGGCATGCATTTGTAGTTCTAGCTGCTTGGGAGGCTGAGGCGGGATCATTGCAGGAGATTAAGGCACCCACAAAGATGCACTTAAACCAGTTGTTTCTGCTGAGAGCAGCTGGGATTTGTCACTGGATTTGCCAGGTATAGAGACTCGCCAGCTGCCATCAATGCTTCTGGTCCTTTTTGGTCAGCTGCTGCTTCATACTACGTAGGAAAGATTGTTAAAGCCCAGTGCACTGTTTCCTCTGGTCACTCCTCTGCTATCAAGGTGTTCTCTTTTGCGTTATAGAAAGCTTAAAGTTCATCTAAGTCCAGACCAGTACTCCTATAGGAATATAATGCATGCCACAAATGTGAGCCACTTAAATAATTTTAAATTTTCTAGAAGCTACATTAAAAAGTAAGGAGAAACAGATGAAATAATTTTTTAAACCACTACATCCAAAATATTATTATTTCAACATATAATCAATAAAAAATAGTACTGAGGCCAGCACGGTGGCTCACACCTGTAATCCCAGCACAGGCCAAGGCAGGGAGGATCGCTTGAGCCCAGGAGTTTGAGACCAGCCTGGACAACATGGTGAAACCCCATCTCTACAAAAAATAAAAAAAAAATGAGTGGGACATGTTGGCACATGCCTGTTAGTCCCAGCTACTCAGGAGGCTGAGGTGGGATAATCACTGAGCCAGGAAAGTTGAGGTTGTAGTGAGCTGTGATTGTGCCACTGCACTCCAGCGTGGGTGATGGAGCAAGACCCTGTTTCCGAAAAAAAAAAAGAAAAAAAAGATATACTTAAAATTTATTCTAAGATGAAGTCTTCAAAATCAGGTGTATATATCATGCTTACAACACATTATATAATTTATGGCTCCTGCCTAGCAGGGGTCATCACTGTTAGTTCAACTTTTCTTTGGCAAGTCTACTCCCTGTGCCCCACCGTACACTGCTACATTATTGTTTGTATATGTGTGTGTGAGACTGCATTTAGGCAACTGTAATAGGTTGAATTTGGTTATTTAATCTCTGTCCAAAATCACATCACAAAGATGCCTTGATTATAGAAAGATCCTTCCTTGCAGCATATTAGTTATTTGACACCCTCAGTGGATATAAGTGAATATTTTGAGGGAAGAATAGAAAAGATACAATTTTTATTTATTTATTTATTTATTTATTTACTGAGACAAGTTGCTGCTCTGTCGCCCAGGCTGGAGTGCAGTGACATGATCTTGGCTCACTACAACCTCTGCCTCCCGGTTCAAGTGATTCTTCTGCTTCAGTCTCCCTGAGTAGCTGGGGTTACAGGCATGCACCACCACACCTGGCTAATTTTAGTATTAATAATTTATTTTTAAATGGAATAATAATTTCACTTTCTTCTTACCAGATCTTTCTGTCTGGGTTGTTTGCTTTTATGAGTTTTTTTGTTTGAATCTCCCTTTTACATTAAACAAAAATTAACATTTTATTATGGGAAATTTCACTATGCTATTAGAAAAGCATAGTGAACCCCCAGGCATCATCAGTGATATTCGGTGTATAGCAGTTCACGGACAGTTTTGTTTCATCTATACCAACACCTATTGCTTATCCTCCTTCTGTGTCCCCCAGTTACTTTGAATTAAATCTTATACATATACAGATGAATATTATCACTTCATCTGTATCAGAATGTTATTTTTATTAAGAAAATTATTTTTGAGATAGGGCCTTGCTGTAGTGCCCAGGCTGGAGTGTAGTAGCATGATATAACTCCCTGCAGCCTCGAACTCCTGGGCTCAAGTGATCCTCCCACCTCAGCCTCCTAAGTAACTGGGACTACAGGTGTGTGCCACCACACCTGGTAACAGATGGTTTTAAAAACTACAATACATTATCACACTTAAAAAAATTATCTTATCTAAAATAACTATTCAGATTTTCCCAGTTATTTCATAAGTGATTTTTTTTTTTTTTTTTTTGAGACACAGTTTCACTCTTGTTGCCTCCAGGCTGGAGTGCAATGGCCCGATCTTGGCACACTCCAACATCTGCCTCCCGGGTTCAAGCAATTCTCCTGCCTCAGTCTCCTGAGTAGCTGGGATTATAGACACCCACCACCACGCCCAGCTAATTTTTGTATTTTTAGTAGAGACAGGATTTCACCATGTTGGCCAGGCTGGTCTCAAACTCCTGACCTCAGGTGATCTACCCGCCTCAGCCTCCCAAAATGCTGGGATTACAGGCATGAGCCACTGTGCCTGGCCTTCATAAATGATTTTTATGGTTCAAATCAGGATCCATATAAAGTCCATATATGTGTCTTTTTTTAGTCTATAGATTTCCCTTCCATCTCCTCTGCAATTTATTTTTGGAAGAAACTGAGTTATTGAGTCATTTGTCATCTAGAATGATGTACAGTTTAGATTTTGCTGACTGCATTCCATGGTGTGGCCAAACTTCCTCTGTCTGGTGTATTTCTCATAAGTGTGTAATTAGATGGAAAGGCTTGGTCAGATTTAAATTAGTTTTTTTTTTTCTACAGGGATATTTGAGAGGTAGTGGTATGTATTTCCATCAGGAAGCACATAATGTCTTCTTGGCTCTCTTTGTGATGTTAGTAGCCATCAATTTCAGTGCCTAGATACATTAATTAGATTTCTGTATCTCCTACTATCTCAAAATTTTCCATCTTCTGTCTGTGCTACATTCTGAGTCCTTTCTTCAGTTATAAATTCTAATTCATTGTATAATTCTTGTTAATCTGTTGACTTTCTAAAACTGGCTTTTCATATCTAAAAAAATTTCCTTTTTTCAAGTCTGTTCATTCCTCATAGTTCTTACTAATTGGTCATTTTTACATCCTTTTTTTTTTTTTTTTTTTTTGAGACGGAGTCTTGCTCTGTCATCCAGGCTGGAGTGCAGTGGCATGATCTCTGCTCACTGCAACCTCCGCCTCCCAAGTTCAAGTGATTCTCTTGCCTCAGTCTCCCGAGTAGCTGGGATTATAGGCATCCACCATCATGCCCAGCTAATTTTTGTATTTTTAGTAGAGATGGGGTTTCATCATGTTGGCCAGGCTGGTCTTGAACTCCTGACCTCAGGTGATCTGCCCACCTCAGCCTCCCAAAGTGCTGGGATTACAGGCGTGAGCCACTGTGCCCGGCCTATCCTTAACTTTAGACATTGCACACAGTACAACTGCTATCCGTATCGGATAGTTCTTAAGGTCAGCAGCTATTGCTTATTGTGTCTGCTGACTCTCTTGGTAGCTGCCCTTCTTTTGTGTCTAGTGATCTTTGAGTTCATTGTTTGATCTTAACCAGGGGAACTGTATGGGCCAAAATTAGGATTGAGGATATTTTTCTCCATAGAGGATTTTCCTTAACTTTTGCAGCAGCTGAAAGATGCCATTCAGATGGATCTACATTAGTCATGATGCCAGAATTGGGCAAATCTGCTGACACCAGGACACCTGTGTATATGTGTTTGTGTCTTTCCAGGAATTCATTGAAGAGTTGCTGTCTCCCCCTTTTGGGGGTTTAGTGGCATTTGTGAAGGAGGCTGAGGCTTTGATTGAGCGTGGACAGGCTGAGCGACTTCGAGGGGAAGAAGGTATGAGGAAAATATGGTAATGATGGGATCAGTGGTAAGGGAAGTGGAAAAGAAAAATGAAAGGATGCAGATTACATGGTGGGGGAATAGAGTATGAAAGACTGGATTGAGAGAATACCAGAAAAGAGGGTTTGATGATAAGGATGGCTATACCTTGGGGAGAACTTAGTGGAGTTGAAGATCAGCCAGATCCCTCTCTGACACTGTTTCCTCCTGCTATTAGCCCGGGTAACTCAGCTGATCCGTGGCTTTGGTAGTTCCTGGAAATCATCAGTGGAATCTCTGAGTCAGGATGTAATGCGGAGTTTCACCAACTTCAGAAATGGCACCAGTATCATTCAGGTGACCTGCAAGTCCCAGGCCCCACTCAGATCCCCCATCATTAATTATTTTCCCCATCTTTTTGCTGGGCTCAGCATCATCTAAGTGACCCTTGGTCTTCAGTTACTAGCTGTGCCCAAAGTTCTGTATGAGCCCTAACCTGATTCTTTTTTTTTTGTTTGTTTTGTTTTTTTTTTGAGACAGAGTCTAGCTCTGTTGTCCAGGCTGGAGTGCAGTGGCACAGTCTCGGCTCACTGCAACCTCTGCCTCCCAGGTTCAAGTGATTTTCCTGCCTCAGCCTCCCAAGTAGCTGGGATTACAGGTGCCTGCCACCACAACCAGCTAATTTTCGTATTTGTAGTAGAGATGGGGTTTCACTGTGTTGGCCAGGCTGGTCTCGAATTCCTGACCTCGTGATCTGCCCGCCATGGCCTCCCACAGTGCTGGGATTACAAGTGTGAGCCACTGCGCCTGGCCGCCTAACCTGATTCTTAATCATCACTATTAGCACCATTTTACGGTTTGATCCCTCAATGACTTTCTTTGACCAGGGAGCGCTGACCCAGCTGATCCAGCTCTATCATCGCTTCCACCGGGTGCTGTCCCAGCCGCAGCTCCGAGCCCTCCCTGCCCGGGCTGAGCTCATCAACATTCACCACCTTATGGTGGAGCTCAAGAAGCATAAGCCCAACTTCTGATGTGCCAGAAACCGCCCTGAGATCTGCCGGTCATCTCCATGGACTTCTGCACCCCATTCCATACCCTTCTTCACCTGGGGTACCCCTTCCAGTTTTCCCCTTGCTTCCCAGGCCCTTGACATGGCTTACCTGCCTTCACTCCCAGCACCTTGCCCAACAGGATAAGCTGGATCCCCTTGGCCTTCTGAATATCCCAGTGTCTTCAGGTTTCCCAAGACCACTTCCCTGTGGGCTTCCAAAATGGCCTTTATCATTTCTCCAGTCTGTCACCCTCCTTTCCTGCTCCCATACACCCAAGGCTTGTTTCTTCCCCTGTAAAAACCACTGCCTCAATCTCTGGTTCACTCAACTAGTCACCATGTCCTGAGGCATGAAGCCTCCTCAGCTCTTGGAATTGCTGGCAAGGGGTGACTGCCTCTGAGTCATTGTGTTTTTCAAAGTGATTTCTTTTCTGTAGCTTTTTGACCTAAGATCTCAGCAATTTGAACACTAACCTCTCCCCTCCTGGCTCAAGAATTACTCCGAAGTCAGTCTGCAGAAAATAAATATTTAGTATGACATGACACTTATCCCATTTCCTTTCTCCTTCCTCCTGAAGGTTTTTCAGGTGGCCCCATCTCTAGAATGACCTTTCCTTTCTGACTACTTCCTGGGCTTACATCCCTTCTGGTGGGTGTAACCTCTAACCTCTAGCTACTCCCAGGCCATTGGAGGAAGGTGGCCCCTGGCTAAAATAGCAGATGCTGCAAGGGATGAGAACCAGGCCGCGCAGCCCCAGACACTGTCCCAAGGGCTCCCTTGGGACAAGCCCAAGCTGACTCTGGAATCCCTCCTCCGTAGCAGCTCCATAGCTCCTCTGGTTGTGGCTGTGACAGCCCCTTGCTCGGGGGCTGCAGCACCCAACCCACACCCACACCGTTGGGGCAGGGCTAGACCAGGCGAAATTCGTACCATCCGTTTGTTTGACTTGGAGCCTTCCTGCTGTCCTCGCCTATACGCCTCGTTTGAACTTAGGCTCTAGACTGGAGAGACACGGGGACCCCTTTAAGGCCTAAGAAGAGAGGCGCAGTTAAGGAAAAATGTTACGTTTCCTGTGTCCTCCACCCCTACGGCCTAAACATTCCCTCCCCAGGTCCCTGGAGAGTGGTGGAAAGCGGTTCCTCCCCGCTTAGGCCCTTCGGATGCAGGTCTAGCCCGTCGGCAACGGGAGGTGTCCTGAGTGGGTCTGTGACTGCCGAGCACACCCGCCGCGGAGCGGAGGCTGCTGCTTCCTGAGGCTGAGAGTGGATCCGGCTCCGGGCTCTCCTAATTGGCGGACGCTGGGGGGCGGCGTGGTAAGGCAGAACGGAGCGGCATCTCAGCTCTCGCCTTTTCAGGGTTCCGCCCCATATCCGAGAGCCGCTCTCTAATTGGCTTGGGAAACCGTATCTCAGCGCTTTGGCCTAGCGACTTTGAACGTGTTTGCGCCTGAGACCGAAGTGCAGAAGAGGGCGAGCGCAGGAGGAGAGGCTTGGTGAATCAGCGATTCCTGATTGGCCAGGCGTGCCTTGAGGGCGGGGCCAGAACTGCGTCCTTAACTGACCTCGCCCTTGCCCAGATCACCGCCTCCGCGTTGCTCCGGGTTTACCCCGCCTGACTCGCTGCGCTATGCGTTCCCTCACGCCTGCCGGATGCCAGGCGGCGATGTGCCAGGCTCTGAGGGGCCGCGAGCTCACCCCAGACGCCGGCCCCGGGAATCCTCTGCTCCTCCACTTTCCCTTCCCGCTACTGGTTTCTTGCCCACCCACTCCCAGGTGTCACTCTTGGGACATCCAGATGTTCTGACATTTGACCTGACTCCAGCCTCAGCGCGAGGACGGGAGAAGGGCCAAGGGTATGAGATTTTGGACAGGAGAGGCATTGGCTACTCTGACAAAGAGCGTGGATTCCCAAAGAAAGGGTCCCCAGATACCCCGCAGGGGAGACTGTCGAGACAGGCGACTTTAGCCAACTAATGCTCGCACGCGAGGAGGGCTGTGCAGGCAGGCACCACGGTTCTTCACAGCCTTCCTTCTTTCCTTCCCCTGTCCGTCGCAGAACCCAAATCCTCAGAGCTGATCGAGAAGCGCGTGTTGTTGCAGAAGTCACTGAGGGGCAGACCTGGAATGTGAGCCGTGGGGCGAAGGGACAGCTCTGGAGACTCGTGATTCCGGAACCCGGTGGGCATTCAAGTGATACTGGAGCACGCAGTTTTCGGGGACATTAAGCTCGCCCCAGGGGTCCACAGGAACCCTCTGACCCAACGGTCTCTCTGGACAGGATGATCCAGAACAGACGGTGAAGAGACAAAACAGCGTGAAAGGGAGCGGCGATACCTAAACTGACCTCCGGAGGGCAGCATGATCAAGGGAAGGAGCTGTTCTCGCTCCGCTCAAACCCCCGCGCAGCCTCTGCAGCTTACTCCTGCTTCGGAAGGCGGCGAGGTTCCACCCCCACCACCCCGGTCCCCGCCGCCCTCTTCGCGCTGAAGCTGCGGAGGGTCTTTTTCTTCAGCCCCCAAATCCTCTGCTCTGTGGCTTAAGATTCCCAGGCTTAAACCCATAACTGCTAGGGTCATCACTCCTCAAACTTCTCCCTCACTTGTTTTGCTGATGACGGACACAGGGGCCTCACAGACTCAGAAGCATCTGGAGTCATTTCGAAGGACAGAACTGTGGCAATATCCTCTTTCCCCCTCCTAATCTCTGAGAACAGTGTCTGTATATGGCACGGGGGTCCCTAGTGTCATATAGAAGGACTCGGAGATGTCCTCATGGGCTGTAACGGCCCCCGGTGCTATTCAGGGATCTCTGTTCTTTAAAGAAATATCATTTCCCCTTATTTCTCTACCTTTGTGCCCTCACCTCGCCCTGAATTGTTTCTTAAACTGGGCTTTCTGGGAAACGTTTACTTCGTGTTCAACAGCAAAGTCTCGGCATAAGGCGAGGGCGGCAGGGGGTGGGGGGCGGGCGTTTGCTCGCCTTGGCATTAATTTCAGAGCTGCTGAACGTGGACAAAAGAGAGGGAACATCCTCCTTTCTTCCATTCCTGTAAATATGGACCCACCCACCCTCCACTTAAGATGGGTGGCTTTTCTGATTTTAAGATATCAAGCAGCCTGGCGAGGTGGCTGACACCTGGGATCCCAGAACTTTGGGAAGCCGAGGCGGGAAGATCCCTTAAGGCCAGGAGTTCTAGACCAGCCTGGCCAATATGGCGAAAACCCATCTCTACTAAAAATACAAAAATTAGCCTGGCGTGGTGGTGCCTGCCTATAATCCCAGCTACTAGGGTGGCTGAGTCAGGAGAGTCGCTTGAACCTGGGAGGCGGAGGTTGTAATGAGCCGAGATGGCCACTGCACTCCAGCCTGGGTGACAGTGAGACTCTGTCTCAAAAATAATAATAATAATAATAATAAAAAGATATAAATTGGCTGGGCTTTAAAATAAAGTAGTCAGAGGCCCAGGGTGGTGACTCATGCCTGTAATCCTTTTGGAAGGCAGAGGCCAGAGGATCTTGAGCACAGGAGTTTGAGACTAGCCTGGGCAACATAGGGAGACCCATCTCTACCAAAAAAAAAAAAAAAAAAAAGCAAAAAGCCAAGCATGGTGGCCCATGCCTGTGGTCCCAGCTAGTTGTGAGGCTGAGGCAGGAGGATTGCTTGAGAACAGGAGTTAGAGATTGCAGTGAGCTATGATTGCACTACTGCACTCCAGCCTGGGTGACAGAGTGAGACCCTATCTCTTTTTAAAAAATTAAAAAACAAAGTAGATTTAGTGTGAAGATTCAAGGAAAGAAAGAGAAAGCAAGACAAAACTTTAAGGAGAGGAGAATCGAAATTGGCTGACTTCACCCTGGACATAATGGACACAGCTATTCATGTTACGTACTAGCGTTAACAAAGTGTTTTCAGAAGCAGTTGTCATTAAACCAACACATTTATTGAAGCTCTTCTCTGTGTTCTGTGATAGGCACTGCGGATTCAGCAGAGACTAAATCAAAGTCCTTGATCTCGGAGAGCACATATTTCATCTAATTGAATTCACATACCAGCCTTATGAGGAGGTGTTCTTCCTGTTTCAGGTAATGAGCTTGAATTTCAAATAATGAGTTCAAAACCATATAGGCACTCAGTGGCTGAACCTTCTGTGCCCACATTCAGCTTTTGTTCTATGACTCCAGGCTGGGAGTCATGGAGCTGAGGAGGCAGCCGGTTGTAGAGAAGCAACAGATTAATAAGTAATAGTAAATTATTGAAAAAATATTTACAGAACTGAAGGAAAAGCTGAACAGGCGGTCTTTGGAAAGGACAGAAGCCAGGATAGTTCCAGCATCCAGGCAGCAGACACCAATGGTCAGTGCTTCTACTTTGGATCAAAAAGAGAGAACTCCAATAGGCTTAGGGTGGGTCAGGTGCTCACACTCATCTGAGGAAGGGGAGGGTCCCTTGAGGAATAGTACCATAGACTACCCAATGTTGGAGGATAATGGCCCCAACGCAAAAATGGGATCTTGCCACCAGACAAATGGGATATAGATGCCAGGCTGCAAAATCCAACAAATGTACACGTGCCCAAATCCCGACTCCATCACTAATAGCCATGCAATCCTCTGACTATCAATTAGATTAATTGACACTCTTTTTTCTCTCGCTACTGTGGTACATGCAGTAGTTACCTTTATTCTTCACTTTGTTTTCTCATAAGACTAACAAGCAGTTTTTTAAAATAAAGAAATAAAAGCAAAATTGCTTATTGTCTTAGTCTATTCATTGGCAAACTAGTAACATTAAATAAACTCCAGACAGAGCCACTGGAGAAGAATCAAGTACAACTTAGTAGAAATAACACCGTATGTGTGAAGGTGAGTGTGTGTGTGTGTGTGTGTGTGTGTGTGTGTGTGTGTGTGATGGAAAATACTTTGTCCTGCCCAAACTGTAAGTCATGACCATGCCCCTCTCAGCAGAAGTTTATCTTCATCTCATTTGGAAGTTTATAAGAACACAGCTTAAAAAAAACCTGTGATTTTGGAGCAAGGTCAAGCCTTTGCTATTGCTTCCACATTTTGTTTTGTTTTATTTATTTATTTACTTTTCAGTTTTTTGGAGTTTTCTTTATTTGTTTGTGTTTTTGAGACAGGGTCTCGCTCTGTTGCCCAGGCTGGAGTGCAGAGGCACCATCTCGGCTCACTGCAACCTCTGCCTCCCGGGTTCAAGCGATTCCCCTGGCTTAGCCTACTGAGTAGCTGGGATTACTGGCACGCACCACCACATCCAGCTAATTTTTGTATTTTCAGTAGACACTGAAATACATGTTTGCCATGTTGGCTGGGCTGGTCTCAAACTCCTGGCCTCATGTGATCTGCCTGCCTCGGCCTCCCAAAGTGCTGGGATTACAGGCATGAGCCACCACGCCTGCCTAGTTTTTAGTTTTTTGAGACAGAGTCTTGCTCAGTTACCCAGGCTGGAATGCAGTGGCATGATCACAGTTTACTGCAGCCTCGACCTCATGGATTTAAGCAATCCTCCCACCTCAGCCTCTGGGATAGCTGGGACTACAGTCATGTGCCACCACACCTGGCTAATTTTTGTATTTTTTGGTAAACGAGGTTTCACCATGTTGCCCAGGCTGGTCTTGAACTCCTGAGCTCAAGTGATCTCCTACCTCGGCCTCCCAAAGTGTTGGAATTACAGGCATGAGCCACTGCCCCAGCTGTTTTATTAATTTAGTTAAAAATATATGAAAAGAGGCCCTGCGCGGTGGCTCACGCCTGTAATCCCAGCACTTTGGGAGGCTGAGGTGGGCGGATCACCTGCGGTTTTGGAGTTCAAGACCAGCCTGACCAACATGGAGAAACCCCATCTCTACTAAAAATATAAAAAATCAGCTAGGCATGGTGGCACATACCTGTAATCTCAGCTACTCGAGAGGCTGAGGCAGGAGAATTGCCCTAACCCAGAGGAGGTTGTGGTGAGCCAAGATTGCGCCATTGCACTCCAGCCTGGGCAACAAGAGCGAAACTCTGTCTCAAAAAAAAAAGTATATATATATATATATATATATGAAAAGGCTGGGTGCGGTGGCTCACGCCTGTAATCCTAACACTTTGGGAGGCTGAGGCAGGTGGATCACCTGAGGTCAGGAATTTGAGACCAGCCTGGCCAACATGGCAAAACCGTGTCTCTACTAAAAATAAAAAAATTAGCCAGGCATGGTGGCAGGCGCCTGTAATCCCAACTACTTGGGAGGCTGAGGCAGGTGGATCACCTGAGGTCAGGAATTTGAGACCAGCCTGGCCAACATGGCAAAACCCTGTCCCTACTAAAAATACAAAAATTAGCCAGGCATGGTGGCAGGTGCCTGTAATCCCAACTACTTGGGAGGCTGAGGCAGGAGAATTGCTTGAACTCAGGGGGCAGAAGTTGGCAGTGAGCCAAGATCACACCATTTCACTCCAGTCTGGGCAAAAGAGCAAGATTCTGTCTCAAAAAAAAAAAAAAAAAAAAAAAAAAAAATATATATATATATATATATATATACATACATACACACACACATACACACATACAGGCACTAGCCAGGCGTGGTGGCTCATGCCTGTAATCCCAGCACTTTGGGAGGCCGAGGCGGGCAGATCACAAAACAGGCAGGGCATGGTGGTCCACGCCTGTAATCCTAGCACTTTGGGAGGCTGAGGTGGGCAGATCACTTGAGCACAGGAGTTCGAGACTAGCCTGAGCAACATGGCGAAACTCTGTCTCTACCAAAAATACAAAAATTAGCTGGGTGTGGTGGTGCATGCCAGTAATCCCAGCTACTCCGGAGGCTGAGAGGCAGGAGGATTGCTTGGGGAGGCAGAGGTTGCAGTGAGCCGAGATGGCACCACTAGACTCCAGCCCAGGTGACAGAGGGAGACCCTGTCTCAAAAAAAAAAAAAAAAAGAAAGAAAAGAAGAAAAGAAAAACAAATCACCTGCCTTATGAAGAAACAGTTTGTAATAGATATAAGACACAGAATGTGCAGCCCCTGGTATGGAATAAGTCCTTAGAAAATGTTAGTTTCCTCTCTGTCCCTGTGTGACATGAAGGGAATTCCAGGGCCAGTGCCACTTCCTGGTGGTTTCCCTCACTTAAGTGCTGTGTACCCCATTGCAAAAGCATGTCTTCCAGGTTCCTGATACCACATCCCATGTCCTCTGCCTTTGGGGCTCTCATAGGATTAAGTGTCATTTTCCCTATGAACTAGAAAAGAATCTTCTGAACGTCTGCCTTGGGACTGATGATATAGCTGAGCTGAAAGGACAATTAGTTTTCCTCCCCAGACCAACCCAACCTTCAAGGCTGGGGACTCATTTGATGCTCCCATTCAAACATTTGGAGAAAATTGTCTCTGAGTACCAGGTCTTTTTAGCATATTTTCTCCAAATGTTACATCCTTAGGGGCTTTGAATAGTAGAAGAGCCTTCAACATTGGTTCAGATGGAAGCATGCAGGCATGTGGAGAGTTGCCACTCCCTGATCCCTGAAACAAGGCTTAGGATGGAAAAGAGCCTCCTGGGGAGGTTGGCTCTGAATGTAAAGCTGGGAGAGGCACCTCCTGTCAACCTAAGGGCTTGTTGGTAGGGGCAACATGTTGACCTGGCTTCCTTCCCACTCTGAGACATCACTGGCTCTCATGCAGAGCTATTTTCCTTCTTTCTTTCTTTCTTTCTTTCTTTCTTCTTTCTTTCTTTCTTTCTTTCTTTCTTTCTTTCTTTCTTTCTTTCTTTCTTTCTTTCTTTCTTTTCTTTTCTTTTCTTTCTTTCTTTTTTTTTTTGAGACGGAGTTTCACTCTTGTTGCCCAGGCTAGAGTGCAACGGCACGATCTCAGCTCACCACAACTGCCACCTCCCTGGGCCAAGCAATTCTCGTGCCTCAGCCTCCCGAGTAGCTGGGATTACAGGCATGTGCCACCATGCCCAGCTAATTTTGTATTTTTAGTAGAGATGGGGTTTCTCCTTGTTGGTCAGGCTCGTCTCAAACTCCCAACCTCAGGTGATCCACCTGCCTTGGCCTCCCAAAGTGCTGGGATTACAGGAGTAAGCTGCCGTGCCTGGCCTTTCATTCTTTTCTTTCCTTCTTTCCTTCTTTCCTTCCTTCCTTCTTTCCTTCTTTCCTTCCTTCCTTCCTCCCTCCTTCCCTCCCTCCCTCCTTTCTTCTTTCTTCTCTTTCTTTCTCCTTCCTTCCTTCTCTCTCTCTTTTCTTTTCTTTCTTCTTTCTGGGTTTCGCTCTATTGCCGAGGCTGGAGTGCAGTGAGTGGCACGATCACGGCTCACTGTAGCCTCAACTTCCTAGGCTCCAGCGATCCTCCTACCTCAGCCTCCTTAGTAGCTGGGATTGCAGGCATGAGCCACTGTGCCCAGTGTAATGCAGGGCTCTTCATCCAGGATCCCAAAGGGCAAACAAAAATAGGAGAAAATTACATTTCATTTTCACTAATCTCTAACTGAAATTTAGCATTTTCTCCAATGATAAATGTAGGCAATAAACCTACACCGGTATTTGTAGTACATGTGACTGTTGTTAATAGAATTTACACATTTGTGTCATCTTCCAGTAGTTGCAGAAATTTCAAAATGTCATGTATGCTCACGGTTACTTTGTAGTTAGTGGTAGTGGTTAGACTCACCACTAGATCTTCTTCTTACACATTTTGTTTCATTTTGACAACTGTACTTCAATATGATTGTTTTCCTTTGTAATCCCATTTATTTTACTTTATGCAGTTGAAGATTATTCTGACACTCCACAGACTTCACCAGACTTCCAAAACCTGTCCTAGACGTAAAAAGTTAAGAAACCTTAAATCTCTAATGATGCTGTCATTTCCTGTTTTGTATTATCTTACAACCAGGGTAATTAGGAATGCCTTCTTCTTCTTCTTTTTTTTTTTTTTTTTTTGAGACGGAGTCTTGCCCTGTCACCCAGGCTGGAGTGCAGTGGCACAATCTTGGCTCACTGCAACCTCTGCCTCCCGGGTTCAAGTGATTCTCCTGCCTCAGCCTCCCAAGTAGGTGGGATTGCAGGCATCCACCACCATGCCCAGCTATTTTTTTGTATATTTAGTAGAGATGGGGTTTCACCATGTTGGCCAGGCTGGTCTTGAACTCCTGACATCAGGTGATCCACCCACCTCAGCCTCCCAAAGTGCTGGGATTACAGGCATGAGCCACCGTGCCTGGCTTGCTTTCTTCTTGTTTAAACTAAAGGTCTTCTTGTAAAATTCCTGCTTATATTTTCTTCATTATTACTCAAATTCAATTATTCATTTATTTGCCAAATATTTAGAAAACACTTCTCTTGTACAAAACCATGCTGCATAAAACTGTTATTATGCGAAAAATAATCCTTACTCGCCATGCCCTCTACCCCGACCCCCCAACCCCATTTACAATCTGGTAGAGCTGGACTGTTTACCCACATAGGACACACAGGCTGCAGCTTACCATGGGCAGGGAGTGGGGATGGTTGTTCCAGGTGCAGGTAATAAGAAGGTGTATTGTCTGTGGAGAATTTAAAAATAATTCTAAAACCAACTTTTTTTTTTTTTTTTTTTTTGAGATGGAGTCTGACTCTTTGGCCCAGGCTGGAGTGCAGTGGCACCATCTTGGCTCACTGCAGCCTCTGCCTCCCGGGTTCCAGTGATTCTCCTGCCTCAGCCTCCCAGGTAGCTGGCATTACAGGCACACACCACCACGCCAGGCTAATTTTTGTGTTTTTAGTAGAGACGGGGTTTTACCACGTTGGCCAGGCTGGTCTTGAACTCCTGACCTCAGGTGATCTGCCCACCTCACCCTCCCAAAGTGCTAGGATTACAGGTGTGAGCCACTGCGCCCAGCCTGAAGCCAACTTTTTATTGATACTGCGCACCAGCAATTATAAAAAAATGTTAGTGACAAAATACCCCTTGCAGTGTAGCCTCCTCCCCCCACTCCACCCTGCTTGGTATGCCACTGCACACAGGGGAGTTTAACCATTTCCAGTTTACACACACACACACAGACACACACACACACACACACACACACACACACACAAACACACAGAGCCTTTGAGACTTCCTTTTCTCCTCAACTCCCCCAGCCCAGTTCTCATGTCACTCTACTCAGGGTAGGATCTGCAGCACTGCTGGGCCAGTATCCCCAAAGGTGAGCCCTGTAAGCTCCTTGGCCTCTGGATGGTCTCATTAATAGTCCAGGATGAGCCCTGCAATCTTGGCATCTGTAGGCAGGTCTCAGCTCTTCTTCACACCCCTGGGCTTGAACCCCTTGGCAACTGCGTTTGACAGTACATGATTCCCATTCTTCATCTCCAGATTTTCCATCCTTCAAGAAAACACTGGATTTCCTGGTCAAGCCAAGGCTTAATGAACTGGCCTGGCAGCTTCTCTGGTCCTCAAGTTTCCTTTTCTTGCCTTACTTTCTGAAGACTTCTAGTAGTTTTACTTGGAAGTGTCACTGTCTCCATTTTTATTCCTGAGTTTTCTGCAGTTCTTTTTTCTGTGGCCCCACGGACTCATCCAGAGCCTGCAGGGAGCTGACACCTCATCTGAGCTGCTAGAATTGAGGTGAGAAAGGAGGTTCCTAAGTGCAGAAATGTGTTTTCTCCTCTCCAGCCACCACTGAAGGCTTTGGATGTGATTGAGTCAGACCTCTCCTGCACAGTCTCCCTTTGGATTACCTCAAGATAAACCAATTTGTGACTTTAATTACATCCGCGAAGTCCCTTCCCAGCTGCACCTAAGCTAAAGTGTGATTGAATGAATGAAAGAGGGTGTGCTGGCGATCAGCTAGGGAAGTGATTCCAAGGGTCCCTAGACTCCACATTACCAACTGCAAAATGTGACGTTCTTACGTTCTGACAAGCGAACTCTCCTCCCAAATTCATTGCCTGAGTTGATGCAAATGAATTCAGCCACGCCTTTTGGGTTTGGCATCTGAGAAGTGTCTGTGACTTGGGAAGAGTGGTCAGAATGGCGATAATGGGAAGAGACCACATTTCAGCTGGTGGAGAGTGAAAGGACAGCCAACATCTTGCCCTTTCTGAAGCATACACACATTGGAGATTGAAAGTGTCTGTTGGCCTCACAGGCACTGAGGAAAGCCTCCCATCCCCTTAGATTTTCCTCCTTTTTCCTGAGGTCCCCTGAACCTAATAGTCTGTAACCTTATTCCATGTCTGGGTCAACAAACCACCTTCCAAGGAGGACTTGAATATAATAATCCGTTTCCTCTGCATTCCTCCAGAACACAGAGTCCACACCATCCATGAGTCTGTCAAACAAAACATTCCTCATTGGTCTCAATGTTGAGCACTGAAAGTTCTCTGAGCTCATTTAGCACCAACTCATCATCCTTAAAATCCACAGGATGGGCCGGGTGCAGTGACCCATGCCTGTGACTACAACACCTTGGGAGGCCAAGGGGCAGATCTCTTGAGCCCAGGAGTTCAAGACCAGCCTGGGAAACATGGTGAGACACCTTCTCTACAAAAAAAAATTTTTTTTTTTGAGACGGAATCTCACTCTGTCGCCCAGGCTGGAGTGCAGTGGTGCAATCTCGGCTCGCTGCAACCTCCGCCTCCAGGGTTCAAGCGACTCTCTGCCTCAGCTCCCGAGTAGCTGGGATTGCAGGCATCCACCACCATGCCCAGCTAATTTTTGTATTTTTAGTAGAGACAGGGTTTTACCACGTTGGCCAGGCTGGTCTCGAACTCCTGACCTCGTGATCTACCCGCCTCAGCCTCCCAAAGTGCTGGGATTACAGGTGTGAGCCACCATGCCCGGCCTACAAAAATTTTTTTAAAAAAATTAGCCAGGAATGGTGGTGTACACCTGTGGTCCCAGCTACTTGGGAAGCTGAGATAGGAGGATTCCTTGAGCCCAGGAGGTTGAGGCTGCACAGTGAGCTGTGATCACGCCACTGTACTCCAGCCTGAGCAATAGTGAGACCTTATCTCAGAAAACAAACAAAACAACCAAAAATATCCATAGGATGAAACATATGTTTGATTATGACAACTTGCTTATGGTACCTTCTGGATGGCCCAGCTCCCTTGCAGATCCCCAGACCAACAGCTTTTGTTGTAGTGACAGCTTCTTCTTGTAACCTCTTTTTTTTTTTTTTTGAGATGGAATTTCACTCTTGTTGCCCAGGCTGGAGTGCAATGACATGATCTCGGCTCACTGCAGCCTCTGCCTCCAGGGTTCAAGCGATTCTGCTGCCTCAGCCTCCTGAGTAGCTGGAACTACAGGTATGCACCACCATGCCCGGCTAATGTTTGTATTTTTAATAGGGACGGTGTTTTGCCATGTTGGCCAGGCTGGTCTCGAACTCCTGGCCTCAGGTGATCCACCTGCCTCAGCTTCCCAAAGTGCTTGGATTACAGGCGTGAGCCACTGCACCTGGCCTACAGCCTCTAATTTCATTTTCATCCAAAAGCTTTAATGGAAGGCCCACAGATTCCCTCTTCAAGTAACAGCAAAGCGCATCTCCTTTAAGATTTCTTTGATCATCTTCATAAAGCTTGACTTTGAAGTCTTCTGAGGATTTCTCCTGGAGGCAAACCAGATATATAGACATTTGTATTTCTGTCTTCTTCAACATGAAATTATCCTCATTCCATTTTTCTTTTATCTCCCCTGTTTTTAGGATCAGTGGGTTTGGGGGGTTTTCTTTGCAGAAATTCTGCATTCCTAGCATTGACATTTTGTACATTTGCAGGAGAGCTAGATGCCCCACCATTAGAAAAGCCACACTTGGCTGGGTATGTAGCAATGAAACCTTCAGTGGCCTTGGGAAACCACGCCTTCTTGTCCAGATCCCACTCATTGTGGGAGTCAGTTGGCTGCTGCCCTAAATAACCCGTTTGTCACTGAGATCTTCTTGTCTGTTGCAGTCCTTAGTGTCTCCATATAATTTATGCATTCACAACTGCTCATCAAGTCATCATTATCATCCACTTCATGTTTCCTACCTAGCCAGGGGCAGGGTTCAGGTAATCAAAGAGGCTGCTCTGCTGGGCCTGCAAGGCTCCACCAAGTGTGTCTGAGGTGACAGCCCAAGCACTGTTATAAATATTTGCGCACTGTTGTAAACATTTGCATTAGTCCCTTCTCGCACTGCTATAAAGAAATACCTGAAACTGGGTAACTTATAAAGAAAAGAGGTTGCCGGGCGCGGTGGCTCATGCCTGTAGTCCCAGCACTTTGGGTGGCTGAGGCAGGTGGATCACTTGAGGTCAGGAGTTTGAGACCAGCCTGGCCAATATGGTGAAACCCCGTTTCTACTAAGAATACAAAAATTAGCCGGGCATGGTGGCCAGCACCTGTAATCCCAGCTACTTGGGAGGCTGAAGCAGGAGAATCACTTGATCCGGGGAGGCAGAGGTTGCAGTGAGCCAAGATCATGCCACTGCACTCCAGCCTGGGTGACAGAGCAAGACTCCGTCTCGGAAAAAAAGAAAAGAAAAGATGTTTGCTGGGCACAGTGGCTCATGCTTGTAATCCTAGCAGCACTTTGGGAGGCTGAGGCCGGAGGGTTAATCACTTGAGCTCAAGAGTTTGAGACCAGCCTGGGCAACATGGCAAAAACCCGTCTCTATAAAAAATTCAAAACTTAGCTGGGTATGGTGGCATGTGCTTGTGGTTCTAGCTACTTGGGGAGCTGAGGTGGGAGAATTGCTTCAGACCAGAAGGTAGAGGCTACAGTGAGCTGTGATTGCGCCACTGCCTGGGCGACAGAGCAAGACCCTATCTCAAAAAAAAAAAGAGGTTTAATTGGCTCATGGTTCTGTGGGCTCTACAGGAAGCATGATGCTGGCATCTGCTTGCCTTCTGGGGAGGTCTCCAGAAACTTACAATTATGGCAGAAGGCAAAGGAGGAGCGAGCCTTCTCACATGGCAGGAGCCGAGAGAGAGGGAGGAGGTGCGGCACACTTTTAAACAACCAGAGCTTGCCAGAACTCTCTATCATGAGAACAGCACCAGGAGGATGGTGCTAAACCATTCGTGAGAATCCACTCCCATAATCCAACCACCTCTCACCAGGCTCCACCTCCAACACTGGGACTACATGAGATTTGGTGGGGACACAGATCCAAACCATATCAACATTTAACACATTGCATCTTTGAATTGTCACAGCAACCCTGTGAGGTGGGTACTAGTGTTATCCCCATTTTACAGAGAGGAAATTGATGCCCAGAGACCTTGCCAAGGTTATAGACAGGACAGTTAGTGCATGACAAAGCTGGAATTGGAATGCAGCCAGTTCTGCTTTAGAAGCCACTTTCTTGCCTGCCTTTCTTTCTTTATTTCTTTATCTTTTCTTTCTTTCTCTCTCTCTCCTTCCTTCCTTCCTTCCTTTTCTTTCTTTTCTTTTCTTTTTTTTTTTTTTTTTTGAGACAGGGTCTGGCTTTGTTGCTCAGGCTGGAGTGTGGTGGCACCATCTTGGCTCACTGCAACCTCCACCTTCTGGGCTCAAGTCATCCTCCTACCTAAGCTTCCCAAGTAGCTGGGATTACAGGTGCATACCACCACACCTGGCTAATGTTTGTATTTTTTTTAGTAGAGATGGGGTTTCACCATGTTTGCTAGGCTGGTCTTGTACTCCTGGCCTCCCAAAGTGCTGGGATTAGAGGCGTGAGCTATTGCACCCCGCCTGAAGCTACATTCTTTTTTTTTTTTTTTTTTTAATGAGACGAGTCTTGCTCTGTCCCCCAGGCTGGAGTGGTGCAGTGGCGTGATCTTGGCTCACTGGAACCTCCGCCTCCCGGGTTCAAGCAATTCTCCTGCCTCAGCCTCTCGAGTAGCTGGGATTACAGGCACCTGCCACCACTCCTGGCTGTTTTTTCCATTTTTAATAGAGACGGGGCTTCACCATATTGGCCATGCTGGTCTCAAACTCCTGACCTCAAGCGATCCGCCTGCCTTGGCCTTCCAAAGTGCTGGGATACAGGCATAAGCCATCGTGCCTGGCCAAGGCTACATTCTTAAACGCCACTTTTTACAGCTTCCAAGAAACTAACTGGGTGAAATCCAGCCTGCCTCCTGTCCTTGTTTTTATCATTTCATAGTGAAAACATAAACTCCCAAGCCCACCTACTCTATTGCACTGTGTCTCCATGACACTCTGTACCTTCTGGCTCTGACTCAGCCCTCCACTTTCCCCCTCCCTAACCTGCCTGTGCCCTCTAATAAACTGTAGCCCCCCTCATACCCTTAGCTTCTCCTTGGAGCATTCCCTCCACTTCCTGGCGTTAAGTGAAATTTAACTCTCCCTTGAGGGCACTACCTCCTTTGCAGGCTTCTGAAATGAGAGCTGTTGATTTTCTTACAGCTGAGGGTGCTCTCCTGGCTTCAGATTGCTGCCTCCGGACTACTCCTCCCCCAGCCCCCAACTCTAGTTTAAAATAACCCGCGGCCTTCCAGGCACTGCAATTAGGCTAAACTTTCCTCTTCCTTTCTCACTGCTACTGTCTGCCAGACCCCTCCACCTCACTCAGGGGAACGCTGGCCCAGCTGACCGTCTGTCTTTGCATTGAGTCCTCCCTCTGGGAGACTTCATTGTCCACCTGGAGGATCCATTCCCTACTTGACCTCTCAATAACCTGGCCACTTAATCCCCAAGAATCTTCTCCTCTCCAACTCGGCCACACATTCTCATTGTCATACCCTGGACCTTATCACCTGAAAGAGCCCCTCCTTGAGAATCAGTCAAGCAGCCTGCTCTTGGCCCCCACCTCCTAACCGTCTGTCCATCAGTCTGTCTGCCCTCCTCGCAACCAATTTTCAGTCTCCTAGGACCTTTGGATCAATGATGCCTTCCGTCTTCCAGCTTATGAGCCCCTCCCTATTCAGCTCAACTCCACAACCCTTCATTTCAACACCTCTCTGGACAATGTCGCCAACTCCCCTTCCCCTCTGTATTTTCATCCTTTGTACCCAAGTGGCAAAACCCCAACCCTGGATGAGCCCAGTGATCTGTTTTCTTCAGGATTTTACTCTGATAGCCAAGAACTGTTGGTGGTGGTGGGGGAAATCACACAATCAGGAAATGGTTCCCACTCCTCACTCATGATCATGAACTCTAAGGAGGCTCCCAGAATTGTTTAGTGGCCCAACCACATCACTCTGGTCAATGGCTACGTTAAACCTCCCTGATCCTTGAACCTCTGAGGCTCTTCTGTCTCTCACCTCATGCTCACTTGATGACCTCCCTCTTATGTCACAGAGAAAATGAAAGTCATCAGAGGTGAGCTCCCTCAACCATCTGTCACCAGATCCACACCCCTCCAAGAGGAACACAATGCATGCAGCGCATGTACCTTGATTTGATCCTGATTTGAAATATATGCATAGGCTGGATGCAGTGGCTCACGCCTGTAATTCCAGCACTTTGCTTGAGCTCAGGAGTTCAAGGCAGGTGGATTACTTAAGCTCAGGAGTTCAAGACCCACCTGGGCAACAGAGAAAAACCCTGTCTCTACAAAAAAAAAAAAATACAAAAATTAGTCAGGTGTGGTGGGTCACACCTAAATAGTAGTTCCAGCTACTTAGGAGGCTGAGGTGGGAGGATCACTTGAGCCTGGGAGGTGGAGGTTGTAGTGAGCTGTGATTGCACTGCTGCACTCTAGCCTGGGTGACAGTGAGACCCAGTCAAAAAAGAAAGAAGGAAAGGAAGGAAGGAAAGGGAGGAGAGAGAGAAAGGAAGGAAGGAAGGAAGGAAAAACAGAAGAAAGGAAGGAAAGAAATTAAAAAGAAAGATATATATATATATAAATATATATATAAAAGACATTTTGAGGCTAACTGGGGAATATTTGAGTATATTCTGCTATCAGATGAAGTGAAGAAATGATCGTTATTTTCTAATTTTGTTTTTTTTTTTGAGACTGAGTCTTGCTCTGTCACCAGGCTGGAGGTCAGTGGCGCAATCTCAGCTCACTGCAACCTGTCCCTACTGGGTTCAAGCAATTCTCCTGCCTCAGCCTCCCAAGTAGCTGGGATTATAGGTATGCACCACCACGCCCGGCTAATTTTTGTATTTTTAGTAGAGACGGGGTTTCACCATATTGGCCAGGATGGTCTCAATCTGTTGACCTTGTGATCCTCCTGCCTCAGCCTCCCAAAATGCTGGGATTACAGGTGTGAGCCACCGTGCCTGGCCATGATCATTATTTTCTTAGCTGTGATTACGTATTGTGGTTATGGAATCTCCTTATTTTTGGGAGATGCATGCTGAGGTACTTAGGTGTGAAGCACATGCTTTCCTATATTTTCATATGGTCCAAGAATGTTTTAGTAGTCACTCAACAATTTCTATGTTTAAAAAAAAAAAAAAGGGCTGGGCACAGTGGCTCATGCCCGTAATCAATCCGAGCACTTTGGGAGGCTGAGGCAGGCGGATCACCTGAGGTCGGAAGTTCAAGACCAGCCTGACCAACATGGAGAAACCCCATCTATAGTAAAAATACAAAATTAGCTTGGCGTGGTGGCGCATGCCTGTAATCACAGCTACTCGGGAGTCTGAGGCAGGAGAATTGCTTGAACCCAGTAGGCGGAGGTTGCGTACAGCCGAGATCGCGCCATTGCACTCCAGCTTGGGCAACAAGAGCGAAATTCCATCTCAAAACAAAAAACTAAAAACAAGCCCACAAAGACGTATATAGGCCTTGGCACTGTGGCTCATGTCTGTAATCCCAGAACTTTGGGAGGCCAAAGCAAGAGGATCACCTGAGTCCAGTTTGAGACCAGCTGGGCAACAAGGCGATACCTTGTCTCTACAAAAAATTTAAAAATTAGCCGGGCATGGTGCCATGCACCTGTGGCCCCAGTTACTTGAGAGGCTGAGGTGGGAGGATCGCTTGAGCCCAAAAGTTTGAAGCTGAGATGAGCTATGATCAGGTCACTGCACTCCACCCTGTGCGATGAAGTGAGACCCTGTCTTGGAAAAAAAAAAAAAGAACCATATATATATGTGTGTGTATATATATATGTTTGTATATATATAATATATAAATATTTGTATATATGTATAAATAACAATTGTTAAATCTAAGTAAAATGATCGACATACAAACAATATTGTATTATATTTTCAAGTTTTCTGTATGTTTGAAATTTTTCATAATAAAAAAACTGGGCAAAATTCTCTCACTTCCACTCACTGCTCGACCCTTTCAGGCTGGTGTTTATCTCTACCTTGCTGCTACTCAAATGTTTTTTTGCAATGAACTTTATGTCATTAAGTCCATTGTTTCGTTTTCTTCTTACTTGAACTGCCACTAGTAGCTGACGTTGCTGGCCAGTTCTTTCTTGAAACACTGTCGTTTTTTGGCCTCCAGGATTTGGCCTCTTCTGGCTTCCTCCCATCCCTCCATCGGCTGCTCTTCCACCCCTCAGCCGGCTCACTCCGCCTTTGACTGAAATCACCTGGTCATATTGGAGTTCATCAAGAGAGGTCGGTCCTGGACCCTCCTCTTCTTATGCTACCCTTTCCTTCTAGGGGATCACACCTGTCCTGTGGCTTCAGTTCCCATCAGCTGGTTACTCTCAAATTTATCTCTTGCCTCAAATCTCCAGATTTGACCACCTTCCTGCCTGGCATCCCTACTTGGATGTCCCAAAGGTATTACTAACTTAGCTTTTTTTTTTTTTTTTTTGGGAGACAGAGTTTCGCTCTTGTTGGCCAGGCTGGGGTGCAGTGGCAAGACCTTGGCTCACTGCAACCTCCGCCTCCTGGGTTCAAGTGATTCTCCTACCTCAGCCTCCGGAGTAGCTGGGATTACAGGCATCCGCCACGACACCCGGCAAACTTTTTGTATTTTCAGTAGAGATGGGGTTTCACCATGTTGGCCAGGCTGGTCTCAAACTCCTGACCTCAGGTGATCCACCTGCCTCAGCTTCCCAAAGTGCTGGGATTACAGGCATGAGCCACGGTGCCCAGCTTAACTTAGCATATTTGAAACAGAAGTCATGATCTTCCCACAGAAGCAGTATCATCCTCAGATCTGAACCACAGGGGCCCTGCCCTGGCCCACATACTTTAGGGGGATTCACCTATCACAAACAACTTATCACACACATTTATTACATGACACCTGGGCACCTCTGTCACTGATCTGCTGTCAGTGCTGGAACAGCACAACCTGAAATCTTACACATCTGCTCTTGTAATCAACGCCGTTCAAGCCCTGGGGAATGGTGACTTCTGTAATCTCTTGCCCTGTATCCTGGAAACAAAAGATGACTATAGCCAATTCTGTGAAAATCTGAGGTTGTGCCTCTGCCTGGATTCTGAAGCATGTACTGCTTTGGAGTGTAGGGAGGATTTAAGCAGTGGAAACATGTAAGTGAAATCACTTTAACCAGCTTGTTAAATATTACCTCTCAAATAGCATGACAAAGTATCATTTCCCAATAGTGTTGAGTGTGGTTTTTCTTGTTTCTCTTTGTTTTAGAGGTATGGATGTATGTTGTGCTGCATTTACAACAGTTGCAAAGGATAGCTGAGGAACATGTTGCTGTATTAAACAATCCTTATTACTGTTAAATTTATATGCATGTGGTGGGAGGGGTGGTGAGGGATAAAAAACTACACATTTACAGTGTACACTCCTCCTGTGATGGGGGCACCAAAATCTCAGAAATCACCACTAAATAACTTATTCATGTAACTGAACACCACCTGTTCCCCAAAAGCCTATTGAAAAAAAAATTGAATACATGTAGGTCTAGATATAACTCTTGTGAAGTATGATATTGATTCTCTATGTTGTAATAGATGGACATTGAATACGAGATTATGAATACAATCATCCTCAGTATTCACCAGGGATTGATTCCAAAACCCCCACTGATGTTCAAACCCCTTGTATAACATGGCATAGTATTTGCATATAACCTATGCACATTCTTCCACATACTTTAAATCATCCCTAGGTTATCTATGGTGCCTATCGCAATGTAAATGCTGTATAAATATATGTTATACTGTATTTTTTATTTGTATTATTTTTTCTTTCTTTCCTTCCTTCCTTCCCTTCCCTTCCTTCCTTCCTTCCTTCCTTCCTTCCTTCCTTCCTTTCTTTCTTTCTGACAGTCTTGCTGTGTCACCCAGGCTGGAGTGCTATGGCAGGATATCAGCTCACTGCAAACTCTGCCTCCCAGGTTCACGCCATTCTCCTACCTCAGCCTTCCAAGTAGCTGGGATTACAGGTGCCCGCCACCATGCCCGGCTAATTTTTTTGCATTTTTAGTAGAGATGGGGTTTCACCGCGTTAGCTAGGATGGTCTTGATCTCCTGACTTTGTGATCCACCCGCCTTGACCTCCCAAAGTGCTGGGATTACAGGCGTGAGCCACCGCGCCCGGACTGGCCATATATATTTTAAAAATATTTTTATTCTTCAGTTGGTTGAATCCATAGGTGTGGACCTACAGATACAAAATGCCAACTGTAGTTTAATTTTTATAAAACTATCTGTCTTAGTCCATTCAGACTGCTATAACAAAATACCTTACACTGAGCAATTTATAAATAATAAACACTGCTTACAGTTCTGGAGGCTAGAATGTCCAAGCAGGTGGTGCCAGCAGATTTGGTAGCCAGTGAGGGCACACTTTGCTTCATAGATGGCGCCTTCTTGCTGCATCTTCACGGGTGGAAGGGGCAAACAAGCTCCTTTGGGCCTCTTTTTTTTAAGACAGGGTCTCGCTGTGTCACCTAGGCTAGAGTGCAGTGGCGTGATCTCGGTTTACTGCAAGCTCTGCCTCCAGGGTTCAAGTGATTCTCTTGCCTCAGCCTCCTGAATAGCTGGGATTACAAATGCCTGCCACCATGACTGGCTAATTTTTGTGTTTTTAGTAGAGATGGGGTTTCTCCATGTTGACCAGGCTTGTCTTGAACTACCGACCTCAAATGATTAGCCCGCCTGAGCCTCCCAAAGTGCTAGGACTACAGGCATGAGCCACCGCACCCAGCCTGGGCTTCTTTTATAACGGCATTAATCCCATTCATGAGGACAGGCCCCTCATGACCTAATCACCTTCTAAAGGCCCCATCTCTTAATATCACCACATTGGGGATTAGGTTTCAATTTATGAATTTTAGGGGGGCACAAACATTTATGCCATAGCAATACATAATAAAAATTAATAAATATGTATATATTTTTTTGAGACAGGGTCTCACTCTGTCACCAGGCTGGAGTGCAGTGGCACAATCATGGCTCACTACAGCCTCAACCTCCCAGGCTCAGGCAATCCTTCTACCTCAGCCTCCAGAGTAGCTGAGGCCACATATGTGTGCCACCATGCCCGGCTAAGTTTTCTATTTTTTGTAGAGATGGCATTTCACCATGTTGCCCAGGGGGGTCTCAAAACACTGGGCTCAAGCAGTCTGCCCACCTTGACCTCCCAAAACACTGGGATTTCAGGTGTGAGCTACTGGGCCCAGCCCAAAATTTCAAAAAAAAGCAGGCAAAAAGTCAGCTTTATCTAAATGTGTTTGATTTAAAATATTGATGTGTATTCATTATCATTTATATTTTGTCCAGATGCCGTGTCTCATGGCTGAGATTCCAGCACTTTGGGAGGCTGAGGTGGGAGGATCACTCGAGCTCAGAAATTTGAGACCAGCCTGGACAACATAGTGAGACCATCTCTCTACAAAAACTAAAAAAATTAGCTGGGTGCGATGGCTCATGCCTGTAATCCCAGCACTTTGGGAGGCCAAGGCGGGTGGATCACTTGAGGTCAGGAGTTCGAGACCAGCCTGGCCAACATGGTTAAACCCCACGTCTACTAAAAATACAAAAAATTAGCAGAAGAATGCTTGAACCCATATGTATACATGTATATATACATATGTGTATGTGTATGTTTATATATATATGTATATGATACAAAATTAGCCAGGTGTGGCAGCACACACCTGTAGTCCCAGCTATTTGGGAGGCTGAGATGGGAGGATCACTTGGACCTGGGAGGTCAAAGCTGCAGTGAACTGGGATCATGGCACTGTACTCCAGCCTGGGTGACAACGTGAGATCCTGCCAAAAAAAAAAAGGAAAAATAAAAAGAGTGATTTTACAGAAAAATTGAGATTTTCAATTTATCACGGCAGTGCCAGCTCTGAATTCCTATGCGGCAACGCTGGACCAGGAGCTGCTGCCCCTCTAGGAGGGGAGGGTGCCCTCCAGCCTGTTATAGCCTTCCCTTGGCACTTGGCACATTACTTGCCTGGCCCTTACAGGAATTTGAGGTGCAAATTGATCTAGATCATTGAAGGAAGAGTCTGGGTCTTCTCAGTTTTGGGGCACTTTCGTTGCCAAGTAAGGTTCTTATGAGATTTTTAGAAGTTGAGATTAAAAAAGAGTTTATATGCAGCTGGAGGTGATACCTAACAACAACCATAATAACAGCATCAACAACAAAAACAGTAGCCTAGAGCAGTTACTCTAAGCCAGGTAAGTGTTCTAAAGCACTTCACACAACTTATTTACTCTCACGACAATGCTATTAGGTAGCACTTTGAATATACACATTTTGTAGGTGAGGAAATTGGGGCATGTAGCTGTTAAGATTTATATCAGCCGGGCGTGGTCACTCATGCCTGTTCCCAGCACTTTGGGAGGCCAAAGCGGGCGGATCACGAGGTCAGGAGTTTGAGACCAGCCTGACCAACATGGTGAAACCCCGTCTCTACTAAAAATACAAAAATTAGCTGGACATGGTGGCGGCTGCCTGTGATCCCAGCTATTCAGGAGGCTGAGGCAGGAGAATCGCTTTAATCTGGGAGGCGGAGGTTGCAGTGAGCTGAGATCATGCCACTGCGCTCCAGCCTGAGTGACAGTGAGACTCTGTCTCAAAAAAAAAAAAAAAAAAAGATTTATACCAATTTATACCGTCCAATAGGAGGCGTGAGACTCAACACAGGGCGGAGGAGAGAATAGGTCAGGAAATCACATCTCTCCACCTGCACAGCCACCATCATTGTACCCTTCTAAAGAGACTGGCAACAACTTTCATTCAGCACTGTCCCATTGATTGGCTCATTTCATGATCACAGCAACCCAGTTAAGCAAATCCTCACCTTTGCATCGCCTGCTTTGTATCACTTTTCTTTAAAATTAAAAATAAAAAAAATGGATTACAAATTCGGTTAACGCCCATCCCATTTCTCTCCTTCCTTGTAGTAATTATCATTCTAAAGTTGTTGGGAATTATTCCCATGCGTACTTTGCACTTTTAAAAAATGTTTGCTTTCCTAAACATATACCACTGTTTTGTGTATTTTAAAACTCACACAAATAATATCATACAACATCCATTTTTGCAAGTTTCTTACTCATTACATTGCTAAATATGTCTATAATTCATTTAACTGCCGTATAGTATCCCATTATAAGAACAAACCATACTTTATTTATCCATTTTACTTAACAACAGTTAGCTTATTTCCACTTCTTCTTGACAATTAACTGATACTGCAATGACCATTTTTATCCTCGCCTTTTTGTGCATGTGTAGAAATGTTTTTCTAAGGAATAGATCTAGAAGCAAGATTGCTGGGTCATAGGGAATATTCATTTTCAGCATTAACTGGTGCCAAAATTCTCTTCAAATTTGTTGTATCTGTTTACACTTCAACACAAAATATATGCATTCCTATTGTCCCACATTTTTGTCAACAGTGTTAGAATAATTTTAATTTTGGTGATTTTGTGGGTGTAAAATGGTAACTCGCGCTGTGATTTGCATTTCTACATTACTGGTTAAATTGAGCATCTTTTCTTATGTTTATTGACCATTAGGTTTCTCTTTTATGACTCACCTATTCACAGCTTTTGCTCATATTCTCTTGCGTTGTCCTTTTCATATGGATCTGCAACTTCTTTATGAATCCTGGATATAATCCTTTGTTGTTTATGTAGATTGTGAATATTCTCTAAGTCTGTGGCTTGTCTTTTACTTTACGTGATTTCTTTTTTTTTTTTTTTTGAGACGGAATCCTGCTCTGTCGCCCAGGCTGGAGTGCAGTGGCACAATCTCGGCTCGCTGCAAGTTCCGCCTCATGGGTTCACGCCATTCTCCTACCTAAGCCTCCCGAGTAGCTGGGACTACAGGCACCCACTACCACGTCCAGCTAATTTTTTTGTATTTTTGGTAGAGACGGGGTTTCACCATGTTGGCCAGGATGGTCTCAATCTCCTGACCTTGTGATCCACCCGCCTTGGCCTCCCAAAGTGCTGGGATTACAGGCTTGAGCCATCGCGCCCGGCCTATGTGATTTCTTATAAAAGCTTAAAAATGTTTTAACGTGGTCATATGTATCAATATTTTCCTTTATTGCTTGTGCATTTATTTATAGTCGACAAATAAAAATTGTATCTATGGTGTAACAACATGATGTGTGTATATATATGTGTGTGTGTGTGTGTGTGTGTGTGTGTAATGGCTAGAGTAATTACTGTATCTGTTATCTCACATACTATCATTTTAAACGTGATATTTGAAATGTACTCTCCTAGCAATTATTTTTATTTTTATTTTTTTTTTGAGACAGGATCTTGCTCTGTCGCCCAGGCTAGAGTGCAGTGGCAAGATTATAGCTCACTGCAGCCTGGACCTCCCAGGCTCAAGTGATTTTCTCTTCTCAGCCTCCCAAGTAGCTGGGACTACTGGCACGTGCCACCACATCCTGCTAATTTTTTCAATTTTTTGTAGAGACAGGGTCTCACTATGTTACCTAGGCTAGTCTTGAATTCTTGGGGTCAAGCAATCAAGCAATCGGCATCCCGAAATGCTAGGATTACAGGCATGAGCCACTGCGCCCAGCTAATTTTTGTATTTTTTTTAGAGATGGGGTCTCACCATGTTGCCCAAGCTGGTGTCGAACTGGTCTCAAGCGATCCACCCACCTCAGCCTCCCAAAGTGCTGGGTTTACAGACATAAGCCACTGCAGCTGGCCAGCAATTTTCAAGTATACAATACATTGTTATTAACTCTAGTCATCATGTTATACAATAGATCTCCTGAATTTATTCTACCTAACTGAAATTTTGTATCCTTTGACTAAAGCTCTCCAATCCCTGCCCACACCCGCCCCCCGCCCCCTAGCCCCTGTGCAGCCACCATTCTATTCTCTGCTTCTGCAATTTTATTTTATTTATTTATTTTTTTAAATTTATTTTGAGACAGGGTCTCACTCTGTTGTCTGGGTTGGAGTCCAGAGGTCTGATCACAGCTCACTGCAGCCTCAAACTCTTGGATTCAAGAGATCCTCCTGCCTCAGCCTCCCGAGTAGTTGGGACTACAGGCACGTGCCACCATGCCTGGCTGAGTTTGACTCTTTAGGTTCCACATGTAAATGAAATCATGGTATTTGTCTTTCTGTGCCTGGTTTATTTCATTTAGCATAATATCCTCTAGTTTTATCCATGTTGTCACAGATGACAGAATTTCCTTCTTTTTAAAGACTGAATAGTATTCCATTGTGTATATGTTCCATAATCTCTCTATTTATTCATTGATGGACACTTAGGTTGTTTCCATGTCTTGGCTATTGTGAATAATGGTGCAGTGAACTTGGGAATACAGATATCTCTTCAACATACTGAGTTCATTTCTTTCGAAATATACCTGATAATGGAACTACTGGATCACATGGTAGTTTTAATGTTTTGAGGAAGCTCCATTCTGTTTTCCAAAATAGGTGTACAAATTTACATTCCTACCAACAGTTTGTGAGGGTTCCTTTTTCTCCACATCCTTGCCACCACTTGTAATCTCTTGGTTTATTTTTATTTTTTTTATCAGAGCCATCTTAGCAGGTATGAGGTGATATCTCACTGTGGTTTAAATGTTCATTTCCTTGATAATTAGTAATATTGAGCATTTGTTTTTCATATACCTGTTGGCCATTTATGTGTCTTCTTTTGAGAAATGTTTTTTCAGATCATTTGCCCATTGTAAAATCAGATTTTTGGCTGGATGCAGTGGCTTATGTTTGTAATTCCAGCACTTTGGGAGGCCAAGGCAGGAGGATCACTTGAGCCTAGGAGTTCAAGATAAATCTGGGCAACATAGGGAAACCCTGTCTCTACAAAAAAATTTTAAAAATTAGCAGGGCACGGTGGGGTGTGCCTGTGGTCCCAGCTACTTGGGAAGCTGAGGTGGGAGGATTGCTTGAGCCTGGGAGTTGAAGGCTGCAGTGAGTTATTATTGCGGCACTGTATTCCAGCCTGAGCAACAGGGTGAGACCCCAACTTAAAGAAAAAAAATCAGATTTTTGGTTTTCAACAACTCTTGCTATTAAGTTTCTTATAAAAATATTCACCCCTTATCAGATGTATAGTTTACAAATATTTTGTCCCTTTCCGTAGGTTGTCTGTTGATTGTTTCCTTTGCTGTTCAGAAGCTTTCATTTGATGCAATCTCATTTGTCCAAAAAAATTATTGCCCAGACCAATGTCAAGAAGCCAAGATCATGCCACTGCACTCCAGCCCAGCAACAGAGCGAGACTCCATCTCAAAAAAAAGATCTGAAATTGTAAAAATACTAGAAGAAAATATAGGAGAAAAGCAATTCTCCTGCCTCAGCCTCCTGAGTGGCTGGGACTACAGGTGTGCACCACCACACCCAGCTGATTTTTGTATTTTTAGTAGAGATGGGGCTTCACCATGTTGGCCAGGATGGTCTCAATCTCTTGATCTTATGATCCACCTGCCTTGGCCTCCCAAAGTGCTGGGATTATAGGTGTGAGCCACCGCACCCCGCCATTTCAGATCTTATGTTTAAGTCTTTAATTCATTTTGAGTAGTTTTTTTTTTTTTTTTTTTTTTTTTGGAGGCAGTCTCTCTCTGTTCTTCAGGCTGGAGTGCAGTGGTGTGGTCTTGGCAACCTCTGCCTCCCAGATTCAAGTAATTCTTGTGCCTTAGCCTCCTGAGTAGCTGGGACTATAGGTGTGTGCCACCACCCCTGGCTAATTTTTGTGTTTTTGGTAGGTTTCACCATGTTGGCCAGGCTGGTTTCGAACTCCTGGCCTCAAGTAACCCATTGGCCTTAGCCTCCCAAAGTGCTGGGATTACAGATGTGAGCCACTATGCCTGGCCTGAGTTGATTTTTGTATATGAGGTGAGATATGGTCAAATTTTATTCTTCTACATGTGGATATCCAGTTTCCCCAGGACTGTTTATTGAGGAGACTGTCCTTTCCCCATTGTATGTTCTTGGCATATTTGTAAAGGATCAGTTGGCCATAAAATGTGTGGATTTATTTTTGGCCTCTATTCTGGTCTTATATGTCTGTTTTTGTTCCAGAACCATGCTGTTTTTATTACTATAGCTTTGTGGCAGCTTCTGAAATTAGGTAGTGTGATGGCTCTAGCTTTGTTCCTTTTGTTCAAGATTGCTTTGGCCATTTTGGTCCTTGTCTTTTGTGGTTCCATATGAATCTTAGGATTTTTTTTCTATTTCTGTGAAAATGTCATTGGAATTTTGATAGAGGTTGGATGGAATCTACAGTTTGGGGTAGTGTGGACATTTTAACAATATTAATCTTTCCAATCCATTAACATGGAATATCTTTCCATTTATTTGTGTCTTTAATTTCTTTCTTCAATGCTTTATGGTTTTCAGTGTACAGATTTCTCACCTCTTTGATTAAATTTATTCCTAAGTATATATTTTTGATGCTATTATAAATGTGATTGCTTTCTTGATTTCTTTTTTGGTTGGTGCATTATTAGTATACAGTAATGCTACTGACTTTTGAATATTGATTTTGTATCCTGCAACTTTACTGAATTTATTAGTTCTAATAGTTTTTTTGGTGGTATCTTTAGGGATTTCTCTATATAAGATCATGTCATCTACAAAGTGACAATTTAACTTCTTTCTTTCCAATTTGGATGCCTAGGGAGCATCAGTGGCTCAAGCCAGCTGTCCTGGTGCACAGGGAGGCGAGGCTATGAGTTCGAGGCCAACCTGGTCAACATTGACCAATTTGGATGTCTTGTATTTCTTTCTCTTGCCTATCTGTTCTGACTAGAACTTCTAGTACTATATTGAATAGAAATGGTGAGAATGGTTATCCTTGTCTTGTTCCTGATCTTAGAGGAAAATCTTTTAACTTTTCATGATTATGTATGATGTTAGCTGTGGGTTTGTCATATATGGGCTTTATTGTGTTGAGATACACTTTTTCTATACCTAATTTGCTAAGAATTTGTATCATGAAAGGATGTTAAATTTTGTCAAACGCCTTTCCCCCATCTATTGATATAATCATATAGTGTTCTTCATTTTGTTAACTGCTTGTACTTTTGTACTTTTAAAATTTTGTATAAGAAATCCTTCTCTATTCTGATATCATCAATATGTGATCTTATATTTTCTTTGAATAGTTTTCAGTTTTGCTTTTTACTCTAGCTACCTGAAATTTACTTCTGGGTAGGATGTAATGTAGAATTTATTTTTTGTGTGTTTGTTTGGATAGCCAGTTAACTCAAAACCATTGAACTTTCCCACTGATTTATGTCACTTCCATTATAGCCAAGTCTCATATCTTTGAGGGTCTGTATTAGTCCATTCTTGCACTGCTATAGATAAATACCTGAAATCAGGTAATTTATAAAGTTTAATTGGCTCATAGTTCCACAGGCTGTATAGGAAGCATGGCTGGGGAGGCCTCAGGAAACTTACAATCATGGTGGAAGGTGAAAGGGAAGCAGGCATGTCTTACGTGGCTGGAGCAGGAGGAAGAGAGGGAAGAGGTGCCACACGCTTTTTTTTTTTTTTTTTTTGAGACAGAGTCTTGCTCTGTTACCCAGGCTGGAATGCAGTGGCACAATCTCAGTTCACTGTAACCTCCACCCTCTGGGCTCAAGCGATCCTCCCACCTCAGCCTCCTGAGTAGCTGGGACCACAGGCATGCATCACCATGCTCGGCTACTATTTTTGTATTTTTGTAGAGATGATGTCTCAGCATGTTGTCCAGGCTGGTCTTGACCTCCTGAGCTCAAGTGATCCTCCTGCCTCAGCCTCCCAAAGTGCTGGGATTATAGGCAAGAGCCACTGCACCTGGCCTCCACACACTTTTAAACAACCGGGTCTCATGATAACTTACTATCATGAGAACTGCACCCAGTGGGAAATCCATTTCCATGATCCAATCACCTCCCACCAGACCCCATCTCCAACAAAGGGGATTACAATTCGACATGAGATTTGGAGAGGGAGGGACACAGATCCAAACCCTATTAGGATCTGATTCAAAAAAGTTTTGTTCTGTACTGTGGTCTATTTATGTGTGCATATACCAGGACTAGACTGTTTTAATCACTCTAAGTTTCAACCAGTAAACTTGTGACATATGGTTAGGCAAGGGATCTCATATTCTTCTGCTTCAAGTTTTGTTTTTTCTTGGCCATTTACTCTTCCATAAGAATTTTAAGGCCGGGTGTGGTGGCTCATGCCTATAATCCCAGCACTTGAGGAGGCCGAGGCGGGCAGATCACGAGGTCAGGAATTCAAGACCAGCCTGACCAACATGGTGAAACCCCGTCTGTACTAAAAATACAAAAAAATTAGCCGGGCGTGGTGGTGCGCACCTGTAGTCCCAGCTACTCAGGAGGCTGAGCCAGGAGAATCACTTGAACCTGGGAGGTGGAGCTTGCAGTGAGCCGAGATCGCGCCATTGCATTCCAGCCTCGGTAACAGAGTGAGACTCCGTCTCAAAAAAAAAAAGAATTTTAAGAACAGTCTGTCAAGTTCCATAAAATATCTGATTGGAGTTTTGCTTAGAATTGTACTGAATTTTTAGATTTGAGAAAAATTATCAGCTTTATATCAAACTTCCGTCTTTGTGAGTAGGGGATCTCTTCCTATTCTTTTATATCTTCTTTATGTTCTCTAATAAAACTTTATAATTTTCTCCATAAATATCATACACAGACTTTGTTATATTTATTCCTAAGTATCTTATGATTTTTGTTATGACAAATGGTATTTTCTTTTCTTTTTTTTTTTTTTTGAGACGGAGTCTCGCTCTGTCGCCCAGGCTGGAGTGCAGTGGCGCAATCTCGGCTCACTGCAAGCTCCGCCTACTGAGTTCACGCCATTCTCCTTCCTCAACCTCCCCAGTTGCTGGGACTACAGGTGCCTGCCAACTCGCCCAGCTAATTTTTTGTATTTTTAGTAGAGACGGGGTTTCACTGTATTAGCCAGGACGGTCTCGATCTGCTGACCTCATGATCCGCCTGCCTTGGCCTCCGGAAGAGCTGGGATTACAGGCGTGAGCCACGATGCCTGGCCTAAAATGAAATCTTTTATCTGTTTATTGCTGTGGTGTAAGGATATTGATGTTTGTGTATTCTCCTTGCCCCCGGCAAGGAAATTGTTATTTCTAATAGTTGGTAGGTTCTTGTGAATTTTCTTTGTATAGTAAGCAATCTATGTATAGTAATTGTCTATGTATAGTGATGGCTTTATTTCTTCTTTTTCTTCTTGTGTCACTTCAGACTTCTTGGCAGAAAGGTGAATAGAAACAGTAAAAACTGGTATCCTTGTCTTGACTTTGGAAGTTACTTTCTATTCCTAGTTAGCTAGATTAAAAAGATTAAAAAAGAAATAGACAGGTTCTCACTATACAGTGGTTATTCACAGCCTCAATCATAGAGCACTACAGCCTCAAACTCCCAGGTTCAACGAACCTTACCACCTTAGCCTCCCAAGTAGCTGGGACTACAGGCACAAGCCACCACACCTGGCTAATTTTTAAATATTTTGTAGTTCACTACAGCACTATTCACAATAGCAAAGACATGGCGTCAACCCAAATGCCTATCAATGAAAGACTAGATAAAGAAAATGTAGTATGCAGCCAGGCGTGGTGGCTCACACTTGTAATCCCAGCACTTAGGAAGCCTGAGGCAGGTGGATCAGGAGTTCGAGACCAGCCTGACCGACATAGTGAAACCCTGTCTCTACTAAAAATACAAAAAAATTAGCCAGGTGTGGTGGCAAATGCCTGTAATCCTAGCTACTCAGGAGGCTGAGGCAGGAGAATTTCTTGAACCCGGGAGGCAGAGGTTGCAGTGAGCTGAGATTGTGCCAATGCGCTCCAGCCTGGGTGACAGAGTGAGACTCTATCTCAAAAAAAAAAAAAAAAAAAAAAAAAAAATGCCGGGCACGATGACTCATACCTGTAATCCCAGAACTTTGGGAGGCCGAGGTGGGCAGATCACAAGGTCAGAAGTTCACGACCAGCCTGGCCAACATGGTGAAATCCTGTCTCTACTAAAAATACAAAAATTAACAGGGTGTGGTGGCACTCGCCTATAGTCCCAGCTACTTGGGAGGCTGAGGCAGAAGAATCGCTTGAACCCAGGAGGCAGAGGTTGCAGTGAGCCGAGATTGTGCCACTGCTCTCCAGCCTGGGTGACAGAGCAAGACACCACCTTAAAAAAAAGAAAAAAGAAAATGTAGTATGCGTACACCATGGAATACTATGCAGCCATAAAAGGGAATGAGATCATGTCCTTTACAGGGATGTGGATGGAACTGGAAGCCACTATCTTCAGCAAACTAACACAGGAACAGAAAACCAAACACCACATGTTCTCACTTATAAGTGGGAGCTGAACGATGAAAACACCTGGACACATGTGGGTGGGGGGAACAATAACCCACTGAAGTCTGTCAGAAGGGGAAGTGGCAGGAGGGAGAGCATCAGGAAGAATAGCTAATGGATACCGGGTTTAATACCTAGGTGATGGGTTGACAGGTGCAGCAAACCATCATAGCACATGTTCACCTATGTAACAAACCTGCACATCCTGCACTTGTACTCCGGAACTTAAAATAAAAGTTGAAAAAATATTTTGTAGAGACGAAGTCTCACTATGTTGCCCAGGCTGGTCTTGAACTTCTGAGCTCAAGCAATCCTCTTGCCTTGGCCTCCCAAAATTCTGGGATTTTAGCAGTGAGCCACTGCACCTGGCCTCCAGTTCTGGATCCTGGGTCTTGCGACATTATTCCATGCTGGCTTCTGAAGTCAATGAGGCAAAACCAGAAAGGGGAACTAAAAAGTTAAAGAGGGAGAGGGTCTCACAGGCAAGATGGAGGAAGCCTGGGATGAAGGCAGGGCTGTGGACCTGAATGATGCCAGGAATTAAGGAGGAAGTAACAGTGTTAGGTAATAGCACATGGGATTCTTGGGCTGCAGCTACAGGAGGGAGAATCATGGCCTTAATTCATCACCTCTGAAATCCTGAAATATCTAGCCTCCTGCCCAGATCCTGCCATGAATGCATCTATTCAACCACTATTTATAAAGTATCCAGTGTTAGGTCCAGGGAGTGGCAAGAGTGAGCATCTGCAGTCATAGTCCCTGCCCTCAGGGAGCTTACATTCAATGGGGCAGACAGACATCAGTCTGTACATAATCATCAACAAATGTAGAACTCCAACAGGGCCAAGTGCCTCTGAGGAAAGGTACACCTTAGTGTGAGCGCTCATAACAGGAGAATTTGACCCTGAAAAGAAGGTCAGGAAGGCTTCCCTGAGGCTATTGAGAAGGTGAGGCCTGAAGAATGAAGAGGAGCTAAGAGGAGAGGAACAGAGGAAGGAGCCTTTCCACAGAGGGTCCAGCCTCCCTGGAGACTCTGTGCAGGAGGAAGCACAAGGTGGACAGCAACTGGAGCACACGAGTGAGGGGGTGTGGTGGGAGATGAGGCTGGAGAGGAGGGGCCACCCCTTGCAGGGCCTTAGAGGTCAGGTTAAGGACTTGGGTCTTTAACCTAAGATCAATGGAAAACCACTGAATAGGTTTAAGGAGGCTGACTGAAACAATCAGATTTGCATTTTTAAAGGATCCCTCTTAGGTGTGTGTCATACTGTAGAGAAGGCCATTCCCAGCCTCTTCAGCTACTGCAATGACTCAGAGAAGGCCACATGGTCCACATGGTGGCTAGCCCAGGGATGTGGAGGGATGAAAACGAGTGGACAGACTTGAGATATATTAGAGCAGATAAAATGGATAGGACTAGGTGCTGGATTCAATATTGAGATGCTCATTCTAAACCGCCCCTACATCAAATCCTTCGAAGGCAGGGGCTATGCCACATGACTATGATACCCAGGTCCCAGAACAACTCCTGACACATGGTAGACTCAATACACATTTCCCGAAAGGGTGGAAATGATTAGCAGTCTCTCAAGTAATCCTTTGACCACTAAGCGTATTTAATTTCTTCTAGCATGTGTCAGTAATCAACCTCCTTGGTACATCATAGGGAGAAATATTGCCGAGTTCCAAAGAGTATACTCTGGGGCAAGTTAATACAAGAATAAGGTCTCACTTACCCTATAACATGAAGAGTAACAGTAAACTCGTAAGAACAGGACCTGGTGAAGCAAGGAGTAGGCACAGGAAGATGGCTCATCAAATAGGGGCGCCGGGTGTAGTGTGAACACCTGAGGCAGGAAGAACCCAGTAGCCTCTGGGGGTTGGGTGGGATTAGTTGGGGGACTAGGATTTGATGGTAGGGGGTTGTCCTGGAGATCTCTGGAAATTAAGTTATCTATTTTTTTTCTGTTTTTATTTTTATAAAAGAACTCTTAAGGGCATTTTTTTCTTTGTTTGTTCTGTTTTGAGATAGAGGTTCACTCTGTCGCCCAGGCTGGAGTGCAGTGGCGTGATCTCGGCCACTGCAAACTCCGCCTCCCAGGTTCAAGTGATTCTCATGCCTTAACCTCCTGAGTAGCTGGGATTACAGGCATGGGCCACCACGCCTTGCTAATTTTTGTGTTTTTTGTATAGCCAGGGTTTTGCCAGGTTTGGTCAGGCTGGTCTTGAACTCCTGGCCTCAAGTAATCCACCTACCTTGGCTTCCCACAGTGTTGGAATTACAGCCATGAGCCATCATGCCCAGCCTAAGCTATCACTTTAAAATGACCCTTCAAGAAAGTCCCAAGGAGTCTAATCCATCCACGACAACAGCACGTCTGAGACAGCCTAGTGAAATTTCTCCGATGGAGGACAGGAGATGGAAAAGTGCCCCAGGACCTCTTATTTATATAAAAAACAAAATTTTTTAAGACCCTGAGAAGTATGGATTCTTCTCCAGAGAAAAGTTCCTGGCTTGGGAGCTCCCTTAGGACTTGGCACTTTGGTCTAGAGTGAAGTGGACCTGGCCATTCCAGCTTTGAGTGGGTTCAGGCGAGACACTCGAGCTACCCCTTATGGTTGCTCTGAAGGTCACCCTGGCTGGGAGTGGGTGGATCTCTGCTCTGTTATGCCTCCCACAGGTGGAGGAAGTCTGTCTCTGAGGCTGCCCTGCCACCCTCATAGAGCGCTGCAGATTGGGGGCGGTGATGCAGCCACAGGGGCTCTGATTCCCTGCCTCCCCACTGTGTTCATCTCATTCCTCTCCACATATGAGGCCTGGTGTCATGGCAGGTGGGTGTTCCAAGTGAAACCACAGCCACAGAGGCAAGCAGTAGAGCCTGTCCCTGATGTGGCCCTGGTGATGCTGCACCAGCCTGGGGCTGTATCAGAAACCATGCCTGCAGCCTTTGCTTCTGCAGACTTGCTGGTGCTGCACCAGCCCTGAGCAATGTCCATAGCCCTTGCCTCACTGGTCACTGTGATGGGGACGCCCCCAGGTATGGTTCTGCTGCTGGTGTTGCAGGTTGGAGTGGGGGCCAGCACCCTCATCTACCACAAGAAGGCTTAGGTGGCACAGACGTAAGGCTGCTTGCCTGTGTGTAGAGTGGCAGGCTGCAACGGGCTGGAGCCTTGGGGAGAGGCCCTTGCCACGCTGGTGGCAGTGATTGGGTTCAGGCAGGTGTGTGCCGCAGTGCTGGGCCAGGTGTGAGCTGTGGCAAGAGCTGTGGCCACACTTTCTGCAGGAGTAGGGCCTATCACCTGTGTGAAAGTGTTCGCACAGGGTCAGGTGGGCCCCTTGGCTGAAGTACTTCCTATATTAGGGGGAGGAGAAGGGCCCCTTGCCCAGGCTGTGCTGAGAGAGGTGAGAGCAGTGGGAAGAGACTCCACATTCCAGGCAGGAAATTTGAGTGGATTTGTGGGTGGAGATGGGGGTCCCGGGTAGGGGAGTTGGGGAAGGGTTGGTTGTGACAGCTGGCAGGTAAAGGAGTGCCATAGTAGGTAGAGGGCTGGGTCTGTCCTCTCTTCTCCTCCTCCTCTCCCTTTGCTCCCAGCCTGCAGGGAGAGGGGAGAGAGGTGAGAGCAGCATGGGGGAGGAGGAAGCAGAGGAGACAGAGGTGGGAGAGGAGAGGCTAAGCCCCACACCCAACTGAAGAAGTGGTTGGCGGTTTCAGCGGCACCTCCCTCCTCGCTGAGGTGGACTGTGAAGGTGGAGAAGCCCAGAGCACAGCCTCCTGTGAGCAGCTTCCCAGGGTGTTGAGGGCTGCCAGGCAAGGACAGGGCCCTCAGAGTTAGGCCTTGCCTGGGCAGGGGTCTCCTGGGGGAACCTTCCCTCAGGGCCCTGAGGCTCTGGGCTCCAGAGCTCAGCTTCCGCGTTCAGATACATGGTCTGCTCTGCTTTGGAGACTGAGAAGCCTGAGAGGTAAAATCGTGCTGGGTGGTAGGTAGGGTAAGGGAGAGGGAGCTTCCCCCCATCTCCCTCACCCACTGCAGAAAGGCTTCTCTGTTTCCTTCCCCAGCCCAGTCCCACCTCCTCTGTGAGGCCGCTCCTCACCTCCCTACTGGCCTGCAGTGATCCTCCTGCTTGGGAGTCACAGAGCACCCCTACACGGGCCCTTTGCCATTCTTTATAGTATAAGGCAAGGCCGTAACATTTTGTGGGGCATCTTCTTCAGTGTCCTCAGCCTTGTGTGAACATCAGAAGCACTTGGGGGCTTGGGAAAATGCAATTGCTGGCCCCATCTCCAGTTTCTTAAACAGCAGATCTGGGGTGGGGCCCAAGAATTTGCATTTCTAACAAGTTCCCAGGCGATGCTGATGCTGCTAGTCTGGGATCCACACTGGGAGAGCCACTGATCTGTTAGGCGTGTAACTTTACTTGTATTATCTCTCAATTCTCAGGGCAACCTGTTACTCTCCCCCATTTTGCAGGTGAAGAAACAGAGGGAAGACCCAGTGCCTTGTGCAAGGTGGCTCAGTTTGTAAGTGGCAGAGCCGATTTGAACCCACGTTTGTCTGACTCTAATACTGTATCAACCCTCCTTCCTCTACCCTGTTCCTCTGCATTGTCAACTATTCCACATGTATCTTGTTCCTCAACAAAATAGTAACGTTTTCTTTTGCATACTTTATATCTCTCACCTTGCCTGACCCAGTAACATAGGCTTGGTTGGGAGGGACTGAAGGACTTGGAAAGGAAATGCCCCAGTGGAGCCAGGATGGAAATGGGTTCCTCTGTGTCTCCCACATGGTGTCACCTAAATAAACAGCCATGTCTGTGAGGTTCAGTCATGGGGAGAGGAGGGCAAGAGAGCACTCGCACCAAGCGATGGGGTTAGGGGGACACGAAAGGAAATGTGATAAATAGAGAGGGGGGCGTGTGGGGCGAAGGTGAGGACTGGGGACCCGGGAGGGGGCAGGCTGTTTCAGAGTGAAGGCAGGACGGGCAGCAGAGACAGAGAAGAGGCTGCCGGGTGGTTAGGGCTGGGGAGGACAAGGAGGGTGAGGACAGACGATCCCGGCAGCCCCTGGAGCCAGAAGAGAAGTCAGGTTAACTCCAGACTTTTGGCTTCCACCTCTGTATCTCACCCAACTCCTCCCCACCTGCTTCTCTACCCTGAAACTCCAGGAACAACGCCCACCTGCCTCCCACTACAACTTCCCCTTATACCGTACACGTCCTGGATGCTTGGGGTCCGGGAGGAGGGGAGTCAGGATCACGGGTTCCAGGGAAGTGAGTGTAGAAAGGGGCTCCTACGAGGGTAGAAGTGGGTGTTGTCTGCTTCTGCAGGAAAGGGGCCAGCCAGCCCAACTGGTCCGCAGTACTTGCTGGGGCTGGAGGATGCCCACCTGCATCTACGGGATTGAGGGTACCGGAGAGGAGGCGAACAAACGAGAAATCCCAAGGGTGGAGAAGGGAGCCATGGGATCGGCGGGCGGGCCGCGCAGCTGCGGAACTGGGAGGGCCAAGCGGGCTTTAGGGGGAAACACGGCCGGCTCCTCTGCCAGTGAGACAGAGAACTGAGCATGGGGGAGGAATTTGGGGCCAGAGGGGCTGGGGGTACCCAGAGCAGAGGAAACAGGAAGTGAGGGGCAGAGAGGTTACGGGTGGTGGAAGGAACAGCAGTCGGTTCTGGAGAGGCGATTCCTCTTCCCCGAATACCTGCACTGCCCCGGACCGGGAGTGCAGTCGTGCGCCCCTGTCCCCCCAGCCTCAGGCTTGGTGCCCAGCCCCGCTCGCGGAACTCGAGGCCAGTAAGGCAGCCGCGGCTTTCCTTGATGCCCCCACTCCTCTGCTCTCAGCCGCTGCCTGGACGAGCACAGAACTAGTGTTCCCAGGCGACCCTCCCTCCGCTCAGCCCCGCTGCCCGGCGGGCAAAGGCTGTGCACTCACACTCCGAGTCTGCAGCCCAGCCTGCCCTTTTTTGGGAGGTGGCCCGGGGACTGGGATGTCGAACAGGGAGCTTCTCCGCAGTCCTCTCCACCTCCCTCCCTCTTTCCAGCTATAGAAACCGGCTGCTCGCAGTGACTTCCAAACATCACGGTCATTCCCACATCTACACACATCCCTTTCTCTTTTGAGCCATTTTCCTGCTTTCCCTTTGGTGTTGAAACCCTGGATTTCAGCCTGGGCGACTCAGGTTTTAGGGGGGAAAGTTTGGGGTCTAACTTGGCACCTCTGTTTTTTATCCTCTCTTCCAGCTTCATAGATGGTTCCTATTTTCATACATATTTGCTAATTTGGAGTTTCCGACGACATATCTCGAATAACCCGACATTTTCTCCCCATTTCCAAGGCTGATTTTACATTATTTCTAGGCCTCCCTCCCCAATCTATTTTCCTTTCTTTTTCTTGTACACCCCTGATAAACAGACACACAGAACTGCAGGTTTCAAAGAGGAAAAAAGCACGTTTGTTGTTGGTAGGCGGGCGTGAATGGGAGGGTTCTTCACCTTCTCCAACACCTCGTATAGATGGGACGTTGCAGGGCAATAGAAAAGGCAGCAGATGGGGGCGTGTTTTGCCCCACTCTGTACAATATAGAAGAATCTCATATAGATACTTTGTATAAAAGCCACGTGTCCTCATTTGTGTCCTCTTATTGGCTGGCTGGGCTGGGGGTACTGGGGGACAAAGAAGCTGGGGTGATAGACCAGGACACAGGGATACCCCATGGTCCCCTTCCTCTGGCTGTCCCCTGGTGGGGTCACTTTGGATCCTTGGTGGGAGCATAGCACAGCTCCAGTGGCCGGGACACCTTCCAGAATTTCTCATTCACCAGCTCCAGGGTCAGCGAGCCATTCAACGTCTGAGGAGGGGGTAAAAGGGAGAGAGGGGAAAAGAGAGAGGAAAGTTGGAGAAGATGGAAAAGGAAATGAATGAGAGGCAAAAGGTGACCAAGGGAGGAGGAAAGAAAAAAGGAATAATAAAAGCGATAAGGCAAAAAAGGACATGGATGATGGGAAAGGAGAGGGGACATAGAAAGAGATAGAGGATGTATAGGGGAAGAGTGCTGATGAGTTAGACCAGGCTCATGGTTCTATGTGGCCCAGACCACCCTCCCTCCTCTCCCCTCTTCTACCACTGCCCTCAGAAGCTCTCACCGTGAACGCCCCGCCTCCAGGTGCGATGTAGATGGTGTACTGCTTTTCACTGACGCCCTCCAGGCTGGGCAAAGCAGGCTCCTCAGGACCGTCACCTCCTCCGGCACCCCCACCCTCCCCGCCACACCCATCAGGTCCTCCGGTGTCAGAGGCGCCCCCTCCAGGCCCTCCTGGCTCCCCTGCTTCCTGCTGTTGCCTCCGCTCGAGGGCAATGCGCAGGGCCAAGTACTTGGAGAGGTGGTCCACTGTGGCATTCCCAGTTGTCTTCACATACCTGGAATGGGAGGGAGGACAGGCTTAGAGCCAGAGCGCCTCAGATGAGGACTGGAGGTAGGGGCTTTCCAAAATGGATTCTGGGTTGGGGTGGTATTTTGGGTTTGGGCAAAGCCCACTTCTGATGGAAATCTAGGTGATCTTTGGTTTCTCAGTGGCTGGGGAAAGACAGGGCTCCTCACCTCGTCTGGCAGTATTCTCCCTTCTCCACGAGCAGGGGGTGGGGCCGGAACACGAGCTCAATTTCTCCACCTGGCTCTGGGGGGCTGGGGGCCCCAGGAGGGCTTGGGGGGCCCAGCGTTCCCCCTCCCAGAGTCCCTCCCCGGTCACCAGAGTCTTCCGAACCGGCACCCCCACCCACCCCACCAGTGCCGCCTCCCCCTGTCCCTACACTGCTCCCCCCTGCGCCCCCTCCACGGGGTCGCTTGGGAGCAGGGCCTGGGGCAGAGTCAGGGGCGGAGTCTGAGCTCACATCTTCTCCATCCCCTTCTCCCTCCCCGGGCTCTCCTTCCCCCCCACTCATCGTTGTGGTCTGATCTGACCCTGGTATCGGCCGCCTCACACGCTGGGCCCTGTAGAAGCAAGTGGTTAAGGTTAGAAGGCATCCAGGATAAAGGGCTTAGACTTTAAACTTCAGAGAATTAAGAGATAAGAAAAATCCTAATGACGATACCTAATATTTATTAAACACAATGTGCTAAGCACTCAGTATACTAAGTGTTTTGCACCAATCCCCTTACCTAATACAATGAATCCTATGACACAGGTAATTATATTACCTCTATTTTATGGCTGAGGAAACTGAGGCTTAGAGAGGTTAAGTAACTTGTTAGTGATCATAGGCTGTCACCTCTCAAAGTGCGGTAGCAGCATACACATCCCCTGTGAGCTTGTGAAATGCAGACTCTCGGGCCCAACTCTAGACCTACTGAATCACAGTTTGCATCTGAAGATCTACAGGTAATCTGGATACACATGAAAGACTGAGAGATGCTGGCCTAGGAGGTGATTTAACTTCCAGCAGTATGAATCCGGGGCTTATTCTCAAAATCGCTCTACTGTTCTAACTTCTAGAAAGTCATGGGGTAAACTACATTTTTCCTTTTTTTTTTTTTGTGACAGGGCCTTGTTCTGTCGCCCAGCAGGCTGGAGTGCAGTGTGCAGTGGTGTGATCATGGTTCACTGCAACATCCACTTTCTTCCCAGGCTCAAGTGATCCTATTACCTCAGCCTCCCAAGAAGGTAGGACTACAGGCATGTGCCACCATGCCCAGCTAAATGTTTAATTTGTTGTAGAGATGAGATTTCCCTATGTTATTCAAGGTGGTCTCAAACTCCTGGGCTCAAGTGATCCTCCCATCCTCACCTCCCAAAGTGCTGGGATTACAGATGTGAGTCACTGTGCCCAGCCCTATATTTTTCTTAAGAAGAGCAGGGCCAGTTGTTTACTAAGAAACTGCAATTTACACCCATGATTTCCAGCCCTAATGATCAGTATGTGGTCAGCTCCTAGGATGCTGAGGCTTAGAAGCTAGCAGGCAACAAGGACTGACCCACGGACCCATCCCATCAGTTCTGCTTCTCTCCTGACCCTCACACCTGTGCATGGCCTGCATGCGTAGCCCCTCCTCAATGCTGGAGCTCAATGCCTGCTGGTTGTGCAGGCGGCTCAGGCGGATAAGCACTCGGTCTTGATGGGCCTCGTATTCCTCCCGGCTAGGATAGATCTTAGAGATCAGGGCATCAAAGTTGGGGTCTGGCCGTAGGGATCGCTTGGACACCAGCTTCTTTCGGCAGGTAGGACACTCCTTGTTCCTGGGGTAGGAGAAGGGAAGCCCTGAGTGGTCAGTCAAGGGAACTGAAGCCTAGGCTGAACCAAGACCAGTGAGAGGGCCCTAACTTTGTACCCCTTCATCTCATCTCAAACATGTCTCTCCTATTACCCGCTCCGTAGGGCTGTGACAATGCAGTCAGAGCAGAATCTGTGGAGGCACTCCTTGGTGGTCATCGTATTCTTCAGCATGTCCAGGCAGATAGGGCACATGAGTTCTGAATGCAGTGACCGAGGGGAAACAGCAATCTCTGTGCCATCCATTATGGCTTCCTGAAGGCATCAGTGAGTAGAAAGGTGGTGTGGGTTAGAGGGAAAGGGGTTTTAGAAACAGCAGCCCATAAAATAAGAATTTTGAGAAATACAGTGAGAAGACCCATGTTGGTCTCTATAGGAGACAAGAATTCTGAGAAAGAGAAGGACTGATGACTTGGAGCAAATGGAGAAAAGACAGACTTTAGTGTCCATTAACTAAGAGTAGGAGCTTTGGAATAGGAGGATCTGAGGTGGCTAAGTGGCCTAGGAGTGAAGATGGCACAAATCTGTGGTTGGGAAAAACTATTCAACAAAATTTTTTAAAGTCCTGGTGCTACCTGTATTAGAACCCCATAGGGTGCCTGTTAAAAATTCAGATTCTGAGAACCCAATTCACTACTGAATCAGAATGTTGGGGGGCATGAAGCTCTGCTTTTAATAAACTCCCAAAGTGAGTCTTATATGCACTGACTTATGACACTGAATGAGGAACAGGGAAGGTAATTTTTGTGTTTGTGATCTTTCAAATGAAGATAATAATACTTGTTCCACCTCTCTGGCAGGGCTGTTTTGAGGATTAAATGAGCTAAATGCGAAAGTGCTTTGGAAAGATTAAGGTGATTCAAAGGTAGGGCCAGGCAAGGCAGAATAGAGCAAATTACGGAAAAGAAGCTGTGTGATGCGGTCTGTGGATATAAGGGTTTGGGGGAGGGGGTAAGCCTGAAAGGGAGAATGCCTGTCACCTGCGGGGTCCGGTGCAGCTCATACAGACTCAGTTCCCACGTTTTGCTGGCATTCTGGGCATTCGCCGGCGTCGTCATGGTGACCGGGCGCAGACCCCCCACCAGGGCTCCACAGCCGAGGAGAAGGCGAAGAAGGCTGGGGGTGGGGGGAAGGGGAGGAGGGCGTCAGGGGGGCCGCCCCTCGCGTAGACCCCGCCCCTCCAGAAGCGCCCCTCTCCGCCCCCGCTCCCGCCCCCGCGCCGGCACTGCCCCTCACCCAGCTCCAGCCGTTCGCGCTCCCGCCGCCGCCGCGCCTCTCCCTAGGCCCGGGCTCCTGGGCCAAGTTCGCTCGGTCCGCAACCGCTGCTCAGACAGCAGCTCCCGCCACCGCCGCCGCCATGGCCCGGGCGCTGGGGCCCTACGTCACTTCCGCCTGCTCCTCCGCTACACCCGCTCCCCCCGCCGGCGGAGACGTCACCCACCATTCGCGGCGCGGGTGGGACGGGACGTGGACGCCGCGGTTCTCCCGCCCACGGGACGGGCTCGTCCCGCGTGAGGATCCTGCGTCCCGGGAGTTCTGCGCCACTTAGGGAACCACGGTCTCCGCCCCCGGCCCAGCACCGTCGCGCGGCCAACAACCTTAGCCTCGGTTCCCTTCCAGAGGCCCCCACGCGGGGCCTCAGCTCCGGGGGGCCGGGGCCTGGAATATCTGGGACCCCAGGAGGGGACAGAGGGCTCGTGAAAAGGGCTACCTCCCCCACTCTGCGTACCCTGGCGACTCTGGGGATCAACCCCCCTCACTTCTCCGTAACCCCCATTCCAGGATCCCGGGGGAAAAGGCTGCAAAAGATCTGCCGCTTTAGCCTTCTAGTCCTGAGAACACACCTAGGTCCCGATGTGCCCGGGATTCCCCTTACCACCCTGGGGACTCCCTCCACCCTCTGCTTTGGCTCTCCCTAGACCCTCCGACCCGCTCTCCCGCTCGAGGTTTGGGGGCGGCGGCTCGGGACGTCCAGACTCAACTCTCGGCCGGAGCCATAGACTCGAGAATTGCGTTTGGACAATCAGGAGCCGCGGCCCGGGGCGGGGAAGGGAGGGAGGCGCACGGGAGGAAAGGGGGAATAGAGACACCACGCGGAAACAGGGACATACACAAGATGGAGCTCCCATTGGGAAGGGGGGGTGCGCGTGTGGGTGGGGTACACAGGGGCAGAATGTCTGGAGTGGGAAGTGGGCAGAAGCCTCTTCGAGGACTCTAGAGTAAACGAAGGGGATGGGGAGGAAAGAGAAGAGGAAGGGGCAGAGCGATCCCCATTGAGTGTAGGGAATGAGAGGGATACAGGGCGAGGGGGTGGGGGGCAGTTAGAGACCCTGATGGGCATCTTGTCCCCGCCCGAGCTGAGGCTCCCGGACTTGGGCTGCGGCTGCCAGGGGGTGGCCTGTCCCTGGGACAAGGCAGCAGTGGGTGCCCTCGCCCCCCACCCCAGTTCCCCCCTACTTCCCTGTCCTCTCCTTCAGTCCGTGGCCAGTCCTTATGTGGGCGCCAGAGTCGATTAGCGCAGACCCCCCTCCCCTTCCTCCTCCTCTTCCCAGCCCCCTCCCTCCTGCTCTCTCCAGCCCCTTTCATCGGCTGGTTCATTCCCCTAATCCTGGCCCCCTCCCCTAATCCCCCCCATCCGACCCCAGGCCGGCTGCAGCTATTGTAAGGTGGAGAGAAAGGGGAGGGGGGGACTCAGAGAAAGGAGAGGGGTGGGGGAGGGCCACCTGTTCCAAGACCCCCTTTCAAGGCCAGACTGGACACCAAGATGGGGCCATGAACAAATCACCCTTGGGGACCATAAGAACCCAGGGAGTTGGGGGGAGGGGACTGGTGCTGCAGAACCAGTGGAAAGGGGTGACGCACGAACCCCTCCCTCCAAAAAGACCCGGAGTGTCACGCATACACAGTGACACATACTCTTTCCTCTCACACCCGGCGGCGGGGGTTGCCCTGGGAGACCAGGCAGAGAAAGGGAACAATCCTTCGGGAAAGGGAAAGGAGGGGGAGGTGGGGAAGGGTCTGAGGGCTTGGACACAAGAAGAGCCGGAGGTGGCAGGGAAGAGGACTTGGAATTTATTAGGGTCACAAGCACCCCTGCTTCCCATATTCAGCATTCCTGAACCATACACTGCCACCCCTTTTGTATCCTGGGAACTTAGAGTCCTCATCAGCAGGAGGCCAGGCAGAGTGGTGGGGGGGTGAGCAGAGTCCAGGGTCCTTGAGGCAGTTACATGAAAAGACCTCCTGGGAGGGGCAGAAACATTTGGACAGATGCATGGGTGGAGACACAAATGGGCTAGGGGGTACCCACTTCTGTCCCTGGCCTTGGGAACCTCTGCCCTTCCCAGTGGCTCCAGACTCCCCTTACTTGCTTTCTCATATAGTCTGGGTTCTACTTCTCTGCCCTCTCCCTCCCCATGCTGGCCTCATACCAGTGACTTCCACTGAGGTCCCTGTGATGTATCCACTATCTTCAGATGCCAAGAATGCGACCACATCTGCCACATCTATGAGAATGGTGGGGAGAGGGCAGAATTCTGCTCACTCCCATAGACCCAAAACAGCCATAATCTCCCACCAAAGACATCCCTCCCCACAAACCTCTCCACAGACACCAACCACCAGTCCCCTAGAAAATCCCCAAACTTTGGGGATCTCTTCATTCAGGCCCCCTTCCCAGGGACCCCACTACATTCAGTGCTCACCCTCAGGGTCCCCCAAGTGTCCCATCGGGATCATTTCAGTAATCTGTAAGGAAATACTCATGTGGGTGAAAGCTTCTTTTATGGATTTTTTTGAAGACTGAGTCTGTGACCTTTTTTTGTCTTCATTTCTCATACATTCATTGAATATTTAATGTTTGCCAGGAACTGTGCCCAGTATTCTCTCTCTCTCTCTCTCTCTCTGTGAAGCCCAGAGAGATTGAGTCTCTGAATGATTCTGCCCTCCACCCACAGCCTCCTACCTTGTCCACCACTTTCTGTGGCACTTTCTGTGTCATGGGTGTTGCAATGAACCCTGGGAGGACAGAGTTACAGCGGATCCCATGTCTGTGGGAAGGAGAGTGGCTGCCGATTCTGGAGAGGGCTGAATGCTGGTACCTCCCTCAGACCCCCCAGGTGCTCCCCAGCACCCTCAAGCATCTGACCAACCGTCCAAGCTCCCGGGCTGCGGTCTGGGTCAGCCCAATCACTCCAGCCTTGGATGCTGCATAGTTTGTCTGCCCCACGTTCCCCACCTATAGGTGAGTCAGAGATGTGGAATGAGTCAGGAGTCTCAAGGAGGGGTTCTCCTCTCTATACCACTTGGCTGGCTGACCTCGTCCAACTCAACCTGACCTTTCCTACGATGCTACTGATGTTGATGATGGAACCACGACAACCATTGGACACCAGGGCTTGTGCTGCAGCCTGAGTGACTAGGAAGGTGCCCTGGCGGGAAAGGGTAACAAGGGAGAAAAGATCAGCTGGGGTGACAGCCCTCCTCCAACTCCCTCCCCAGGCTAAGGGGGCCAAACGTCGCAGGTTCAGAGATCGCCACCTTGAGGTTGACAGCTATGACTTTGTCCCAGTCATCCTCAGACATGTGCAGCAGAAACTCATCCTGGGTGATGCCCGCACAGGACACAACGACAGATGGTGGGCGAGAAAAGCAGGCCTATGGGAGGGGGAGGTTACGCATCAAAAACCCCCCACAAAAAGCCGGGGCAGTGGAGGCAATATTAGAGCTTTAGAGGGGGAAAGTGGCCTGGCGTTCACCTGCACTTGTTCCAGCAGGCACCTGGCGGCCCTGGCCTCAGACACGTCAGCCTGGAAGGCAGCATGGTTCCCTCGGGGCGGCCCCTCCTTGCTCCCTGGCCCGCCCAGCAGCCGCACCGTCTCCTGTGCCGCTGCCCGGTCCAGGTCGCAGGCAGCTACGGTGGCCCCCTCTCCGGCCAGGCGTACACTGACCGCTCGGCCGATGCCGCTCCCCGCACCTGAGGTAGGACAGAACACGCCGGACCGGGCACGGGGAGGAGAGGGCAGGGATCAGAGGTCACAGGGCAGAAAGTAAAATGTGGGTAAGGGGCCAGAGGTCACAGCGGCCGCGCACTCCAAGGGCACGCCCCTGACCTCACTCCAATACCCCAAACCGCCCGGGGAAAGAACCCCCTCAACCTGTGACCAAGGCCAGTGCGGAGCGGAGTCGGTTCTGGAGCTGAGACGCCATGGCGGGCTGTGGGTGGGTGGGAATCCCAGCACTAAGCCAATCCCAGCGCAGAGGGGCGTGGCAAGGGCAAAGCCGGGGCCAATCAAAGGCCCGCCAGCCTTAGGCCATCTGCGGCCACCAGCGCAGGCCGACCTCCCACCGAGGGGGCGTGGCCCGACACTGCTGCTTAGGGGCCCCGGGTGTGGAGAAGACAAGGGGCCCCATTCCCCCCAAAAAGACAAAGACTGCATGTGGGGCGGAAGATCGGAGGTCTTTATTTCCGGTTACCACCCCTCCCCCTCGATTCAAACACAGTGATATAAAAGGAATAGAAACAAAAAAAATCAGGCCATGAGAATACCAACTAACCCTCTCCCACCCCATCCCCCCAATCACTCCCAAATCAGGACACACGATTGATGTTTGATGTTTATCCCCGACTCCTCCTGTTACCCTCTCTGTCCAGGACTCTGGTCTTCCCTGAAGCCTCCACCAACTGGTGGGAGAAAGGAAACTGGACCTTGGAGAACTTCCTGTGTAGCAACTTGGTTCTCCGAGAACAGGTGGGGTAGGGGACACCAGGTAGGCTGCCATCACCCCCTGTCCCTTCCAGCCTTCTTCATGGCCCCATTTAGCCTTCCAAATGCAACATGGTCAGACAGTGCCCAACACTATGGTCCCTCTGGCCTCTCATTCTCACCGCTCCAGCCTCTGTAAGACTGCCAGCCCTTGAAGGCCCTAATGCCAAAGTAACCATTCTCCCAGGCTACAGTTCCTTCCTTTGGCAGATGTCCCTGGCCAGGGCCCCCAACCTCTACGCACCCCTGACCTGGAGTTAGGGGTAGAGGTTTGGGGCAGGGGTAGTTTATCCACCCCTCACTCAAGGTGGGCAATCAGCACCATCATGATAACTCCCCCCAGCAGCCCCAGCACCTCCAGAAGTGATTGCAATGGTGATGCCTCCCTCAGCAGCTCGGGCAACACAGACACTGTTGCTACGTAGATAAAGCCACCTGCAGTAAATGGCAGGACCCAGCCAGGACCTGCACCACCTGCAATTTCACTGCCCACTGCTCCTCCTTCAGTGAGAAGGGCACAGGCTGTGCCTGCCAGTGCCCCTACTGCTGTCAGTAGTTGCAGACGCATCGCCTGATGGGCAGAAAAGAGAAAAAGGCACTCACCAATAGCTAAAGATTATCAGTGGTTTAGAAGTGGCTGGTGGGGTATAGGTATAGGGGACATGGATTTGGAAACTAAACATCAAAATAAAAAGAGAAGAGGGAGCAGTCTAGAATAGACAATTTCTGAAAAATCTTAAGAGATCAGAGGTCCTTTCCACAGACTTTCTGATTGAGTAGGCGTGTGTGTGTAAGACTCCACTAAACCATTCAGATGGTTTATAGACCAGTTTAAGAAATACTGAGCTAAAGGACAAAGTAACCAGAACTTCTTCCCCCTCATTTCTAGAGGACTTGTCAATGACAGTATGAATTGTTTGGAACTAATAAGAGGCTGTTTGGGTTTAGGGTGAGTGAGGAGAGATAAAGGGTTTGAGGCAGCTGTGTTTGGCAGACATCACCAACCTGCTTTTTGCTGCAGCCAGACTGGACCAAGATGGCAAAGTCTCCGACCTCGTGGGGCACTTCATGTAGCAGGACAGTCATTGTGGTCAGGATCCCTAGTCCCCGGCCCCCTCGAAAGGAAGCCCCAATGGCCAGACCATCAGTGAAGTTGTGTGCCAAGTCAGCAGCCAGATTCAGGTACCCCGACACACGCAGGTCTTGTACAGGACAAGAAGAGAAAATGATCAGAGGCTTCCATCACCACTTGTTCCAGTCTTGGTCAGCTATTCTCACACCTCCCCTCAGAGACCACTTTACACCCAGTCCTTTAGTGTTTCTCAGATACCTGCCATTACCCACAGCACATATTCCATGTGATTTGTGATGATGTCCCTTGCCCAAATTTATCACCAACTCTGGCCCTTACCTAAGCCTCTTTTTTCTTCTTCAGCGTTCTGAGGTCTCACTGGCCCATCTTTGGGTACTGTGCTCCCTCCTCGCCTCTTCTGAACCCCTCTTGTTTCCTTTTCTTCTTCCTCTGAGCTCTGCTTCTCCTTGGTAGAACGCTCTGAGGGAAGAAAAGAGTTGGTCAGAGTGGAGAACAGATCTTCCAACATGTCCTCTCCCTCCTGAGGGCCATAAGATGAGGAGATTCTGAGGCAGGCAAGTCAGCTTTCAGGAAAGTTGTTCCTGGGCTCACCTTGTCTTCCATGTCCATGACTTCCACGTGTATGACTGTGAGCGTGTCCATGTCCATGACTGTGACCATGTCCTCCTTTCACATGTCTCACAAATTTCTCCACGACAAGAAAGGCAACAATTCCACTGAGAACCCACAGTCCCACAGACAGAATGGGGCCCTGGCCTGGGAATGGAGGCATTGAGACATTAAGGGAGATGTGCATTCCAGACTCCTCCTCCTCAAGTGCGGGAGGTGAGGAATAGGGAGAGACGGACCTTCCCCAGCACCCCAACTCCCATCCCCATCTGTCTCTTCCTCACCACTGTGGGAGTGTCCATGTCCGGGTTGCTCCAGAGTGTGGTGAGAATGAGGTTCTGGAAGAAGGGGGGAAAACCAGATGAGGGAATATCTGACACAATGAGTGTGTATTTGGGGGAATATCGAAAGGTCAGGGATCATAAAGGAGAAAGAACCCTTTTCCTCCAAAGAACGAAATAGGTTAGATTTGAGGTAGAAGTCAGAGGTTACTTACCAAGAGCATGAGGAATGAGGTGCAGGAAAGCATCTCCCAGGAGCCCACCGGAAGCAAAACTGAGCAAGATCTGAAGTAGAGAGCGATGCCGGGGAGAGTTCGACTCCACGGGGATAAGGAAGAGGACAAAAAATGGAGCTGCTGAGATCAGCACTGTGGCCCCCAGTGCCTGGTGAGGGAGAGTCAAGGTCAAGTACTGTGGAGTTTCCCAACAATCCAGAACCAGCCCTTCTCTCTCCCATCCCCTGGAGACTCACATAAGCCCAGAGAGTGACAGCATCCAGGTCCTGCTTGATGCCTGGAGCCCCAGACTCCCCATAGCCTCCATGGCTATGCTCATGGTCATGTCCATGTCCTCTGTGGTAGAGGCTCTCATGGGAGTAGCCATGGCTATGGCCATGGTGTAAATCCTCATGTGAATGTCCATGGTCGTGATCGTGGGTATGTCCATGCCAGATGCTCTCGTGAGTGTGGCCATGGCCATGGGCATGGCTGTGGCCATGGTGGAAATCTTCATGTGAGTGCCTGTGGCTGTGGCCATGGAAGTCCTCTTGCAGATCGTCGTGCAGGTCGTCATGACCCCCGAGTCCAGCCACCAGAAGCCCCAAGGTCGCCCAGGTCAGCAGTCCCACGGCCACCCAGTGGGGGGCCCCCAGGCCTCTGGCCATCACGCTGACCAGAGGGACAGAGGCAGTGACTCCACTTGACTCAACTCTATACCTACACAGGGTCCGCTTTACTCCAATCGCGCCCTCCGTCCACCTCTATGGGCCGCTCTCCCATTCCCTTAAGTTCCCACCTACATTGTTCCCAAGACTAGTTCTCTTTATCCCGAACCACCTCCCGGATGTAGGGCCCTGGGACACTAATCTTTCACCAGCCACTTTACAGACTCTCTGGGCCCTCGTCTCTACGACTCATTAGGTGAGGAAAAGGCCTGGAAAGGATGGTAGAGAAAAAACAGAGAATTCTCACCGGCTCCGGGATCCTCTCCTTTCCCGGTTTGCTTGGACGTGGCAGTCCCGCCTTTAGATCCCGCGAGAACAGGAAGTTCCGTTCCACCTTCGCCCTAATGCCTTTACCAATATGGCGGCACTCCGGTAGCGACGAATCCATCCTGCACTGACACGCATGCGCGAGTGTGGAGGTGATTTGAGGGGAGGGTGGGCGAGGCGGGCTAACAGGCCGGAGGAGACCGCCTCCTCGGTTTCCAACTAGACGAGGGGGCGGGAACTCGCGCCGAGACTTCCCGTCTGTACAAAGATGGCTGCCACATTGGCGCTGTCATTTTGGTACTGAGCAGAGCGACGGGCTTAATTCGACCCAATCCAGGCCAGAGTCTTTCTCTCAGGGGCTTCCTCGTGCTCAGCTAATCCTCCGATCAATCCTTGGGAATCCCTGGGACCTCTTCGGTATCCCTACTCTCAGCCAGGGATCATGTCTTGGGCCGCTCGCCCGCCCTTCCTCCCTCAGCGGCATGCCGCAGGGCAGTGTGGGCCGGTGGGGGTGCGAAAAGAAATGCATTGTGGGGTCGCGTCCCGGTGGCGGCGGCGACGGCCCTGGCTGGATCCCGCAGCGGCGGCGGCGGCGGCGGTGGCAGGCGGAGAACAACAAACCCCGGAGCCGGAGCCAGGGGAGGCTGGACGGGACGGGATGGGCGACAGCGGGCGGGGTGAGTGCCCCAGCAGAAGGGCAGGCGAGCCAGTGACCGCTTTATCTGCGACCCCTCCCCCACACCCTCCCCCGGTGCTCTTTTCCTTGCGCTCCCGCCCCCTTGTTTGTAAACACGCGTCCCCTCCCTCCCGAGGGCCTTAGCACCCTCCCCCCCGGGGCGGGGCGGGGAAGGGGAGCTTCCGCCCTCCTAGCTGTGACCGCTTGAGGCCTTGGGCACCGGAGGTCGCGGGCCTGGGAAGGGCACGATTCCTCTTAAACCTCAGGACTTTGGGCGTTTACAGGCAGATCCTGCGTCTTAGGAGGGGTCTCTCCTGCCTGTCTCTTTCCCTTGCACGCTCTGGCTACCTGGCTTTACGCTGGGAATAGAGGGGCTCGATGGTCTACCCCACGTGCTGCCCCACCCACGAGACAGGTGTGGCTTTGGGATGACCTGGTATTCATTCAAATGGATTGGTTGGAAAATTTTCCTCACCTGAACTATCCTCCTCTCCTTGTCAACTCCCTCCTCTCACCACAATGAGGAGTTACGCTGTTTTTGGGTTTTTTTAGCCAGTCAAATATAGCAGTGGGAGGTTGTATACCAATTTTAGTGACACAAATGTTAATAAGTTCTGATAACCCACTACCATCGGACCAGCCGGAGTTACACTGTTGTTTGACAGCAGGGTGTCTCTGAACTTGGGGATGGGTGGAGTGGGCTGGGTCCGGCACGGTGGGGTATTAGAGAATTAAAGTCTCTAGTTGGATGTTTGAAGACTCATTTTCTTTTTTTGTCTCTTCTGTCTCTTGTGTGTCTGTGTGCCTGTACATACCCCTCCCTCAGACTCCCGAAGCCCAGACAGCTCCTCCCCAAATCCCCTTCCCCAGGGAGTCCCTCCCCCTTCTCCTCCTGGGCCACCCCTACCCCCTTCAACAGCTCCATCCCTTGGAGGCTCTGGGGCCCCACCCCCACCCCCGATGCCACCACCCCCACTGGGCTCTCCCTTTCCAGTCATCAGTTCTTCCATGGGGTCCCCTGGTCTGCCCCCTCCAGCTCCCCCAGGATTCTCCGGGCCTGTCAGCAGCCCCCAGGTGAGAGGTTGTGACCAACTTACTGCCTGGCCACTTTCATTTTCTTGTTTTCCTTGTAACCCCAGATCCTTGTGTGAACTTCCCCATGGCCCATTGACCTTCCAATCCTCTAACCTTGTCAGGCCTGTGGTCTTTATGAGACCCCTTGCCTTTCCTGAGGTGACTGATCTTTCAGTGCATGCTTCCTCCCCTAAAAGAACTCTAATATTCTTTGTTTTTGTGTGTGTGTGTGTGTTTTTTTTTTTTTTTTTTTGAGATGGAGTCTTGCTCTGTTGCCCAGGCTGGAGTGCAGTGGCACAATCTCAGCTCACTGCAACCTCTGCCTCCTGGGTTCAAGCAATTCTCCTGCCTCAGCCTCCTGAGTAGCTGGGATTACAGGTGCCTACCACCACGCCCGGCTAATTCTGATATTCTTGATGTCCTTTTCATCTATCTGATTTTCTGCCCTTTTGATCCCATCTGCTTTCCCAAGACACCTGCCCTTCAGGGTCACTGTGTTGCACAATTTCAGGGGGGGCCTGTTTATTCACTTTGGGGTTGTGCTCCAGGGATGGCCTTTCACATAGACTGCAGTGTAAATGACAGCCTCTGGAATGTGCATTGCAGGGCCTTGCTTAGTGGTAGGGAATGATTTCCATCACTTCTGTGACATTCTGCTTCCCAATAAGTCTTCCTGTGACTTCCCTATTTCCCCCATCCCAGATTAACTCAACAGTGTCACTCCCTGGGGGTGGGTCTGGCCCCCCTGAAGATGTGAAGCCACCAGTCTTAGGGGTCCGGGGCCTGCACTGTCCACCCCCTCCAGGTGGCCCTGGGGCTGGCAAACGGCTATGTGCAATCTGCGGGGACAGAAGCTCAGGTATGTGGCTCAGAGGATGAACAGAGAGGGAGAGTCTGGGCCATGTATCACCACCTGTGGGATTCCCAGGGCTTATGGAGTTTGGTCAGAGCAAGTGACCTGGGGGAGGCCTGATGGGAGTAAAGAAGCTGAAGCTGAGATGTAGGACGCGATTGGGGGGAAGGTCAGAGGGAAAAGGAAGCAGCGTGTAGGGTTTCTGAACAGTGAGGAGACTGGGACTGGATCATCACTCAGCTCCTGGTTCCCTATCTCTGTATTTGGCAAACAGGGAGGACTTTAAGTTTTGCTAGGGGGAGATTGGAAACAGACTAAATGGTGAAGGTGTCTCCATGCAACCTTCTTATTGCTCCTCCCCTTTCCCTGTAGGCAAACACTACGGGGTTTACAGCTGTGAGGGTTGCAAGGGCTTCTTCAAACGCACCATCCGCAAAGACCTTACATACTCTTGCCGGGACAACAAAGACTGCACAGTGGACAAGCGCCAGCGGAACCGCTGTCAGTACTGCCGCTATCAGAAGTGCCTGGCCACTGGCATGAAGAGGGAGGGTAAGGACCCGCCCTGCCCAGGCGTCTTAGACCACATGCCCTTCTCCCTTATCCCACTCAGACTGTGTACCTCTCTGGAAGGGTGGACTGCTCTCTCTCCTCTAGAGGGCGATATTTGATTTCTCTCTCCCTTCGCAGCTCTCCTCCCTGTTACCCTGTTCTGGCCCTTGAGTTTCCTTCTTAATGGTTAGGCCTCTGTGGCCTGCACATATGACCCCTCCCTAGACTGATCCTAGGATAGGATAACTTTTCCTTAGCCATGATGGGCTGTCTCCCCATTTCTAACCTGAGTGGTTCCTCCTCTGATTCCATGGACCTTCTCTGGTCTCTGTCTCCTGTTATCTGTGATCTTTCCTCTAACTCCTGGGACTGGGCACTCTTAAGCTTACAGACTTTACTGAAGACCTCAGGGCTTCCCTTCCTTCTTCTGTGTCTCCATCTTATCTTCTTAAGTCAGATTCCTAGGATTCTGAGAGACACTTTAGAGCATATCTTGGTCAAAACACCCACTTTAGAGAAGATGAGCCTGAGGCTTGGCTTTCCCAAGGTCATGCAACAAAGGAGTGGCAGGCAGGTTTGGGATCAGAACCCACATCTTCAAAGACCTAGGCCAGTGCTCCTTTCACTGCCTATTTGTTGAGTCAGAAGAGCACAAGATTTGCACTCAGACACACTTAGAGTCAGTTGTATGACCTGCCATGTATTATATGAATTTAAGCAAACTAATCTCTTTGAACCCCGAGTTCTTCATCTTAAAAATGAGAATAAATGCTTCCAGCATCATTATGATAATTGAGTGAATGTTAAAATGTGCTTAGCATGTTTCTTGGCATATTTTATTTAAAAAAATTTTTTTTTTCAATCAGCTTTCTCAGGTTGAATCTTGGCATGTTTTTTTTAACCATGTAGTAGGCTCTCCATTTAAATTCCTCCCTAATTCTTTTACCTACCTCACCCTTCCCGACTGACTTACCTGCCCTTTTATAACCCTTCCTTCAGGGCTGCCCCCAGTCCACCCTTTCTAGTGACTTCCCCAATTCCTATAAATATCTCCCAAGGGCCATGAGATCCTGATGAGGCCGTAAGGATATTTGTGGAACCCCTTCATGGCTGGCTGCTGACTTTCCATTTTTTCTCTCCCCCTTCCCCCTGCAGCGGTACAGGAGGAGCGTCAGCGGGGAAAGGACAAGGATGGGGATGGGGAGGGGGCTGGGGGAGCCCCCGAGGAGATGCCTGTGGACAGGATCCTGGAGGCAGAGCTTGCTGTGGAACAGAAGAGTGACCAGGGCGTTGAGGGTCCTGGGGGAACCGGGGGTAGCGGCAGCAGCGTGAGTGTTGGGGTCAATCCACTCTCCTTCGTGATGGGGGTTGGGGGAGGCAGTCTAGGTCTGTTCTACATCCCCTCCCCCTCCTTTCCCCTCATAACCTTCCTAACACTACTTGGGACTGGAGGTGCTGCCAAACAAGGTCTTTCAAACATCTGAGGTGGATGTGATAGCTCCTTCTGTCTCCACTCCCCAAACAACCCACTGGCAGAACCATAGGCATGTCCCAAATAAATAATTGTTTGCACTAATGCCAGAAGAGAAGACTCACTTACAGGGATTGGTTTGGATGGGGCTCACAGGAAGACTATATGTAAGGAGGGGGTGTCAAAAGCCTCTTACAAGGGGGCTCCCAGCATATCTCAAAATCTTCCATAACTCTTACCCCCGTCCCCTGCAGCCAAATGACCCTGTGACTAACATCTGTCAGGCAGCTGACAAACAGCTATTCACGCTTGTTGAGTGGGCGAAGAGGATCCCACACTTTTCCTCCTTGCCTCTGGATGATCAGGTCATATTGCTGCGGGCAGGTCAGTGACCTTGGATCCCTTTGACTTCTTGACATTTGACCCCTCTTTGACTTCCCGATCTTTAGTGACCCCAGTGGCCTTACCTTGCGTACCCAGGGAGCCAAACTTGCTGACCTCGCCACCTCTTTTCTCCTTCTCTTCCACTGATGTGCTTTGAATCCCTTGGCCTGATTTCTGGCTCCTGACCCTTGCTGCCCCACCCAGGCTGGAATGAACTCCTCATTGCCTCCTTTTCACACCGATCCATTGATGTTCGAGATGGCATCCTCCTTGCCACAGGTCTTCACGTGCACCGCAACTCAGCCCATTCAGCAGGAGTAGGAGCCATCTTTGATCGGTCAGTGGCCCTCGGCTAGGCTGGCATGTAGATAGAGGGGGTGGGGCTATAGGCTGGTCCGTGTCCAAGGCTGGCTGAGCTGTGACCTTTGAGTGACCTGCAGGTCCCTCTCCAGGGTGCTGACAGAGCTAGTGTCCAAAATGCGTGACATGAGGATGGACAAGACAGAGCTTGGCTGCCTGAGGGCAATCATTCTGTTTAATCCAGGTAAGAGGAGGATTACCTTTGTCTCTCAAGGCCAAGGCAACCTTGGAGCCTCCTCTTCTCCGAGACTCCTAAGTTACCCAGCTATCCCCCTCAGTAAGACCCTCAACCTGGAAATCTCCCAACTGGCCGAGGAAAAACCCACATCCACGGATCCATCCCACAAACCCAGTGGGCCCTGCTTCCCTTGCCAGGCCTCTGGTAAAGGGCAAGCAAGTGCAGCCCAAAAGGGGCATCCTGTGGCTCACATCTGCATGGCCATCCTGATTTGGTTTGTCTTCATTTCTCTTCCTCCTCTCTTCCCTGCCATCCCAGATGCCAAGGGCCTCTCCAACCCTAGTGAGGTGGAGGTCCTGCGGGAGAAAGTGTATGCATCACTGGAGACCTACTGCAAACAGAAGTACCCTGAGCAGCAGGGACGGTGAGATGGGGCTGGGGGGCACTGAGGCTCCCTTGGGGGTGGGGAGTGCTATGAGGATGTGTTCAGGGCCCGTGTGCTTCCAGCTCTCAATCCCCTTCTCCCACCTCCACCCCAGGTTTGCCAAGCTGCTGCTACGTCTTCCTGCCCTCCGGTCCATTGGCCTTAAGTGTCTAGAGCATCTGTTTTTCTTCAAGCTCATTGGTGACACCCCCATCGACACCTTCCTCATGGAGATGCTTGAGGCTCCCCATCAACTGGCCTGAGCTCAGACCCAGACGTGGTGCTTCTCACACTGGAGGAGCACACATCCAAGAGGGACTCCAAGCCCTGGGGCAGGGTGGGGGGCCATGTTCCCAGAACCTTGATGGGGTGAGAAGTACAGGGCAGAACCAAGAACATAAACCCTCCAAGGGATCTGCTTGATATCCCAAGTTGGAAGGGACCCCAGATACCTGTGAGGACTGGTTGTCTCTCTTCGGTGGCCTTGAGTCTCTGAATTTGTCGGGGTCTCCCATGATTTGGGGTGATTTCTCACCCTCTGTCCTTCCCCCAGCACAAAGCACTGGCCTTGCCTCCAGGACCTTGCTTCCTTCTCATCTTGCCTCATTTTGCTTCCCATCTGAAGAGTGGAAATGGGGAACTCCCCCAGAGGTGGATACTGGGGGGCAGGCCTCCCAAGCTGATGGACATGAGAGTAGGGCCCTGACAGGCCTTCCTCCTCTCAAACCTGGCAGATGGGGGCCTCTCTGGAAGAGGGAGGGGCCCTGTCACTGTCCAGAGTCTCTTTTTACACTTCACCTCCTTCTGCAGTCAGACTGAAATATAAAAAAGGTGGTGGTGGTGGTGAAGGGGCTGGTGGAGATGTAGGAACCGATCTGCTATTTTTAATTTCCTGTGAGGATAGAGACTTGCAGTTAGACTCAAAGAAGTACTGTACTTTCCCAGGTTGACTAAGAAATGCCAGTGGTGGAGGTGGGTGTTTGGGAAAGGCAGGGCCCTGAAATGGCCTGTCCCTAGGGCTCTCCAAGCACTAGCCTTCCCAGCTTCCCGCCGCCCCCCCCATCTCTTCCTGTCTAACTTGGGGAAGGGGCCTGGGCTGTGAGGACAGGGCCCCCACAGGGGATGGTTTCACGAGTGTAGTCCCGGAGGCCTTCCCTTTACAGCTCTCCTCCAGCCCTGGGCACATAGCATAGGCTGGGGACACAGGATCCTGGCCTGAGAATTGAGGGGAGGTGGCCAGCCCGCAGAGGTGGGGTGCTGGGGCTGCATGATTTTTGCCCTGCGTCCCTTCTCTTTGGGGCTCCTTTCCCCTCTCATACATAAAATCGCTTTCAAATTAAAATCGCTGTTTTCTGGACTGAGGTGACTGTATGAGGATGGGCAGCGCCGTTTCGGGCTTGGGGGGGGTATCCGGTTGGGAGCTCCGGACGCGATCCCTGGACGCCGCCGCCGAGGTTCCATGGGGCCCAAGAGGTGCACGCAGGGTGGGGGACACAAGGCAAGCTTTGTCGGGGAGGGGGGGAGAGGGTGTGCCAGGCTGGGGGCGGGGCCGGCCGGAGGAGGAAGGGGGGGCGGTGGATTCTCAAAGGCGCCTTGTTCGCTCGTGCCCTCTCCGCGCCAGCGGGCGGCGGCGCCTCGGCTCGCTGCGGCCTTCCCTCCGGGCGCGCTGCGGGCTCCGGGCAGACCCGGCGCCGTGCCCGCTCGTGGGGGCGCACTGGGCGCCGAGCGCTGCGTGCTTCTCAGGCGTTGCCCGCCCGGAGGCGGCCCACGTCCCCGAGTGACCCCATTTCCCTGGACCCTTCCAACCAGAGTCGACTGCTCGCTCATCTTACCACTGCTCCCCCTCTACCTCGGCTCTGGGACTCCCTAACCGCGTCCCCCATTTGCATCTCCTTGGACCTGACTATCCTGTGTTTGTCGGTGGGTCCCAGTCTCTGGCCTCTTGCTCTCCGTAGAACACCTTCCCCCACATCCCCCGCCCCAGTTCGTCGCTATCTATAGCCTTGTCTATAAATACCCCCGCCCCGGCCCGGCTCTGTAATTACACGGGGCGGGGTGAGGGAAGTAATTATGGAGACCTGATTATGGGTGGGGTGGGGACTGCGACCCCCAGGCCCGCCTCTCCCCCTCCCACTGTGCCCTAAATCCCGCCCAGGCCTCTGCTGAAAGGGGGCTCTGGGCCCCCAAGAGGGAGGGAATGGGAGGGAGTGTGTGTGACTGGACGTTTGGGTCCTAGAAAAGGAAGGGGCTAGGGAAGATATTGGGGTTCCCGAAAAGAGAATCTTAGGGTACAGGCAGTTGAGACCTACAAGGGGCAGGAGAGAGCGAGCGATAGAGGGAGGGTTCCCGCCTCCCTCCCCAGGTGGAGACTGAGGGTGGGGTTTCCCTTCGGTGGCTGTGGGCGGGCGGCTGGAGGCGGGGGCCGGGCCGGGGGCGGGGGCGAGGTGGGGGCTCTGGGCGCCAGGGTGGCCGGGGACACACAGAAGCGGCAGCCACCGAGGAGGGAGCAGTGCCGGGAGCCCCGACGGCGCCTTGCTGCATGGAGCTGGGCCGCTGACAGCTGTCGCTGCCCGCAGCCTCTGACCTCCCTGGGACCCCGGCGTCTGAGGCTCATAGTCTGCTCCCTGTCTTCTGTCAGCCTCAGGGCATCCAGCGTCTCAGGCCGACCTGGGTCCCTGGGACCCGGCGTTTCGGCTTCTCAGCCATGGAGCGGTGCAGCCGCTGCCATCGCCTCCTCCTCCTCCTACCTCTGGTGCTGGGGCTGAGCGCGGCCCCAGGCTGGGCAGGTAAGAGGAGTCCTGATGCCTGGGTCCTCGGAGTCAGGCTGGAGCTCTGAGTGTCTCTGGGAAGGGGCCAGCTGATGCCTGGGGCAGCAGCTTCTGAGTCTAACAAGGAGATTTGGGGCTTCAAGGCTACAGGCTGGAGGGCAGGACACCTGTGTTCCTTGGCATCAGGGTAGGAATCTCTTTGTCCTTGAAGTGACTGGGGGAGGGCAGATAGGGCTGAAAGGTGGAGGACCACTTTAGAGACCCTGAATGGGGATGGATGCTTGTCTTGAGTCCTTGGGAAGAGCTGAAGATGGCCAGGGCCAGCCCGGTCCAGTCATTGCTGGTGTGGGGATGGTAGACGCCAATGTTGATGGGTGAGGCGTGTGTGTCTTATGGCCTTTCTGTCGATATCTCTGGGATAAGGGGTGAGCACCTGTGATTCAGAGCAGAGCCCAGTAAGCCCAGAAAGAAAGGAAGCCTTGACTACCTGTCTCATTGGCCTCCTGGACAGGGTCCCCCTCCCCCTCCCTGTGCCCTCGATGCTGCCACGCAGCTGGCTCTGGGGAGCACTGGGGCTGGCTGCCAACAGGACGGCCCTCCGGACAGGCCAGGATCAGGTGTCTGAGGCCAGAGCCAACTCTTTGCATTCCTGCCTAGCCCCTCCTCCCTCTGGCCAGCCAGGCTCCCCTGGGACCCTGGTGCCCACAACCCTGATCTTTTCCTTCTTTTTCCCAGGACCCAGAATTCCTGGCTTCTAGGAAAGGGGATTTGATGTCAAGGAGGGGGCTGTGAGCACCAGGTCCTCAGCAGGCTGGAAAAAGCCCATTTCTGGAGACACTGAGGGCTGATTTATATTTAACTTGACTATTCAATTCTTCTCTGCTTTAGAGAGAAAATGGTCAGAATGGCAGCACAAAAGATTTAGATTAGATTACAGAAGGAAGAACTTCCAAGATGTGAGGACAGTGAAGCCCAGGGCCAGGAAATTGAGGCGTATGGTGCCTGTAGACTCTAGGAGTCTTTCTTAGGGGGAAGAGGGATCCTCTGGCATGGAGGCAGGGGGATGGCTAAGATGACTGTTTCTTATTTCAGGGGCTGAGTGGGTAGAGATGGGACTTTAGGGAAATGAGTTACTGTAGAATTCCTAAGGTTAGAGAATAAGGCATTTGGGGGGCCAGAGGTAGAGTGGTGGAGGGTAATGGGGCTACCAGTGGAGAGCCTGTGGGGCAGATGAGGCTGGATACAGGGGGGCAAGTATGTGGCCTGGTGTGGGAAGATGGTGGGCGGACCTGTGGGTAGGTTGTCCATATGATCGAATTGTACTCCCTTGGGATTTGGTGGAGGGTGGGGACCTCCGAGGTCTCCTTGGCCTGGGGTCTCTGTGAGTCTCTGTGTCTCTGTCTCACTCACCCTTCGTCTCTCAAAGCGGCCCTTGTGTGTTGGTGTTTGCGGAGCTGCCACACGCGCAGGGGCCAGGCTTAGGTGGGGGTTGGGGGGGAAGGCCGTGGTTTCCCGGCTCCTGGACTCAAAGGGCCTTTTCTCTGCCTGCCCGCCCCACCTCACCCACCCCACCCAGCTCCACTCTCCTGATTGCTCTGGCCTCTGCCCTGCCCCACACTTCTATGAAAGTTTTGCTGGAACTCTCTTTGGGATTTTTCCAATCTGGAGCTGATGGTGTGAAGAGTATGTGTATAGGGGAGCAAGTGAGGGCAAGGTGATCTTTTGTTTTCCAGGGAGTTTGAGCCCTAGGAAGCTGAGTTCTAGGTAGACAGGGCTGGTGGGCTGGATCTTGAATCTTTGGGTCCCAGGTGGTGGGGTTGGTGGGGGTGGTGAGACAGGATTGAGGTTCCAGGTGTGGGGAGCTTGCCTGGGTTCTGGGCAAGCACTCTGATGGGATCCACAGATGTGTGGCTCAGGGCCCTGGACCTGTTCCGGATCCTCGTGGCAGCTTCAGCCCCTGCCCCCCATTCCTCCACCCCTCCCCAACTCATCTCCTAAACCAGGAGGCACAGACTCCTGGGAGAGCTTTCTTGTATCTTTTTCCTCAGCATGCTCAGGGTTGTTCCCACCCCATCCCCCAAACCTGGGATCTGTAGCTGCTTGAAGCCCCTCTCATAGAGCTGCTTCTCTGATCTCTTCCTCGTGGCCCCCCTGCACCTCCTGTGTCCAGGATGATCGATTGCCCAGATGTTGTTTGTGCTGGAGACGGGACAGATGCCAGAGACCCAGAGAGTGAGAGATATGGAAAGAGAGTGAGAGCGAGGGAGAGAAAAAGATGGACAGAATGTGAGAGAAATGGAGGAAGACAGAAGAGACAGAGACAGAAAGACCAACATAAAGAGACAGAGAGAGTAAGAGAGTGAGAGAGACAGGAGACAGATGAAGAGTTGAGAGAAGTATTCAGAGAGTACAGAGAGAGACAGATTCATAAGCTAAAAGACAAAGAGAGAGCGTAAGAGAGGCAGATGCTAGGAGAGACAGGGGCAGGAGTGTCATGGGGTTGAATGCCAGCTGATGCTGCCCTGCCTCCAGGTACCTTTGCATTTCCCATCCATTCAGGTACTGTTCAGAAGCAAGTGAGGGTGAGGTGACCTTTCCCTTGCAGGGAGTTTGAGCCCTGGAAAGCTGAGTTCTAGATCCCAAATGTCCCCTATTTATGCCCTCCTGAGGGCATGTCCCTTCTCCTGATAATCATGGACTCTCCCAGGTGCACCCCCTGTGGATGTGCTCCGGGCCCTGAGGTTCCCCTCCCTCCCTGATGGTGTCCGGAGAGCGAAAGGCATCTGTCCAGCTGATGTGGCCTACCGAGTGGCACGACCTGCCCAGCTCAGTGCACCCACTCGCCAGCTTTTCCCAGGTATGGGTGACATGGTGGGGTAGGCCTGGGGGGAGGTAATGGGATGGGGCCTAGGATCAGACACCAGGAGGAAAGGGGTTGTGGCGGCTCCCTTTGCCTCTCACTCTGTGTGTATCTCTCTCGGTTACTAGGAGGATTTCCCAAAGATTTCTCTCTGCTGACTGTTGTCCGGACCCGCCCTGGTCTCCAAGCTCCCCTCCTGACTCTCTACAGTGCCCAGGGTGTCCGACAGCTGGGCCTGGAGCTGGGCCGACCTGTCCGCTTCCTGTATGAAGACCAGACTGGGCGGCCTCAACCTCCCTCTCAGCCAGTCTTCCGAGGCCTCAGCCTAGCAGATGGCAAGTAAGTTTGTTTGCTCCTCTGGTCTGCCTGGCCCACACTTTCAGGAGGAAGTGCCCCCAAACCCCTACACTCTAAACTGTGAAACCCTTGAGACCCTTTGGGCCACACCACACCTACCCACTGCCCAAACTTCAGTCACTTCTAGTCCAGAGTTTGGGCTTTAGAGTGTACAGCCTTCTCTGCATGTTGAACTAGCCTGTACCTTGGGCAAGTTACTTAAAATTTTTGAGCCTCAGTTTCTACATCTGTAAAATAGACATTAAATAGAATTGGCACAAATAAGAAAGTGACGGCATGGTGTCTGGTGCACTGTAAACACTCAATAAATGGTAGCCATTGTTATTACTGCTCTTATCACCATTGGCTTCAACTCTTATCACTGCTCTCCAACCATGTTGACTCCCCTACTTCAGTCAGCCAAGAGTTCACTTGAACCTCTTCCACCATTTCCAGGTGGCACCGTGTGGCTGTGGCTGTGAAGGGCCAGTCTGTCACCCTCATTGTTGACTGCAAGAAGCGAGTCACCCGGCCTCTCCCCCGAAGTGCTCGTCCAGTATTGGACACCCATGGAGTGATCATCTTTGGTGCCCGTATTCTGGATGAAGAAGTCTTTGAGGTAACCAGAGCAATCAGAGGCAGGATTGACTTCTGGTCCCCTATCTTGTGCCCACTACCCTTCTGGCCCCAGCATGTCATCTTCCTATTCCCTAGGCCTTCATTTTTTTTTCTTATGAATTTTCATTTCTATTTTCTATCTTCAGGGCTACTGTTCTCTGCAGGAGAACTAGATGCCTACCTATATGGCAGGACTGTCCACAGCCACTTACTCTGTCCTTCAGTCTTCATCAGTTCCCTCATCCATCCATCCTTTCAACCCCTCTCTCTCCTCACCCACCCATCAATTCACTCACTCCTCAGCCAACCTATGCACACATCCACCACCCACTCCCCCATCTATTTACTCATCTATGCATCACACGCCCACCTAGTCATGCATGAAGGCTTATATCCACCCACCTGTCAATCCTCCCCCTGCTTAACCACTCTCCCCTTCAAACCACCCATCTATGCTTCCACCCATCTATCCTCTTCAACTCCTCCATCCAGCTATTCACTCACCCACCCACCCTCCCCATCTACCCATGCACACAAAGATGCATGCATCCATTCAGCCACCATCTATCCATTATCCTTCCACCAACTCAACCACTCCCTCCTTCAATATACTCACTCACCCATCTCCTGACCCACTTACTTCCCATCCGACCAGTCATTCACCCACATAAGTTCACCCATCTACCTATTCACCCATTTGCTTCCATCTACTCTGTAACCCCTGTTCATCTGCCCACCAGTCCACCCTCCCATACGTACATTTATTCATTCACTATTTATCAATGCTCCCATTCATTAATGCATGTAAGCCCCCAGCCACCCATCCACTCATCTATCCATTCATCCATCCCTCCATTCACCCATCCCTCCATTCACCCTCCAAGCCAGTCAACATTTTCTGAATACCTGCTGGACAAGGAGAACAAAGAAGAGAATATAAAGTCTCTATCACCCCCAAGAGCTCCCAGGTGGGCTCTGGAAATGAGACAACATCCCTAAATTACGGTGCAATGGAGAGTATGCTAAGCACCATGTGTGGGCAAAAGTAAATGCCATTGGAACTCAGGAATGGGTTCTCCCCACTCCATTTCTAGAGGTCCAGAGAATTCTCATCATCACTGCCATTGGAAGGCCAAGGCATCTAAAGCTGAGCCCTGTCTCTGGAAGCCACTGTGGAAGGGCTCATGCATTGCCACAAAGCGCAGAGGGGAGGCAAAGAATTCTGGAAGGCCTGGGATCTGGTCCTGATTCTGCCACTCTGGGTGACCTTGGGGCAGTCATTGCCTTTTTGGGCTTTTCTGAATGGAACGTATCTGAAAAATGGGTAGAAAGAAAGATCCTTGTTCTGCCAACTTTCCTGGTTGTTATGAAGGTCCTATGAGATCCCTTGAAAACTGAAAAGGGCTATGCATATGGAGGACTGACAGTGACCTTCTCCCATCTTAGGGTTTTACCTAGGATTGGCCTCCTATACTCTTTCTCCTGGATGATACCCTCTGCCTCTCTCTGAATCTCTCCGCTCCATCTCTCTCATGTCTTTGCAGGGTGATGTCCAGGAGCTGGCCATTGTCCCAGGGGTCCAGGCAGCCTATGAATCATGTGAACAGAAGGAGCTGGAATGCGAGGGGGGCCAGAGGGAAAGACCCCAAAACCAACAGCCTCACAGAGCCCAGAGATCTCCACAGCAGCAACCATCAAGACTTCACAGGCCACAAAATCAGGAACCCCAGAGCCAGGTGAGGGAGCTGGGAGAACCCCCAAGTGCAGCACACCCCAGAGAGGGAAGACACCCAGGCATCTCTCCTCCTTAGTTGTCCTCCCCACCCTCATCTCCCTATTCCCATCACCCCCTCCTCCTAGTCCTCATTCATCAGCCTTTTTATTTTCATCTAAAAATAAAAAGAGTTGTTATGAAGAATTTGTGGCTGGGAGCTGTGTTCCCTGCTCTGCGTCTCCTCTTCCAGTCTTCCTGGAACTGTGTCCCTGGGTTTTCCCTTCCTTCTTTGAATTAAGAGATTGGGAGACAGTGGGAGAGGGGTGAGAGCTGGGGAGGCAGGTAGGAGAGGGGACTGAAGCCAGGAGAAAGCAGTCGGGATGGTGAGACCAAGGAGGAGGAATGGGAAGGAGTAGGGATGGAGGGAATATCAAAGGAGGGGTGGGTCTGCAGAAGTGTGGGAGTGGGGAACCCAGTCTCTGGCCCCCACCTACCTGGAGGGGCAGGAAAAGGGGAGGTAGTAGGGGGAAGGGAAGGGAAGGGAAGGGAAGGGAGCCTGGGTTGGATGGGGTCTGGAGAGTTAGAATACAGACAGGCTCTGGGGTCAGTGGTCTAAAGATCAGAGGGTCAATCTCTTAATCATGTCTGCTTCTGCCCCACATGTGGAACCCCTTCCCTCTGTTCCACCTCTCCCCACCTCCCTCCTGACCCTCAACCTCTCCTTTCATCTTCAACTCTCTGTTTCCCAACTCCACACCTCCCCCGTTTCCCAACTCCCACACCATCTTTATATCTCCCTCTCCCGCCCTTCACCCCACACCTTCCAATTACCCCATCCCCTTCCTGTCTATGCCCACCCCCCAATCCCAGCCCACTGAGTCTCTCTACTATGACTACGAGCCCCCCTATTATGATGTGATGACTACGGGGACAACCCCTGATTATCAGGTAAACTCAAGGGACCCCTTCATTTCTTCCCTTTCTCCCAGCACCCCCAGCAATCATCTCCTAGGACACCTTCCTCCCCTCCCCCATGCCGTGGGGAGAGGCACAGTGTGTTTAGATTATGGGGATTTACTTAGTTCCTGCCCCCTCCCTGTCTCTCTGCTGCAGCGCCCTGGGAGCCCCCACCACAGGCCTCCCCCTTCCCCTAGGGGGCATCGGACCCCTCCCTGAAAGCCTACCCCACCTGCCAAGAGGTCAATGACCTGGCAGGCGTCCCCCTCACCAGGCCGGAGGCCCTCTCCAACTGCAGGCTTTGACCCAGCATGGGAGCAGCCTCCCCTTTCCCGATGCCCAGCTCCGAGGGCAGCTTCCCCCACTGCCTGGCCCCGCCCCAGGACCAGAGGCAGCAGTTACCGGCAGGTAGAGCCGGGGCATCCAGATCTCTGCCCCCAAACCTCTATGACCTTGGAGGTTCACTCTCCCCAAACTATCCCCCTCCAAAGGGGCTGCAAGATCTGAGATTTCCCCCATCCCCCAGCACAGACAGACCCTGCCCTCGGGGGACAGGTGCTGCTTTGCCTCCCTTCTGCTAACCTTTCTCCTTCCTTCCCACCCCGTGCTACTCTTCTCCTTCTCTCCTTGGGGTCAGGACCCCACCCCAGGTGAAGAGGAAGAAATCCTGGAGTCGAGCCTCTTGCCACCCCTTGAGGAGGTAACTCTATGCCCCACCCTCACCCCATCTGGGGGCAGTGGGCACCTGTGACTCACTCCCCTCAGCCCATGACGTCTTGATGGACCAGCCCCTCCTCTGGCCGGAGGGTTCTTCCTCATTTCCATCGATGGCCTCTGTCTTTGGGTCACTCTAGAACTATGGGCCTGCTTGACTCTCTAAGTCCAGCCCGTTCCCTTCAGTATCCAGGCCTCCTTCCATGATTCTTTGATTCCTGAGTGACTTCGTCTCCATGTTGGTGTCTAATGGTCTTACTTTCTATGTCCTATTTCTGTTCCCGGGAGCCACTTTCTGTCCAGTGTTGTCACCTTTTGTCTTCCCTATCTCTTTGGTCATTCCTGGACTCCTTTGTCTGTCATTGTGTCCATGGACTGTCCACTCTGCATCCAGTCCTCTGGCCACCCTTCATTTTATCCACCACTTCTTCCCACTGGACCCACTTTCTGGACATCTCTCCCCATTTTTGGCCTTTGATGGCCCTTCCATTTATATACAACCACTCCCATGGCTATTCTTGGGAGAAAAAATCCAGTTCTGATTAACCTTGGAATCCTTTGGGCTAGAAGTTGTCACACCCTGGGGTCCAGGGTAAGCCTCCTCTCAGCCCTAACATCCCCATCTACCCCTCTCCCTCCCCATCCCTGGGAAGGAGCAGACAGATCTCCAGGTCCCCCCCACAGCCGACAGGTTCCAGGCAGAGGAATATGGGGAGGGTGGCACAGACCCCCCTGAAGGGCCCTACGATTACACCTATGGCTATGGGGATGATTATCGTGAGGAGACAGAGCTTGGCCCTGCCCTCTCTGCGGAGACAGCCCACTCAGGAGCCGTAAGTGAAAGGAGCTTCTCTTTCATTCTTGACTACCAGTGGGAGCTACAAGAATTGCTTCTTGTTGGTTTCGATCCTTGGCTGTTGGCTGTGAGCTATTTCCCATCTGTGACTTGTCATTTTCTGTTCACATATGATGTATATGTTGCTTGAAAAGATTACTACCTGCCTTCCTTTGCCAAATGTCTTACCTTGTGACTCTTGTGGATACTTCTGAAGCTCAGGGCAATTGGGAATTAAAAAAAAAAAATATGTAGCCACTTCCTGTCTTTCTTGATCACTTCCTGTCTAACTGAAGCTGGATTTCATAAAGCTTTTGGTCAATAAACTACTACCTTGTGTCCATTTTCAGTGTTTCTCTATCATTTCTTCTTGGTGAAATAATTTTTTGTTCATGTTTCTACCAAACGATCTAACTTCCTATGTCACCTTTTTTTAACCTACAGGCCACTTATTATCTGTCCCTTCCTGCCTTCTCCAGCTGTGGCATCCATCTTGGTAACTGTGTCAGGTTGGACTGCAAAGGATTTATTATTTCTGTTCTGGCTCTAGTTTTTCATGCTATCTTGTGACAATTTCCTTTGACAATAAGCCACTTCCTGTATGTCTCAGGTCATTTAAATCATAAAGTTTCCATTGTGGGCCTCGATATTTCTCATGGCTACTTCCTGTGTGTCCTAGCCTTGATGTTTGTGTTTTCTGGAAGAATTACCCTTCACTGTCATGATTCCCTTTGCAGGAGTCACATTCTACCTGTTTTGTGCCTTTCTTTTCTCTCTGGGTCACGGTAGCCATGTTGTTGTTGAAGGTTCACTTCCTGGATCCTCTTTCCTTCACTGCTTCCTGTCTGTTCAGCCACTTCCTGTTTGTCCAGTTTGTTTTCTAGCCATGTTGGCCATGTTTAATTTTCTTCGGCCCTGGCATCATTCTTGCTTCCAAGTGTTTGTCATTTTGTTCTGTGTCCCTTAGTTGTTCTCATATCTTCCAGTATTCCCTGTCAGTGGGACTGCTTCCTGTCTACTCCGCTCCGTCTTCTGCCTGCCTTGCAGTTCTGGCTGCCTCCTCTACCCTGCTGCCGCATCCCATACCTCCCCTCTCTTGCCTCCCTTGAGCTTCTACTGCCTTTCCTTTATGCTGCTCTCTGGGTATTTGGGGTTGATATGGGATTTCAGAGAATTTTGAAACGGATCATTGCTGTTTGGTCAGAATGAAGGTGGAGAGGGGCATTCTGAAGATCTTTGTTGGGGGGAGTTGGGGTGGTGGTGAATGTCTCCCATTCTCCATGTTCTTATTTTGTTTCTGGCCCTAGAGTTGGGAACAGGTATCTGAGTGGAGGTGTGCAAGGGAGGGAACTGGTGGGCTTGGAATGTACTTGAGGGCCAGAGGAAGGGCAATGCATTCAGTGGGGACTGCTCTCCAATTTTTTTTTTTTTTGAGGCAGGGTCTCACTCTGTCACCCAGGTTGGAGTGCAGTGGCAGGATCTTGGCTTACTGCAACCTCTGCCTCCTGGGTTCAAGCGATCCTCCTGCCTCAGCCTCCCGAGTAGCTGGGGTTACAGGCATGTGCCACTGCGCCCGGCTATTTTTTGTATTTTTAGTAGAGACGGGGTTTCACATGTTGGCCAGGCTGGTCTCAAACTACTGACCTCAAATGAGCTGCCTGTTTCGGCCCCACAAAGTGCTGGGATTACAGGCGTGCGCCACCGTGCCTGGCCTCCAAATTTACTTAGAGTATGGATGCTTAACCTTTGGGGCATATTTAAACTTGTGAACCCTTTGAAATCCTAAATAAAATTCTGTGCATAATAGCATATACTTTTTCATTTCTGGAGAAAGACTCACAGCTTTCATCAGATTCTTTTTTTTCTTTGAGATGGAGTTTTGCTCTTGTTGCCTAGGCTGGAGTACGATGGCATAATCTTGGTTCACTTCAACCTCCACCTCCTGGGTTCAAGCTATTCTCCTGCTTCAGCCTCCCAAGTAGCTGGGATTACAGGCATGTGCCACCACACCCAGCTAATTTTGTATTTTTATTAGAGACGGGGTTGCACCATGTTGGTCAGGCTGGTCTCAAACTCCTGACCTCAGGTGATCTGCCTGCCTCCGCCTCCCAAAGTGCTGGGATTATGGGCGTAAGCCACCTCGCCCGGCCTAGCTTTTATCAGGTTCTCATGTGGGTCCATGCCCTCCTCTTACCCCAAATAAAAATCTACCCACAATCTTAGAGAGATTCTTTTATGATGTATTGGGGTAAATGTGTGGAAGGTTTCTTAAGGTTCTAGGGAGGGAGTTTGGGAGATGGGATAGGGTCCTCTAGAAGAGGGTTTGGGAAGGTGGGTGGTTTAAAATCCCTGAAAGGGGCCAGGTGTGGTGGCTCACGCCTGTAATTCCAGCACTTTAGGAGGCCAAGGCAGGCGGATCACCTGAGGTCAGGATTTTGAGACCAGCCTGGCCAACACGGTGAAACCCCATCTCTAATAAAAATACAAAAATTAGCCGGGCATGGTGGTGCACATCTGTAATCCCAGTGTAATCCCAGCTACTTGGGAGGCTGAGGCAGGAGAATCACTTGAACCTGGAAGGCAGAGGTTGTAGTGAGCCGAGATCGCGCCATTATACTTCAGCCTGGGTGACAGAGCAAGACTTCGTCTCAAAAAAAAAGAAAAACAAACAAACAAACAAAAACACTGGAAGTTTCTGGGGACCTTCCTGAAAGAGGCTCTCAGGGAGATGGAGAGGTTGTGTTTGCTGAGGTGGGGCTGGGAACTGCGGGGGCAGGGAACCCTGAGGTCTCCTTGGCAGGCTTGAAAGGTTTGTGAAGAGGGAGTTTTAGGGGAGGGCTGTGGGGCTTTCGGGTAGGGCTGAAGTGGTCTCGAGAGGATCTAAGAATCAAGGTTGGAGTTGAGATGGAGAAAGGCCTAGTGTCCTGGCTGCTCACGGGCCCCACTGGGGGCTACATGTGTGTCTCCTTCAGGCTGCCCATGGACCCCGAGGGCTGAAGGGAGAGAAAGGAGAGCCTGCAGTGTTGGAACCTGTAAGTTATACTGGTCACAGGGCTGAGGCAGTGGAAATAGGAGAAGCAAGTGGGGTTGAGTGTGCTGGTCCTGTCGCCTCTGATTTTTAACCTTTGACTCCACAGGGTATGCTCGTGGAGGGGCCCCCTGGCCCAGAAGGCCCTGCGGTAAGTCTAGCAGTGACCTGGTGGCCATTCTTTTCTTAGAAACCCCTTCTATGTGCTCATCTGAGCCTTCCCCACATATGCCCAGGCCTCCTCCTCAGAACTCGGGAGCATCCCTCCAATCAACGCTTCCCAGATTCCCAGATCTGTTCTGCACAGACCACTCCTCAGCCACAGGCTGAGTGTCCACACCTGTCTGAATGCCCACACCTGACCCCTACTCTTTTGTTCCTCAGGGATTGATTGGTCCCCCTGGCATCCAGGGGAACCCAGGCCCAGTTGGAGACCCTGGAGAGAGGGTAAGGGGGTGTCCTCCATGTGACGGGGGAGCTTCGGGGGAGCTAGTGGTATCCAAGCGGGGGGCTACCATGCCCAGTAATTTCCTGTTAGGTGGCTTGTTAATGAATGAGGGGATGGTTGTGCTTCCCAGCAACCAGAAAGGAGGGCAGACTCTGGTTGGGGAGGGTGCTGATCTGGTTTCTCACCCTCAATTTTCCCCATGGGGGTGGGAGACTCAGGAAAGAGCTAGAGCAATCTACACTTATTCTGTTGAAGAGGATATTTCAAAATCATGCTAAGATCTTGATGTCCCCTTATCTTTCACCCCATCTTTTGCATTCTCTTCCCACTCCAGGGCCCCCCTGGCCGAGCAGGGCTCCCTGGATCAGATGGGGCTCCTGGTCCTCCTGGCACATCTCTCATGCTCCCAGTGAGTTGTCTCTTGGGTTTTGGAACATGCTGATGGGGAAGACAAGGAATTGTGTCATGTTACCAAGAACCAGATGGGCAGGAAAGATATGGAGGAGTCTCTAAAGATCATCAAAGATCATCACTCCAAAGGGATTCGTCTTTGGGGTTGGGGAGATGGGGCCTCATTAGGTGACCTAGAACAAAACACCAGTCTTCTAGGACTGGGCAGAACAGCCTATATTTCAGGAGCTCTAGAACCAAAAGAGAGTCTTTCTGGAGGCAGAGGCTGGACAGTGGAGGAGGGCAGGAGTTGAGTTTCTGGAATCCTCTAAGTGATTATCTGGAAGCCATGGGAAATGCTGGATGGGCAGAACCTGGGGCAAGGGGCAGAAACGCTGGAGAAAGCCTCTGGCTGGGAGGGTCCCATGGCTTTCTTGGAAGAGAACCTGGACCTTCTCTCCTTGCCCTCAGTTCCGGTTTGGCAGTGGTGGGGGTGACAAGGGCCCTGTGGTGGCGGCCCAGGAGGCTCAGGCCCAGGCGATCCTGCAGCAGGCGAGGGTGAGTGGGGCTGCTTCCCTGGAAAGGGAAGGCTCTGGGGGGCACTGGAAGGGTTGGCTGGAGTGAGTGTGCGGCAGGGGAGGCCTGGGTTGGTTTGGGGTTAACAGGGAGGTTGGGGAGAATCCTGGGCAGTGGATGAGGATCAGGAGAGGAAGGGTGAATTTGGAGAGTGCTGGGGCTGGGGGTTCCCACTGCCTGTCCCTCAGCTCTGCTGTCCCCCTGCTCCCCTAGCTGGCGCTCCGTGGACCCCCTGGCCCCATGGGATACACAGGGCGCCCTGGACCCTTGGTGAGTGAGCAGGGTGCTCGGGTGGAGGATGCTTTAATTGTGTGTGGGGTGTGGATAGTTCTGGAAAGGGGCTTCTTTTGGGGAACACTCCGAGGCCACTGTTGGCTGTGTCCTTCCTTACGGCCATCCTCTCTTCTCTCTCCCAGGGCCAACCTGGGAGCCCTGGCCTGAAAGGAGAGTCTGGAGACTTAGGACCTCAGGTGACCACTTTCCTCCACTGCACCCCCATATCTGTTCACCAGCTCAGTCTCCCTCACTCCCCTCCCTATGCCTCCTAACCCCACCCCATCTCTCCTCTCACCAGGGCCCCAGAGGACCTCAGGGCCTCACAGGCCCTCCTGGCAAGGCTGGGCGAAGGGTGAGTGCCCCAGGGGTGGATGGGTGTTGTGGGGAGACAGGGCCTGCAGGGTAGGGGACTGCGGCCCTGCTTGTTCTGACACTTCCCTTGTTCTCCCAGGGCCGGGCAGGTGCTGATGGAGCCCGAGGGATGCCTGGAGATCCTGGAGTGAAGGTAACAGGCTTGGGCCCCTCCCTGAAGCCTGTAGCCTTCAGCCCACGCTGGGCTCAGTTGTTTCTTGGGGATGACCTAGTTCTCCAGGCTTCCCCAGGATCAGCACCCCCCCAGCTCAGGGTGCAGTAGGGAGGGGTGGGCTTGGACAGGGTCGTGTCCTCACTCTGGCTATCCTTCCTCCTCCTAGGGTGACCGAGGTTTTGATGGACTCCCAGGGCTCCCTGGAGAGAAGGGCCATAGGGTGAGTACATTAGTGGGTGTGTGTTGTAATTGGGGATAGATCTTCTATGGGAGTGAGGATAGGTAGGGAAGGGAGGCTGGAGGCTTGGCAGGAGCTCAGTGAAAGTAATGGATGGGCTAAGTGCAGAGGTTCGGTGTCTGCCTGTGTTGGGGGCTCTGAAGCCCCTCTTATGAGTTCCCCCATTTTGCAGGGTGATACTGGTGCCCAGGGCCTTCCTGGTCCCCCTGGTGAGGATGGAGAGAGGGTAAGTGTAGTGGCAAATGTAGGGGCTGGGTGCAGGGGAGGTCTAGAAGGCACAGCAGCTTTACCGTGTCCTCCTCCTCCAGGGAGATGACGGGGAGATTGGGCCTCGAGGGCTGCCTGGAGAGTCGGTGAGTGTCCAAGGGCTGGTGCTGGGGGAGGCGGCTCTGGGGAAGCCAGGAGGGGGACATGAGCACTAAAGGGACACAGTTTTATCCATTCATGCCGTCTCCTCCCCTCACCATGAATGCAGGGACCTCGAGGTCTCCTTGGCCCCAAAGGCCCACCTGGTATTCCTGGACCCCCTGTAAGTGACTCCCTGACTTCTGACCCTGAGGTGACCCCTTGACCTCTCCAACTCTCCACCTTTCTAGCTGCCTTCCTGCTCCCTCTCCTCTCTCGGCATGCTTCCCATTCCCTGTGAGCTCCCCCTGCTCTGGCCCCACACTGCCCTGCCTCAGCATTCGCTCCCCGTGCACAGGGAGGGCCATGTGGCGTGGTGCCCCGAGGGCTCTGGGCATAGGAAATAAATCTTCAAGAAAAACAAAACCAAAGCCCACAAGCCCACAGATCCACAGTCCCACACACTGCAGGCCTGGGCCAGCTGTGTTTGCTTGGGTTTGGGATGGATTGGAGGTCTGACCGTCACACCCTCGGGAATGGCCGGGCCTCTGAAAACCACAGGTCCCTCCGGGCCACCTTCAGGCTGCTCACACCCATCTTGTGTTTCAGGGCGTCCGAGGCATGGATGGTCCCCAGGGCCCCAAAGGGAGCTTGGTGAGTGATGGATAGGAGATCCCACCCCCATTCTTATCCCCCGAGGTCCCTGCCAGCATCCTGTTGGCCGCCATTTTGACCCCTGCCTGCTTCCTGCTCTTGCCTTCTTGGCTATCGCTGCTGGGACTCAGCTCCATGCTCTAAATGTGTTCTATCTCCATCTCCTTCTGACCTGTGCCTGGTCACCTGTTTCTAGGGACCCCAGGGAGAGCCAGGACCTCCTGGACAACAGGGCACCCCTGGGACCCAGGTGAGCGGTGCCCCTACTCCGTTCCCCAATTTTCATGACTTCCCTTGGGCTTCCACAATGGGTGAGACCCTGGAAGGATACAGGAAATTAAGGGTTTCAGGCCCTTGTTGCTCATGCTTTGAATCCGGGAGGCTGGATAGAAGAGACCCTGGGAGGCCCCTGTGACTTCTCTTTCCCTGTATGTAGGGTCTTCCCGGGCCCCAGGGTGCCATCGGCCCTCATGGAGAGAAGGTAAGTGACTAAGTGATTTGGAGGACAGGGGGTTTAGAGTGGGGATGTAGGGAGAACCCTAAATGTCTGCTGGGATTTTGTCTGTGTCCAGACATGACCCCTCTAGTGACCCTGAGCCTCTTTGTCTTCCTGCAGGGTCCTCAAGGGAAGCCAGGGCTCCCCGGCATGCCTGGCTCAGACGGACCCCCGGTGAGTGGGACCCCACTTCCGAATCCAGTTCCCCTTGGCCTTCCACCCCAGTGCATGACCTCAGAGCTCCTTTAGTGACCCTTGCACTGAAAGGTCACTGGTGGTGCTTGTCCATGGACAGTTGGCTTCACTAGGTCACAGGAAATTTGGGTTGGAAGAAGTGTAGGGAGGGGTGCAGAGAGGGTGACAGGGGCCACTGGTCACATTTTCTATCCCTTACTCCCAGGGTCACCCAGGGAAGGAAGGTCCCCCTGGAACCAAAGGAAACCAGGTGAGATCTTCCATGTCTTTATCCCCTGAGGGAGTCTCCACTCAGACTCTAGAGCCTCAAAGTCCTTGGGATTCCCTTGTCTCATTATTCATATGGCTCTGCCACATTCTCAATTCCTGTGCCCTGTAACCCTACCCAGACAGCAATGTTGTTACTTCCATTTCTTCCACCCCTGGAGGCCCCCACAGTGACACTCTGAGGCCCCTTTATAAATGCCTCTCTTTTATCTTCCAGGGTCCCTCTGGACCTCAGGGTCCTCTAGGATACCCAGGACCTCGAGGGGTCAAGGTAACTGACCACCAGGCTGGGAGACAAAGGGCTGTGGTCAGGGGAGCTATATGGGGTCTTAGGAGCTTGGTCCTTCCAACCCACCTCCATCCCCTGATCAGTCTACTTCTATCCCCTCTCTAATTCTAGGGTGTGGACGGAATTCGGGGTCTGAAGGGTCATAAGGGTGAGAAGGTGAGCACCATGCCCCCAGCTTCCCAGCACCTCAGTCCTGCCATCTCCTCTCTTCACTGCCTTCCCTCCAGCCTGCCCCGCACTGCCCTCCAGCTCCCGAGCCCCTGCTTCCACCTATGTTCTCAGAATTCCCATTAGAACCCCAGCCCTCTGTCATCTGTGGTGCCCTCTCACCTCTATCTTTCTCAGGGTGAGGATGGCTTTCCTGGGTTCAAAGGTGACATAGGCGTGAAAGGTGACAGGGTGAGTAGAGACCCCACACTGGCCCCAATTCCGTGTCCTACTGAGCCTCCACTCTGGAGACGCCAAGCACCGGTTTATTCTCCTGAGTCTCCAGACTCCACAGTTCCAGTGCTGTGTTCCCTTGGGAGCCTGACCCCTACAGGATGATAGCCCCATGGTCTGTGTCATGCCTGCCCTCCCATCACTACACTATCCCTACCCTGTGGGCTTCCTGTCCTGCAGTGGCTCCTGGGACCCCTCTAGCCCTCCTCAGCCTCACTGTTGCCCATTTCTCCTCTGGGCCCAGAGCCCACCTCCAGTCCCCAGCACTCACCTGTCCTTCCCTCTCACACAGGGCGAAGTTGGAGTCCCTGGTTCCAGGGGAGAGGATGGTCCTGAGGGGCCAAAGGGACGCACTGGACCGACTGGAGACCCTGGGCCCCCAGGGCTCATGGGCGAGAAGGTGATGGGATGAGGGTTCTGTGCCTGGGTCCTCTGGGGGTGTGGGCACTGGGGTCAGGATGGGCATGGGTGCCCGCCGCTGAAGTCAGCCAGTCAGTTGAAGATGGCCATGCATTAGTCATACTTCTGTCTGTGTAAATGGCATCTCTCAGCTGCTGATGGGCAGAGGGGATATATAAGAAGTCAGGGAAAAGTCCCTGACACGAAGAGTTGGATGGAGACGAAGCTTAGAGAGTAGCTGTTGCTTCAAGGCAGAGTGAACATGCGTTCGGACTCCAAGCAGCAGGAGTTCTGAGATGAGAGAGTCTAATAGCAGTGAGGTCTGTGGTCTCCAGAGCTGACTCTCCCCAGCACTTGCCCTATGCCAGGTGCTGTGCTGATGCGTCCTATCTATCCTATGAGGTAGGCATGTGACGTACTGTTTTGCTGAGGTTTTACAGAGGCACAGGGATGCTTGTTGATTACATGGCCAGTGAAGGGCAGAGCCAGGGGTTATGCCCAGGCAGTCTGGCTTCAGAATCTCTGCTTCTAAGCCCTGCTCTGCAGCTGCCTGGGCAGGATGAGCCCTGGAGCCTCTGGGGAAGGGGGCATGCACGGGAGTCGGGGTGTGGTGGGCAAAGGGCCTGCAGGGGGATTGGTCTTGGTGAAGCAGGAGTGGGTGCTGGGGTAGATCCCACCTCCCTCATGGGGTAGATGGAGCTGAGGTTGACATGTGGGAAGCAGCTAGATCACAGTGACCCTGAAGGACCTGATACCTCTGTAGGCGCAGGGGAGGTGGGATCCCAGCACTAGAATTGGGGAAAATCCACTCACGGGAAGGAGAGACAACAAAAGTCAGGCAGCTGTGGGGCAAGCAATGAGGGGCTAGAGGCTGGGGTGTGTGGGGTGTGTTGCTGGGTGGGGGCTGGCTGTTATATGTGAGGGTTGAGGTCTCCAGGGGTGGAGTGGCATCTGGGCCTCCTCTCACTCCTAACTGCTTCCTGTCCCTCCACAGGGCAAGCTGGGTGTTCCTGGTCTGCCTGGCTATCCTGGACGTCAGGGACCCAAGGTGATGCCATGCCCCATACGTGCCCCTCCTCCTCTTCCCTCCTCCTCTTCCCTTCCCTGATCCCTGATTCCAGAAAGCACAGATGCAGGGCAGTGGGGGACCCCAGAGGGAATTTAGCTGACCCCCATTTTACAGATGACCTAAAGAGGCCCAGAGAGCAGCAGGGGTTTGTCCAAGGCCACTTAGTTCTTGGCAGAGCTCGGGTCTCCCTGGCCACTGCCTTTGTGGCCTCTCCTGACCCCCTTTGCCCCTTCCTGAACCCTACCTTTCATAACTTCTCAATTTCCCCCTTCTCCGTTCTCACCAGGGGTCCCTAGGATTTCCTGGCTTTCCTGGTGCCAGTGGAGAGAAGGGAGCCCGGGTAAGCTGGGGGGTGGGAGGGGGTGAGAAGGGAAGGGCTGGAGAGGTGTAGAGGGGGTCTGTGGGGAGTCTCACCCTGGGTAATGTTCTCTCTGCTTCATTCCCACCAGGGCCTGTCGGGGAAGTCAGGGCCTCGGGGAGAACGGGGCCCCACGGTGAGTGCAGGGGAGAGAAACAGGTGGCTCAAGGTCCAGAGGGGGGCATTTGGGTTTCTCTGACAACTCCTCTTCCCTCTGTAGGGTCCACGGGGTCAGCGGGGACCCCGAGGTGCCACTGGGAAGTCTGGAGCTAAGGTGAATGGTCTCTACAAGGCTCCAACTGCCCCCTGCCCACTCAGCCCCAGCTCTCCCTCAACATCCTGACCTCGGGGACAGCTGGAAAGCAGCTCTTCCCACTCCTTGACTCTGTTTCCCCCCACAGGGAACATCTGGTGGTGATGGCCCCCATGGGCCCCCTGGAGAGAGGGTGAGTGTGGATCGAAAGTCCCCTTCCCCTGAGGTCCCCAGGGAGCCTGGGTGAGCCAGCTCCCTCCTCACCCCAGGAAGGAAGCTGAGTTCCCCCACTCAGCCCCTGCCCCCATTCTCCTGACTCCCCCCACCTCTGTCTCTAGGGCCTCCCTGGACCTCAGGGTCCCAACGGGTTTCCTGGACCGAAAGGACCCCTGGTAAGTTGACCCCGAGCTCTGACCCACCTCGCTTCTCTGAGTCCTTCTTCCCTACCTGCTTTCCAGCTGAGAGTTCACCTGACAACTGAACCCCTTCCAGGGCCCCCCTGGGAAGGACGGGCTGCCGGGACACCCAGGCCAAAGAGGAGAAGTGGTGAGTGATGCTCCTGGCTACCCATTCTCAGGGGGCTCCATCAGACCCTTTAACCCCAGAGCTGTCTGGAAAGCCCACAGGGACGTTCTCCTGGCAGAGTGGAGCCTGCCCTGGTGCTGCTCAGACCCAGGGCCCAGGGCTCGGTGTGATCCTGCCTGGGATCCTTCCTCCTGGGAATCTGCCCCACAGCGCCCACACCTGCTTTCACTGCATTCTCCTCTCTTCCTCGCCTAGGGTTTCCAAGGGAAGACCGGCCCCCCTGGTCCTCCAGGAGTGGTGGGACCTCAGGTAGGTTTGTCCCTAGGAGAGAATGGACCCCTGACCCTAGCATTAGTCTGTCTGCCCCTCTTCTCTCGGTCACACGCCCCTGCCCCGGTCCACCTGACCCAGACTCCTGGGGCTGGGGTCAATGGTGGGGGCTGGGATTTCAGGCAGGGGTCCTGAACTTCAGTCTGTTTTGGGGCGCATTCTCATCGTCTTGTCCCCCAGGAGAGGCAGTTCCCCAACAGAGACACAAGGTGGTGTAGTTACTCCACATGGGGCAGGAGAAAACCCAGCAGTGGCCCAGGAATGCCGGGGAATTTCCCAGGAGCTTTGGGGCAGGGATAAAGGGGTTCTGAAGGAGTGTTTTAGGGTGGCCAGGGTGGGCTCTTCTGGCAGACAGCGAGATGAAGGGCCTGAGAGCAGGAACTCTCTCTGCTTTTGTCTAGGGAGCAGCAGGAGAAACCGGCCCTATGGGGGAGAGAGGTCACCCAGGCCCCCCGGGGCCCCCTGGAGAGCAGGGACTACCTGGGACAGCTGGAAAAGAAGGAACAAAGGTCAGTGAGGGGCCAGGCAGAGGGGAAGTGGGGGAGCTGGGGATTGGGGTGCTGAAAGGAACAGGTAGTTGGAGATTTGAGGGGGGGCTGGAGAGCTCTCTGTTTAATTTGGGAGCATGGCTGTGGCTCATCACCTCTCCTTTCCTTTTAGGGTGACCCTGGTCCCCCTGGGGCCCCAGGGAAGGATGGTCCTGCTGGTCTGAGGGGATTCCCAGGAGAGAGAGGCCTCCCAGGCACTGCTGTGAGTGTGACTCCCAGACCCCTGCCTGTCACAAGCACCAAGCATCCTGAGTCCCCCCCCCGACCCTGTCCCTGACCCCCTCCATGTCACTCCCCACTTCCATCTTTTGGAGCCTGTCTTCCCTCTCCAGCTCTCACCCTTCTCTTTTCGTGAAGTCTCATCTTCCCCAAATGTCTGGTTCATAGGGTGGACCTGGTTTGAAGGGGAATGAAGGTCCGTCTGGCCCCCCTGGCCCTGCAGTGAGTCTGGGGTTCCGGAAGTGGTAGGAAGGACCCGGGAAAGGGGTGGGTGAGGAAGGGTGGGAGTGGCATTCTGATACCACCAGGGGCTGTGGGGCTGGGCAGAGGCTGTCCAGGGACAGCCAGAATGCATCTGATTTTGGGAGCTTTTGGGAATTGTGGTCCGAGGTTCTCTGGTATGGGCGGGCTGGTGTCTCCTTCCTGGGGGTCTGACCATCTGCTTTCTCAGGGCTCCCCTGGGGAACGAGGTGCAGCAGGATCAGGGGGACCCATTGGTCCGCCAGGGCGCCCAGGCCCGCAGGGTCCCCCTGGAGCAGCAGGAGAGAAAGGTGTCCCAGTGAGTGTGGGGGTCTTGGGGAGGGGTACTGGGGAGGGGTCTGTGAGCCTAGGGTTGATGGGCTATGACAAGTTTCCTGTGGGGTGTTTGAGGGTGAGGGTCACCTCCAGGCCATGACTCCTTCCTCCTGTCCCACAGGGTGAGAAGGGCCCCATTGGCCCAACTGGCCGAGATGGAGTGCAGGGTCCTGTGGGGCTTCCTGGTCCTGCTGGGCCTCCAGGTGTGGCTGGAGAGGATGGAGACAAGGTGAGGGGACCCCACAGACCCCGACCAATCTTCTTTCCAGATGAGATGGCTGACCTGGGCATGACCCCTGGCCCCTGTCATGTCATCCTTCCCACTCTACCCATCACCTTTCTCTAATATCTTGTCTGCCTTCTCCTCCCAGGGTGAGGTGGGGGACCCCGGACAGAAGGGCACCAAAGGGAACAAGGGTGAACATGTAAGTGTCCATGACCTTGACTTCTGACCTCCTGGCCTTTAACCTCAGTCCCACCTGATCTCTCTCCCTGTTTTGGTGTCTCTGACTCTCTTTTCTTACCCAGGGCCCTCCTGGACCCCCTGGACCCATTGGTCCTGTGGGGCAGCCTGGAGCAGCGGTGAGTGACCCCTCCACCCCCACCGAAGGCCCAGCAGCCTCTGGTCCTCCCACAGCTCCCCTCTGCCCTTGTGGCTGGGAGTGGGAGCAGGGGCTCTGGGCCTGGCACCCAGCTGTGTGTGGTATTTGTGGATAGAGAACACCGACCCATGACCCATCCCTGTGTCCTTGTCTCTGCTTTCCCTCAACCCTGCAGGGAGCAGATGGGGAGCCCGGAGCTCGGGGACCCCAGGGACACTTTGGAGCCAAAGGTGATGAAGGAACAAGAGGATTCAATGGGCCCCCAGGACCCATTGGCCTACAGGTGTGTTGGGGGATAGGACAGGGGCTGAGAGGTGGGGTCAGGATGGGGTGATGTTTTGCCCCAGACTCTGCCAGCAGCCTGCCGATGCGGACTGGAGGGCCTGCGGAGTCTGAGGGGAGGGGACTGTGGGGCCTATCTGCCTAGGGCTGTGCTTTGGGTGGGGTCGTCACCTGGGCCCATGTTTTGTATACTTGCACAGGGTTTGCCAGGCCCCTCTGGGGAGAAGGGAGAAACAGGAGATGTGGGTCCTATGGTGAGTGTGACCCCTACTGACCCTAGCCACCATACTAGTCACCCCCCTCCCTGGCCAGCCCCCACCCCACACCCCACTGCCAACTCCCTGGCCTGGCTGCTCCTCCTCCTCTCTCCACCATTCATGCTCAGCCATCTCACTTCCCTTCCTCATCTGTGGTGTATCTGTTTCCCCCAGGGACCACCTGGCCCCCCAGGACCTCGAGGTCCAGCTGGACCCAATGGCGCTGATGTGAGTCATCTCAGCCCCTGTCCCTTGAGACCAATGTGTCTGGTCTTCTGCCTCCCTTTCCCAGACCATAAACTCTAGTATCGTCTCAGGGGCCAAGAGAAGCCCTTACTCCCGGGAGGCCTCCACTGCCTCACTGCTGTAACCTTGGGCTGCTCATCTGGGACTTTGCCCCTGAAATGGCACCTCCATCCTAAGCAATGACACCTATTTCTGTTCCTCTTCCAGGGCCCACAAGGTCCCCCAGGAGGTGTTGGGAACCTGGGTCCCCCTGGAGAGAAGGTAACTGGGAAGGGGGTGAGTGGACCAGTCATGGAAGTGGGGGATGGGAGTTGGATTTCTGCCAATTTTGGGTGGGGAGACAAAAGAGAATGAGATATGGGGAATATCAGAATTTTTTGGCTGGGGAAGGAGAGGAGGTTTTTGACTCTAATCTCTTTGCAGGGGGAACCAGGAGAGTCAGGATCTCCAGGGATCCAGGGCGAGCCAGGTGTCAAGGTGAGTGACAGCTCCAAGGCCTTACTCCCCAGTCCCCGTCACCCGCCTCAACCCTGCCTCCACTTTTCCTGTGACCTCCTTGAGCTGGAACTCCTCTGCAGCAAGAGTCTCTGCTCCCTGCCATCCTCTATGAGGCCTGATCCCTGGTCTGAGTGAGCCCTTCTTCCCCTTTCTTGAAGGGAAGGGGACTAGGGAACTCCCCTTATAGGCTTGACTTTCTGTGTATGTCCCATTGTCACTGAGGGGAGTAGGGGATGGCTGAAGGTGTCTCGGAAGCAGAGGCTGCATCCCTGATCTTCAAGATTCCCTGGGCCATCTGTGTCCTCCGCTTGTTCTGCAGGGTCCACGCGGGGAACGTGGAGAGAAAGGAGAGTCGGGGCAGCCAGGAGAGCCAGGGCCACCAGGGCCTAAAGGCCCCACAGGCGATGATGGCCCCAAAGGGAACCCTGTGAGTTTGGGGCAGTGGGGGCTGAGTCCTCTCAGGCCCTGTGAATGACAGACCTGGGAATATGGGTGTGTGTGAGGGAGGATCTTGGAGTGTGGGGAGCCCGGGAGTTTGGGGGATGCTCTGGGAATGGGGCATCCAGAGGGATGCCTGGGGTCTAGGATCCGGAGAGAAAGTGAGAGATGCCCTGCAGTTAATACCTTGAGGAATTAGACAACACGCAGTGCACGTGGTAGGGAAAGGGGTGCAGGAGACCTCTTCCTGGGGGGTACTGGTGGGCACTGCCTCTAGAGAGGCAGTGGCGTGTGCCTGTGGGCGTCTGTGCTGGGTGGGCTTAGGGAGCTGTGACCCTGACTCTTATTCTCCATCTGGATCAGGGTCCTGTTGGTTTTCCTGGTGACCCTGGCCCCCCTGGAGAAGGTGGCCCTCGGGTGAGTCTTACTCAGAGAAGGGAAGGGGCAAAAAGGGTGGGGCTTCTATGGGGGGGGTCCTCTGTGTGGCCGCTGGGCTTGGGTATTGGGAAGCTGGGGGTATGGCAGGGTGGGCAAGGGGATGGGGTATTGACAGTTTTGGAGGTGATGCCAGCCAAGTTGGGGGCCCACCTCTGACCTTGCTTCACTTCTGCAGGGCCAGGATGGTGCTAAGGGTGACCGAGGCGAGGATGGTGAGCCAGGACAGCCTGTGAGTGCCTGGTGACCCCACCACCCCCCTGAGCCCAAGCCTCATCCTCTTTACCCCTCTTCTGTGCCCCACTCCTGAGGGGTCCCTTGGCTGGAGGATAAACACTCAGCCACCCCAATTCCTCTCTCCCTAGGGATCCCCTGGTCCCACCGGGGAGAATGGACCCCCAGGGCCACTTGGAAAGCGAGTAAGTGAGGTGGACCCCTGAGACCTTGGGAGGCAGTCCCTGGGCTGTGTGGGTGGAGGCTGGGCAATGGCAGGTGGGATGGGTGGGGAGGTGCCTGGTGTCTGCATTGCCCTGGGTGTGTGTGTGTGCAGGAGCTGGTGGGTTTAAGGGTGTGTGGTATCTCATTGCCCGGGGCAGGGTGTGTGTGCAGGAGCTGGTGGGTTTAAGGGTATGCGGTATCTCATTGCACTGGGCGAGTGTGTGTGCAGGAGCTGGTGGGTTGATGGGTGTGCGGTATCTCGGGCATGTTTGTTCCTGGGTTCTGGTGTGTATGTTTTCACCAGGGGTAGTGGTGGTTACTGACAAAGCAGAATGGAAACTGGAGGAGGGGCTGGCCAGCTTTTCTGTGGGCCAGGGGTGAACCTTTTTAGTTTCTGGGGCAGGAGACGGGCCACCAGGTAGGGTGTGGGCAAGTGGCCCTTCACCAAATGTACAGACTACCCAGTATTTTCACAACTGTCACAGCTGTATCTGTTCTGCACATCTGTGAATCGGCCCTCGGCGCGTGTCCCTGTGTATGCACGTGTGTGTGTGCATGTGTATGTGTGTGTCTAGGACAGGAAGGGGGAAGAGTTGAGCCTGGCTGCCCACGGCCTCATGTGCTCTTCCTTCCCACTCCACCTGCAGGGTCCTGCTGGCTCGCCTGGTTCCGAGGGGCGACAAGGAGGGAAGGGAGCCAAGGTGAGGGACAGGCTGCCCTAGTGCTGGAGCATCCCCTCCGCCTCCCACCCCTCAGATGCCTCCGTCTCCAGATGCCCACCCCATCTCCACCTCTCCCATGTTGGGCCCTTATGGGGACAGGCGTTCCCTGTACTTGTTCCTGCGCTAGGGGCTCCTAGAGTTTGGCCCTTCCTCCCTGCCTCCCACCTCCCACCTTGGACCCTCTGCCCCCTGCCCACACCCCACTCCTCTGCCATTCAGGACACATTCCTTGTGTGTGTTTCAGGGAGATCCTGGCGCTATAGGTGCCCCGGGGAAGACAGGCCCGGTGGGTCCTGCAGGCCCAGCAGGGAAACCTGGCCCTGATGGTCTGAGGGGGCTCCCAGGCTCAGTGGTGAGTCACTGCAGGGAAGGGCTGGGCTGGGGTGGGAGTGAGGGGCCATGGGAGGGGTGCAGTGTGGGGATGCTCCTCCTGACCCCTGTGGCCCCCTCAAATCTTCAGGGTCAGCAAGGCCGACCTGGAGCTACAGGCCAGGCTGGGCCCCCAGGTCCTGTGGTGAGTGACTGGGATTGGGCTGAGTGAGGGGTGAGGGCAGTGCCCTGGGACAGAGCTGAAGCCCTGGAGGAAGTGGAGGCTGTTGGGGAGAACTTGGTCCCACCTCTCCCTTAAGAGAATGACTTCCCATCTCTCCACAGGGACCCCCAGGGCTGCCTGGTCTCCGGGGCGATGCTGGAGCCAAGGGAGAGAAGGTGAGTGACAGACAGACACGTGGCCAGGTGTCTCTCCCATCACCCTCGCCCCTGAAACCTGTGGGACCCAAGTGCCCACTGCTCTGCTTCAGGCCTCCGGCAGCCAGTCCCAGGGAGTCCCTGCTCAGTGAGGGCCACTCACGGACCCTGTGCCCGGCTCCCTCTCCATGTCCTCTTGGCCCTTCTCCCCCATCCACATGACTCCTCTTTGCATTCTCTTGACTGCCTGCACCCTTCTCTAGGGCCACCCAGGTCTCATTGGACTGATTGGGCCCCCGGGTGAGCAGGGAGAGAAGGGAGATCGGGGACTTCCTGGGCCTCAGGGCTCCCCTGGGCAGAAGGGTGAGATGGTGAGTAGAGGGCATGGTCCCGGAAGTTGTGGGGGTTGAGAGTGGGGTGGAGAGGGGTGGAGTTGGAGTTGGGACTCAGCTGTGGGTAAGCGAGCAGGTGCTCATGAGGGTGTGGGAGGAGGACCCAGTTGAACCAGCCACTACCCTTCCTAGGGTATCCCAGGAGCATCCGGCCCCATTGGTCCTGGAGGTCCCCCCGGCCTCCCCGTGAGTACTGCCTCTGTTCCTCCACAAAATCCCCTAAACCCCTCTGCTGCCCACCCACAGCCTCCCAACGACTTCCATGGAACTACCAGCCTAACAAGCATAGTCCTCAGGGTCCCCCATTTGTCCTGTCACCACCAGTACCTCCTCCCCATACTTCCAGGGCTCTGAATGTCCTAGTATTCCCACAGGACTGCCCCTCCTGTAGTAACCCGAGGCTCCTGTGGACTTGGGACCTTGCCTCCCCGCTCCTCTGAGTCCTGTCCTTCCCCTGCAGTGACCGTCTCTTTCTTGTTCCTCATTTCACAGGGACCTGCTGGCCCCAAAGGAGCCAAAGGAGCCACAGTGAGTGACCCCCTTCAGCTCTGACCTTTGCTCCACCCCCTCTGGACTTGATGATGTCTCTCCAGGACAAATAGACTCCCCCCAAGGAGCCCCTTATTCCAGCCAGGAGGCTGATTTGATCTTTCTGTGACCTTGATCCATGCTTGACCTCTTGACCCCTCCATGACCTGATTTATTCCTTGTCAGGGCCCAGGCGGACCCAAGGGAGAGAAGGGTGTGCAGGGCCCTCCAGGACACCCGGTGAGTGAGGAGTCAGGGCTGCTCCCAGGGCCGTACCCCTCTGCTCCACTGCTGCCACACTTCACCCTCACACCAACCTTGTCTCTTGCCCTCTCCATCTGTCCCTGCACCCAGGGTCCCCCAGGCGAGGTGATCCAGCCACTGCCCATTCAGATGCCCAAGAAGACTCGGCGCTCGGTGGATGGAAGCCGTCTGATGCAGGAAGATGAGGCCATACCGACCGGGGGAGCCCCCGGCAGTCCTGGGGGGCTGGAGGAGATCTTTGGCTCACTCGACTCCCTGCGGGAGGAGATCGAGCAGATGAGGCGGCCAACAGGGACCCAGGACAGCCCTGCTCGCACCTGCCAGGACCTGAAGCTGTGCCACCCAGAGCTTCCCGATGGTCAGTGCTAGCCTCAGGGTGCACAAACATCTCCCCAACAGCATGGGTACTGAACAAGCAGAATGGATGCTGGGGGAGTCTTGGTGAAGGTGTTGGGTTAAGGGTGAGGGCTGAGGGGCTGGGAACTGCAGCTATTTACTAACCAGGTCAGAAGTATCCCAATACTTTAGCAACTGATCTGGGTCAGTGTGTACCAGTTGGTTATCAGCCCAGTGTCTGCAGGAGCAGATAAACATACATACGTGCACACACCTGTTTGCACCTGAACAGATGAATCTGTGTGAGCGCCTGCAACCACATGTTGTCCCAGTATGAGGCTGTCCATACTCGGACCTCCTCCAGTCAGAGGGCCTGGGGTTACTGTTGGGGGCAGAGGTGTCACGTGATGAAAGTGAGCTGCAGCAGTAGGATGCTGCAGTAGAATCCAGCAGTAGGGCTAGATTCTAGGGCTCTGGGAGGGAGGAGGACCAGGAGACTAAGAGCATGATGGGGAGGGCTGGGAGGGAAGAGGGAATGTGGGGGCAAAGAGCATCTTGGAGCCTGGACCTAGGTGGCCCTGACCTCCCCTCTCCCTCACCCAACAGGAGAGTACTGGGTCGACCCCAACCAGGGCTGTGCTCGGGATGCCTTCCGAGTTTTCTGCAACTTCACAGCAGGGGGTGAGACCTGTGTGACGCCTAGGGATGACGTCACGCAGGTGAGAGCTGGCCCCTCGCTGCCCCTCCCCTGCCCCATAGTGCACCCCCTCAGGGCTTAGTGGTTTCTGGGTTTTGGTGACAGTCCCCTGGCTGTTGCCCCCCCCGGAGCCTGCCACCCCTTCTCCACTTCTTAGCTCTTTCTTCTTTTCCTTTTCACCGGTCCTCTGATGCTCACTTTGCCTTTCGTGTACCCCCAGTCTCCTGGCTCCCACTCAGCCCCTCACTTCTTTCCCAGCCCTTGCCTTCCAGCCATTCCCTGCTCATGACTCTGGCTCAGCTGTCCTGGTGCTGTAGATGCTCCTGAGGCCCGTCTCTGTCTCCCTCTGAGGCCAGCCCTCTCTCTCCCCCTCTGAGGCCAGCCCTCTCTCTCCTTCCAGTTCTCTTACGTGGACTCAGAGGGCTCCCCAGTGGGTGTGGTCCAGCTCACCTTCCTGCGGCTGCTCAGCGTCTCAGCCCACCAGGACGTCTCCTACCCCTGCTCTGGAGCAGCCCGTGACGGTCCCCTGAGACTCCGTGGGGCCAATGAGGATGAGCTGAGCCCGGAGACTAGCCCCTATGTCAAAGAATTCAGAGATGGCTGCCAGGTGGGAACAGGAAGAGCTGGGTTGGGGGCTGATCTCAGACTCAGGCTGGAGGAAGGAGGTGGGAAGACCCCTTGGGCAGGGCACCCAGGGGGAGCAGGGAGGAGTCCGTCCTGCTGGATTGTCAGGGATGCCTGAGGGAGCTCAAAAGCCGGTGAGGAAGGTGGAAAGGATGGAAGCCATCGGGTGAGGTTCACTTGGGTACAAACACCAGCGTCACACAGGTTAATGCAGACGTGTACACAGACTGGCACATGGCTGCCCAGCAGAGGCACACGGTGGGGGAGAAGCAAACACACACGCATGGGCACACAGACACTGCCAGTCTGTACATCCTGAGTCACCCTGATGGGGCCAAGGTGCTCAGAGGAGAGGTGAGCCTGGGCCTGAGGTTAGAGGGTGGGGGGTGCCTCCATCCTGCTCACACTTTCTTCCTTGTCTCCCCCTGAAGACACAGCAAGGCCGGACGGTGCTGGAGGTGCGAACGCCTGTGCTGGAGCAGCTGCCAGTGCTGGATGCCTCCTTCTCAGACCTGGGAGCCCCACCGAGGCGGGGAGGGGTGCTGCTGGGGCCTGTCTGCTTCATGGGATAGGACCGTCTCTGTCTGATCCTGTCCATTCGGAACCAGGCCCACCTGGAATCCCACAACATCAGCTCTGTGCCACCTCCCAAGAGGGCTCCTCACTATCTAGGGAGCCCTGGGCCAGGGCGTGGAGAGCCCTCAGTCGGGGCAGGCCAGGGGAGGGGTGAAGTGGTTGCCTGGACACCCCACGGGAGGAGTGGCATCTGGGGCTCTTGGCCCTCCCACCTGGAGCCTGTTACCCGTTAGAGAGCTGAGACCCTTATTTAAAACTCACCTCCCAATCACCCCAAACAAATGGAAGAGAAGAGAAAGGACATGGCGTATTTTGTATTTAAAAGTAATTGTATTAATTATTTAAAGTGTGGAAAGCAAAATAACAAAAAAGAGAAACGCCAACAAAAATCAGCAGATGTTGAAGACAGGGGTCTCGGGGGTGGGCTCCGGCACCCACATCCTGGAGTCAGGACTTTCCTCAGTGACTGTGTGTAGGGGGGTTTCAGGGCTGAACCCCACCTCCCTCCCACCTTCCTCCCACCTCACCTGTCGCACCCACTGTGAAAGTTGGAATATGTGGTCTCCCTGGCCTCAGGGCTCTGACTCTGCCAGGGTGGGGCTCTCTAACCCACAGGTGTTGGCTGCCTGGCCCATGTGCCCACTGTCTCTTCCACTTGGTCTGGGTTTGGCAGGCACTGCCTGCTACTTGAGGGCCAGGATGCTCCCCCAGGGAAGAAACGGAATAGTGTGGGGTGTGTGCAGGGCTGCATCCCGCAGATGGCTGGAATATTAAAATTCTTCTATATTGGCTGGTAAATTGCCATGGCCCTGAGCCACTGAGTATGTTCATTGCCACCCCTGTCCCTCCCCTGGGCACCCCTCACTTTCCCTGATCCTGCAATTAAAGGGTTAATGTGTGGCATATGGAAGGGACTCCCAGGACCCTGTGCCCAGCTTCCATGCTGACTGATGGTTAAATAATGTGATTGTCTCCTCCCAGGTGTCTGTGTCACTGCTTGTGTTGTTATTTCAGTCTCCCCCGACACCCATCTGATGCTTCCTCTTCCCAGCTAAGTGGTTACCAGAATTGTATGGCTTAATCCAGATACCCTGCAAGCCCTGTCCAGCTGGGGTGTCAGGGCCCAGAGTTTACAAAGCCTGGGTGACTAGCATAAAATTACAAACAATGCCCCAGGGACACCAGGTAGGGGTTTGGGGTCCCTATGGCTCCAGTTTCTGACACCGGTGTGCGATTGCTTCTGGGTGTGGGTGGGACGGTGCTACATAGCCCAGTCTAATCTCTGTAAATGGGGAGGCTGAGGCCCACTTCCAAGACATTTACTGCATCTGTACCTCTGGTCACCTTATCCCTCCCCATCAGCCTTGTGCTGTGCTGTCATGAAGACAGGGCTGTGGCCAAGCCCTCCACACTCACGTGTAGTCACGTGCATACTCGTTGAGTCTTTGTGTTGGGTGGAGTCGCACAGTCCCTGCCTGTGTCCCCCCACTCTTGACTGTCCCCCACTTCCCTAGCCTCCCTCTCCTGGGCACTCAGAAGCTCTGCTCCCTCCGGGTTAGGTGTCCAAGAAGTCCTCTCTTCCAAGGCTGGCCGCGCAGCCGGGACCCCCTAGCTGGTGCCCATGGGGCTTCACATTCCCAAGCAGTATTGCCTGGCTCCTGCCTGTCAGGGCGCTGCATTAAAACGTGTTCCAGGGCCTCATCCCAATTTCCTCTTCCTCAACCCTCTTCCTCGCGGGCGCCAGAATCAAGAGTGCGTGCCTTTGTGTCCCGGTTTCGCATCCGCGGCCTCGGGGCGGGCCTGGCAGGGCTGCCCTTCACCCCGAGCCCGAGCCCGGGTAGGCTGCGCCCCCGCCCCTCCTCCCCGTACTTCTTCCTCCCAGCGTGTCCCCGACAGCATCGGCTTGGCCGTCCCGGTCCCAACCCATTCTCGATCGCAGGAAGCCCCACGTGGGCGTCTAGACGGCCACTCTGGCCCGGGCGGGTGCGCGGAAAAACTTCTCGAGGGTGGAAGCCTCTCCTCGGCGCTGGCGCCTCCGCCTCTGCCGCCCCCTAGTGCCCGCGCTGAGAACGCGGCCCCGCACCGGGTCAGCTGAATAATCCCGGTCCCTCAGACGCCTCTCCCTTGTCACCCGCTGAACCCCCTGACCCCGAAGGCCGAATGGAGGAAGAAGCCCCTGATCTCATCTGTCAGGGGTCCGGTGGTGGATAGGTTTTCTGGGATCACCCATGCTCTCCATCTCAATATCCAAGGCCCAGGGGCTTCAGACACCCCCTTCCCTCCCTCTCAGGGTCACATTAAGAGAAGATCAGATCTAAATAGGTGCCCCCCATCTGTTTCTCCCGCACCCACTCCCAGCCTAGCCGGGCTGGAGTTGAGGTTTCTTTGGCGCTCTTTCTGCAGCTGGAGCCAAACCCGCAGAGGTCGCCCCCCGAACAGCAAGAGGACTTTCCCAAAGGTCACGTTTGGTCAGATGCTCTGAGTTCCGAGGGCTTTTCTGCATGGAAACAATGCTGTACAGTCACTCGAATAACATTTATATACGGCGGCTAAGTCCCCAGGCCAATCCACAAAAGCCTATTTAATTACACAGTGCTGCCAACCAACCCCATCTAACAGTTTCACGAGGGAGTCTGTGCCAAGTTGCTGTTGAGGAGGCCAGGCCCACAGCCTTCTCTTGGCAGCTAACTTCTTCCTCCCCTCCAGAAAGCTAGAGCCAGGCTCTAAGGAAGGGTGGGAGGGGTTTAAGGGCAGGGCTGTAGAGGCGGGGTTTTGGGGTGGGGCTGGGTGTGAACAGGGCAAGTGCCCAGGCCTCTGGGCCTGTGGGTAGTGGCAGTGTCTCCATTGGCTGGTGGGCAATGGAGGCTTCTGGGTGGGGTGGGAGGAGATAGGGAAGAGAAAGGCAGAGGCTTTAGGGAACTACTTTGGGTTTGATTGGGGCAGAACATAAACTCTTGTTGGAGGGGCCAAATTCTGAAAAGTATTGACTGCTTATGGAAGGAGTTGAACTTGAACCCAAAAACTAAGAGTCATAGATGGTGTTTGAAAAGGCAAGTGATATGATGGAATTGTGCGCTGGCATGGTGGCGAAGGAGAGGAGGGTTTGGGATGGGGCGCACAGGGAGATCATGTTTTTTTTTGTTTTTTGAGACAGAGTCTCGCTCTGTCGCCCAGGCTGGAGTACAGTGGCGCCATCTCGGCTCACTGCAGCCCCTGCCTCCCAGGTTCAAGCAATTCTCCTGCCTCAGCCTCCCGGATAGCTGGGACTACAGGTGTGCACTGCCACGCCTGGCTAATTTTTGTATTTTTAATAGAGACGGGGTTTCCTCACGTTGGCCAGTATGGTCTTGATCTCTTGACCTCATGATCCTCCCGCCTCGGTCTCCCAACTGCTGGGGTTACAGGCGTGAGCCACCGCGTGGGAGATCATGTATAGAGGGAGGGCTGTGGGGTGGGTCCTCTGGCCTGTCACACCCTTGGAGCTGCTTTTCAGCTTTGGGCTTATATTTTTAGCATCTGTAACTTATGGTTAAAAAATAACTTGTGAAATAAAATAAAAATAACTTACAGACCACTTATATCACTGTACCTGGGAGCACCACATATCCTAGAAGGCCATGGGCTACACAGAGCTGTTCTTGCCCTCCCTTGGCTGTCTTGCATGCTGAGGTTTGTAGTTTTGAATGGACCAGGACAGGTGGGGGTGGAGATGAGACAGAGGAGGGAGTGAGTCAAAACAAGGCTCTCAGCCTGGGCAACAAAGCAAAACTCCTTCTCTCTCTCTCTTTCTCTCTTTCTTTGAGACAGGGTCTCTGTCACTCAGGCTGGAGTGGAGTGGCAAGATCATGGTTCACTGCAGCCTCGACCTCCGTGGGTTCCAGCCATCCTCCCACCTCAGCCTCCCGAGTAGCTGGGTCTCCAGGCATGTACCACTAGTTTTTGTATTTTTTGTAGAGATGGGATTTTGCCCTGTTTCCCAGGCTGGTCTAGAACTCCTGGGCTCAAGAGATCTGCCCATCTCGGCCTCCCAAAGTGCTGAGATTACAGGTATGAGCCATCACGCACGGCCCTTTTTCTCTACAAAAAAATAATTTAAAAATTAGCTGGGCATGGTGGCATGTGCCTGTAGTTGCAGCTACTCAGGAGACTCAGGCAGGAGGATCACTTGAGCCCAGGAGTTTGAGGTTGCAGTGAGCTATGCTCTTGCCACTGCACTCCAGCCTGGGTGACAGAGAGATACCCCATCACAAACAGACAAACAAACAAACAAAGGGCTCCAGCTGCCTCAGAAATAAGTTTCTGTGTAGTAGCTGGTGGCCACCTTGTTTTGTGGTTGTTTAGCCCATTTTCCTGCAAGTGTGGTGTGGTCAGCAGGGAGCATCAGGGCCACACTGGAGCTTCTTTCTGTCGAGCTGTGCAGTTCACAGACTGTACATGTGTAGGCCATAGCTATGTTTCTCAACTCAAACCTAGAGTAAGCAGAAGTCACCTTAAGTGCTTATAACTGGCCTTCTGTTATCTTTTCTTTCATCTTCAGAGTAGTTTCATGGGAACTGGCACTGACAGCAGACTGCCATCTCAGTAGGGAAGACCTGTCCTGCTAGTCCTTGAATAAAGACCAAGGATATCTACATGGGCTTCTCCTTTAGGGCTCTCCCCACACGGCCAGGATGGTAGAATGAACACAGCTCTCAGCTTCAGCGAGAGCCAGCATATCACCCTGTCTGGCTTTCCCTCAGTTGGCAGGAGCAGGTCAATCCAGTTTGTGTACTTCGCTCTGGCCTCTCTTTTTTTGTTTGTTTTTTGTTTTTGAGATAGGGTCTCACTCCCCTTGCCTAGGCTAGCATGCAGTGGTGCAATCATGGCTCACTATAGGCTTGACTTCTTATGCTCAGGTGATTCTTCCCCCTCAGCCTCCTGAGTAGCTGGGACTACAGGCGAGTGCCACCATGCCCAGCTAATTTTTTGTATTTTTAGTAGAGACGTGGTTTCTCCATGTTGCCGAGGCTGGTCTCAAACTCCTGGGCTCAAGAGATCCCCCTGCCTCAGCCTCCTAAAGTGCTGGGATTATCTGGCCTCTCTTTTTTTTTTTTGAGATGGAGTCTCGCTGTGTCGCCCAGGCTGGAGTGCAGTGGCACAATCTCGGCTCACTGCAACCTCCGCCTCCCGGGTTCAAGCGATTCTCCTGCCTCAGATTCCTGAGAAGCTGGGACTACAGGTGCCCGCCACCACGCCCGGCTATTTTTTTTTATTTTTAGTAGAGACGGGGTTTCACCGTGTTAGCCAGGATGGTTTCGATCTCCTGACCTCGTGATCCACCCGCCTCGGCCTCCCAAAGTGCTGGGATTACAGGCGTAAGCCACCGCGCCTGGCCTATCTGGCCTCTGTTTCTATTAAAAACGCCTTACTCTAGGTTGAAGGACTTTTGGTTCCTGAGGCATGGATGATTTCCCAAAGTACAACAGATAAAAGCCACATTGGCTGTACAGCAGCTCATGTAAAGGTCATGTTCCAGGTCTTGGCCACTTCACCTATAACAGGCTTGGACTCCGGCAGAGCCTCAGGCCAAAGAATGTGGGTCATAGAGATATAGTCCTCATTGTGTTCACATCTCCCCCGGGCCTGGGCTATATTGTTGGGTCAGGTAATCGGCCTGCTCTCCTCATGAAATAAGGCATACTGGTATTACTAATGCTGGGAGAGATTTCTTATAATTCCATCCCTTCCCAGTTGTGGTTATTTGTATTAATACCTGCAGGTTTTCCTTACTTTTAGAACTGCAAATCTATAGAAACAAACAAACCCCAAACCCAACAAACATGTTTCAGAGACATTAGGGTTAGGGAGAAGATGAGAAATAGCACCCTGTTTGATTGGGGCCCTGGGGAGAGAGGGACTCAGACAAAAGAGTTTGAGTGGCAGGTGGTCTAGTTTTGGGTGGGTTGAGCAGACTTAGGGCCAAAGGTGGCACTGATTCTAGCTGGCAGCAGGCCTCTCTGTATTTCCAACTGAGAGTTCTCCTTCCCTTAGCTTGTCAGGGATGCTTTGCTTCTGAGTTGCACACTTAACCTCAGCATCAGTTTCTTCACCTGCAAAGTGGGATAATACTTGCTCTGTAAAGGAATAATTCCCCCTTTAGTGACAGCCTTTGCAATGGAAAGTGAGGGGAGGGACCTGACAAGCTGTCTTGGTTCCATCTCCATGTCTTGGTTATTGCTGACACGCGGGTGTCTGGGGCATGCTGCTGTCCCTTTTCCACTTTTGATTTTAGTGCTGTTAAAACTCTATACTTACTATTATTATTTTCTTGTTACAAATCGCAAAATCTGATTCAGAATAGCTTAAGCTCCAAAAGGAATTGATTGTAAAAATATTGGGTTTCTCAGGATTTGAAGACAGAGTTGACTCAATAGGGAAGACTGAGAGCAGTTCTGGGAACCTCAGGGGCTCATGGACTTTGTCCCTGGAGTGTGGATACCCACCGCTCAGCAGAGCTGCTCTTGACCTCTGTGTCTCTGGGCCCCATGGTTCAAAGTCATGGAGAGACAATCTGATTGGCTTAGCTTGGGTTATCTCTGTCCCTGAGAACCAATTTTCTGTGGCTGAGGGCCCAGTGTACCAACCAAGAGGTATGTAGGATGCCTTTTGGTGGAGGTGGAGGGGTGTTGGGGGCACTGTTTCCAGATAATGTGGGATCCTGAGGCCCCCAGGAGGTGTCCGCTTGCTTTCCCTTCTTCGCTTCTGTCTAAACAGACTCGTTTGTATGCATTTGACCAGCGTGATACAACCAGCCCCTTCATGATCACATTTGCTCTCCCTGCCACCCAATCTCCTGGATGGGCAACCCAAAGTCACATTCAGCAGCTGTGGCCATGACCTCTCTAACCTCAGAGGCCGACATCTCTGCCAGTTCATATTTTGCCACTTTGTGATTCAGCACATAAACTTTCATGGCCATTATATCCAGGGCTGCATTGTGACTTCTGCGGGCCCTATGCACTTTTCTAAACAATAAATTTGAAATCATACTTATGATTGTGTTGATACACAGGCAACTATATTAATATTATATATTAAAATATTTTCTTCAACCTTAATTTTTTTTCTATTTTAAAAGAAATGTAAACATTGCCATGGGAGTATTGTGGGCCCTAGGCACTGTGGCTACTGTACATAATGGATCCATGGGCCCTCCTTGTGTCTTTGTTAAAGATTTTACTGGTTTACTCTTAAAATGTAATCACAATTCTGTTACCACAATTTTAATAATCATTCCTATTGTCATCAAATATCCAGTCAGTGTTCAGATTTCCAAGATTGTTTTGTAGGTTTTGTGTGTGTGTGTGTGTGTGTGTGTGTGTGTGTGTGTGTTTGACTCATGATCCAAATAAAGTTGATGGTCTTCTAATTCTTTAAAGATCTACATTTTCCATAATTTATTTAAAGTCCTTTTTGTTTACTTTTATTATGGACAAATTTAAGCATATACAAAAGTGGTTTATTATTGCTTTTTTTTTTTTGAGATGGTCTTGCTCTGTCGCCCAGGCTGGAGCACAGTGGCACGATCTCAACTCACTGCAGCAACATCCGCTTCCCAGGCTCAAGCGATGCTCCAGCCTCAGCCTCCCAAGTAGCTGGGACTACAGGCGCCAGCCACCATGCCCGGCTAATTTTTGTATTTTTTGTAGAGACAGGGTTTTGCCATCTTGTCCAGGCTGGTCTCCAACTCCTGAGCTCAAGCAATCTGCTCATCTTGGCCTCCCAAAGTGTTGGAATTACAGGCGTGACCCACTGAGCCTTGCCTGTTATTGCTATCTTAAAAAGAATTAATACATGTTAAAAATCTTTTTCAGTTCTAATTTTGAATACAGTAAATATCAATAACAATATTGTAAGTAAAGCTTTTCAGTGTTTTCAGTAATTTAAGGGGTTTATACTCTTAAAACATTGAGAGATTTTTTTCAAATTGAGATTTAAAAAAATTGGGAATCACTAATCTAGAAGAACTGTTAAAAATAGTCATGCCCACCTGTGCTCACCCTTAGAGATCTGGATTCAACCCATTTGGGGCGTGAGCAAAGGGACTTGTGTAAAATTTCCCCAGGCAATTCCAAAGTGCAGGCTGTGTTGAGAACCTCTGCTCTAAACTGGAGAGATCCCGTAAGAAATAAGCAGCCAGGTGCAGTGGCTCATGCCTGTAATCCCAGCACTTTGGGGGACCAAGGCAGGTGGATCACTTGAGGTCAGGAGTTCGAGATCAGCCTGTTCAACATGGTGTAACCTTGTCTCTACTAAAAATACAAAAAATTCGCCAGGTGTGGTGGCACGTGTCTGTAATCCCAGCTACTGGGGAGGCTGAGGCAGGAGAATCACTTGAACCAGGGAAGCAGAGGTTGCAGTGAACCGAGATCATGCCACTGCACTCCAGTCTGGTAGACAGAATGAGACCCTGTCTCAAAAAAAAAAAAAAAAAGAAAAGAAAAAAAAGGAAATAAGAAAAGATGGCCGGGTGTGGTGCCTCACACCTGTAATACCAGCACTTTGAGAGGCTGAGGCGGGCGGATCACCTGAGGTTAGGAGTTTGAGACCAGCCTGACCAACATGGAGAAGCCCCATCTCTACTAAAAATACAAAATTAGTCGGGCATGGTGGCACATGCCTGTAATCCCAGCTACTTAGGAGGCTGAGGCAGGAGAATCGCTTGAACTTGGGAGGCAGAGGTTGCGGTGAGCCAAGATCACGGCATTGCACTCCAGCCTGGGCAACAAGAGTGAAACTCTGTCACAAAAAAAAAAAAAAAAAAAAAAGAAATAAGCAAAGGCACAGAGTGGGAAAGGCAACCAAATGCCCTAGGTCTGAAAGGGCCTCCTGGGACCTGCTGCATCCAGCAGAAATGCTTGCAAGTGCAGGCCCAGACAACCCAAAAAACAGGGGCTAAAATAAACAGGAATTCATTTTTCTCATAAGAAATCTGAGGATGACAGCTTCCAGCATTGGTTTGAGCATTTAATGATGCCATCAGGGTTCCAGACTCTTCATATGTTTACACTCCACCCTCCTACAATGTTACCCTTACATATTTTCTTTGGCTAAACTATAAGCACGTTTTTCATAATAGCTGCTCCATTTACATCACTGTCAAACATGACATTCACCAATAAAGAAAAGACGCATGAGACGTGTTCGGCACCCCTTAGCTGTAGAAATGCCTGCCACCACTTTGCTGTCATGAAAGAGCCATTTTATGGCTATTGCAAATGCTTTGAAGATACTAAGACTTGCACCTGGAAGCTATAGATGCAGTGTGGGAAACTGGGAAGTATAATTGCCACTGAATTGTGTTATTGATTTATTACTGCAAATAAATCTATGCAGGTCCCTTCTGAAATTGAGATGGTCCTGAACTGAACAAATGTCTTATTGACATTCATAACAGTGGCTGGTATTCCTTCTTTATCCTGTTTGTCAGTTTTTGGAATTCACTGATTAGATAAATAAAAAGAATCTCACTTGCTCCTTACTAATGAGCTCCACGGAGGGGCATGATGTTGGAAAAGGCACCATGCAAGGCATGATTACTAAGAAGACAAAGGGCTTGTCGGGGAGCTGTTAGGGAGGGTCCTGAGCCAGGGCTTGGGAAAAACATCTCATCATTTTACTGTATCTGATGCTTGGAAGTGACATGTGCTTTGCAAACTCCAGTTTATGTTTTGATGACTTTGTGCTTGTTCTGCTTGGTTAGGATTAGCTTCAGCTGTGAGAAACAGAAAACCCTGAAAACAACAGTGTCTCCACCAAGATAGAAGTTCATTTCTCTCTCACATGCAACCCTAGGGCTGGTGTAGTGTTTAAGTGTCAGAGACTCAGGTTCCTTCTATCTATCTTTTTCTTCCACCAGCCTCAACATAGCTCTTCTCTCTCAGGTCCAATATGACTGCTTGAATTCCAGCTTTCATGTTTGTGTTCCAGTCAGCTGAAGGAGAAAGGGGAAATAAGGACAACCCCTCTTTTTTTTCGTTTTTTCTTTTTTTTTTTTTTGAGAGGGAGTCTTGCTCTGTCACCCAGGCTGGAGTGCAGTAGTGGATCTCAGCTCACTGCAACCTCCGCTCCCCAGGTTCTAGCGATTCTCCTGCCTCAGCCTCCTGAGTAGCTGGGATTACAGGCATGTGCCACCATGCCTGGCTAATTTTTGTATTTTTAGTAGAGATGGAGTTTCACCACGTTGGTCAGGCTGGTCTCAAACTCCTGACCTCAAGTGATCCACCTGCCTTGGCCAATACCTTTAGGCAAAGCATTATAGCAGGAGTCTAAAAACAAATGGGCTGTTTTGTTTTGCTCGGAAATCTCTCCCCGAGGGATTGTTTTGTTTTTTGAAGTATTTGAAGGCTAAGTATCTAGAGCTTGTGCTCATGGAGTAGCTGCCCCCTTTCCTCGTGAGGCCACCATTAGTTACCTCTGCATATATGTCTGCCTCTGAGGTGTCTGGCTGTCTGAGGAGGCCTCTGGCTTTGTTAGTACACCACTAGGATATTTGCAACGTGGATCAAGACTTTTTAATTTAATTTAATTTAATTTAATTTTTTTGAGATGGAGTCTTTCTCTGTCACCCAGGTTGGAGTGCAGTGGCACAATCTCAGCTCACTGCAACCTCTGCCTCCCAGGTTCAAGCCATTCTTCTGCCTCAGCCTCCCAAGTAGCTAGGATTACAGGTGCCTGCCACCATGCCTGTTGCAGGAAGTCAGGGACCCCAAATGGAGGGACCAGCTGGAGCCGAGACAGAGGAACATAAATTATGAAGATTTCATTTAATATGGACATTTATCACTTCCCTAATAATGCTCTTATAATTTCTTACACCTGTCTTTACTTCAATCTCTGAACATAAATTGTGAAGATTTCATGGACATTTATCAGTTCCCAAGTAATACTCTTATAATTTCTTATGCCTGTCTTACTTTAATCTCTTAATCCTGTTATCTTCACAAGCTGAGGATGTACGTCACCTCAGGGCCACTATTGTACAAATTGACTGTAAAACATGTGTGTTTGAACAATATGAAATCAGTGCACCTTGAAAATGAACAGAATAACAGCGATTTTAGGGAACAAGGAAAGACAACCATAAGGTCTGACTGCCTGTGGGGTTGGGCTAAAAGAGCCATATTTTTCTTCTTGCAGAGAGCCTATAAACAGACGTGCAAGTAGGAGAGATATCGCTAAATTCTTTTCCTAGCAAGGAATATTGATAATTAATACTCTGGGAGAATAATTGCATTCCTGGGGGGGAGGTCTATAAACAGCCGCTCTGGGAGTGTCTGTCTTATGCGGTTGAGATAAGGACTGAAATATGCCCTGGTCTCCTGCAGTACCCTCAGGCTCACTAGGGTGGGGAAAAACCCCACCCTGGTGAATTTGAGGTCAGACCGGTTCTCTGCTCTCGAACCCTGTTTTCTATTGTTTAAGATGTTTATCAAGACAATATGTGCACAGCTGAACATAGACCCTCATCAGTAATTCTAATTTTGCCCTTTGCCTTGTGATCTTTGCTTTGCCTTTTGCCTTGTGATCTTTATTGCCCTTTGAAGCATGTGATCTTTGTGACCTACTCCCTGTTTGTACACCCCCTCCCCTTTTGAAGTCCTTAATAAAAAGCTGCTGGTTTTGTGGCTCAGGTGGACATCATGGACCTACTGATATGTGATGTCACTCCTGGCGGCCCAGCTGTAAAATTCCTCTCTTTGTACTCTTTCTCTTTATTTCTCAGACTGGCCGACACTTAGGGAAAATAGAAAGAACCTGCATTGAAATATTGGGGGTGGGTTCCCCAGATACATGCCCAGCTAATTTTTTTGTGTTTTTAGTAGAGACAGGGTTTTGCCACGTTGGCCAGGCTGGTCTCGAATTCCTGACCTCAGGTGATCCACCCGCCTCAGCATCCCAAAATGCTGGGATTACAGGCATTAGCCACTGCACCTGGCCATCTCAAGATGGTTTTAATGGTTAGAAATATCAGCCAATTGAATTTTCAGAGACATATGCCACCTAATTTTGTATTCAATACTTAAGTCATTAAACTCCAGTGGTCTATATACCTGTTTGGCCTCTAAGACAGTTTGGCCTCTAAGTCTGTGAGCACTTTCTGTGATGATGGAAATGTTCTACATTTATGCAATTTAATGTGGTGGCCACTATTCACATGTGGCTATTGAGCACTTGAAACATGGCTAGTGCACTAAGAAACTCAATTTGAAATTCAATTTTAATTTTATTTAATTTAAATGGCCACAGGTAGCTAGCTAGTGCTACCATATTAGACAGCACAGCTCTGAGGCTCTTTTAAGGACCCACATAATTCAATGAAGAGACCCAAGTTTAATACAGATGTGGGATATGCAGTCTTCATAATTCAAACACGCCAATTAATTTCTGTTCCTCTTTTTCAAGTTGGGGGCTTTCAAGCACAAAGGCTTTTACCTGGTCTTGGGCAGAATTTTTCTCCCCAAAATTTTACCAAAATTTGTGCTCTTTTATAGTCTGTTCCTTTTAACTCATAAAATTAATAATGGAAGACAGAGGTTTTTGATGCAGTTGCTTTAAAAAAAACCAGGTTCAGGCCAGGCACAGTGGCTCACACTTGTAATCCCAGCACTTTGGGAGGCTGAGGTGGGCGGATCTTCTGAGGTCAGGAGTTTGAGACCAGCCTGGCCAGCATGGTGAAACCCCGTCTCTACTAAAAATACAAAAATTAGCTGGATATGGTGGTGCGCATCTATAATCCCAGCTACTTGGGGCTAAGGCAGGAGAATTGCTTGAACCTGGGAGGGGGAGGTTGCAGTGAGCTAAGATTGCGCCACTGCACTCCAGCCTGGGTAACAGAGTGAGACTCCATCTCAAAAATAAATAAATAAATAAATAAATAAATAAATAAATAAATAAATAAAATCAGGTTTACTGAGATATAATTTAAATACAGTGAAACCATAGCTGTACAGTTGTTTATGAGTTTGACAAACATATTCATTGTGTAACTACTACTACAATGAAGATAATATTTCTATTACCCCAAAAAGTTTCCTCATGGACACAGCTTTTTTCAAGTCACTCCTGGTTAATGTGTCATTAGGATAATAAAACAATGTTAATTCTTGAATTGGATTTAGGCTGTTTAAATTTTGCTCAATGGATTGTACCTCGGAGGTGGGAGAATTTACTCTGGCAACTTAGTAAAGGTTGGGGCTGCCAAGTGAAGGCAGACTGTTGGTGAATATAATTTATTGGGATTGAAAAGGATACATCAGCCAGATTGATGCATGAATGCTAATCAAGGGTTGATTTAGCAAGATCTTCTACTAAGGAAATAATATCATGTACAGTGCTAATCACATTTTTTTCATAATTGAGTTAAATATTTAAAGTGATTAGAATAGTCACTGCCACTTAATACTACTTCAGAATTAGCTGCTTTTCTTAATATCGGTGTAATTCACAATTCACTTCCAAGCTCCACCTACCTTTTGACTGGCCAAAATGAGTTGTTAAAGAGTCCTACTCTTTATCTCAGATTTCTCCAACAATGTTATCATAATTGTTATTTTACATATTCTCCTAGGGATTTGTCACTATTTCATATTACGTTGTTTTGTGGGGAAGTGGAATTCTAGAGGTTCTTAAGAGCTTTTCCAGCTCCCACAGTTGCAATCGTAAGTTCAGATAACATGCCCAGGGGCAGGAGAAATCACCATAGAAGCTTTCTTGGTTCTCTGTATCTCCCATTAATGTTTCATAACCTTCCACCTTCATACTTTCCCCTCCACATACCCTGGTATTCAAAATAGCCCTTCTTATTAGATTGGGTTTTCCTAATTAAAAGTTGCCATTGATGTTATATCCCAAAGTTTCTGGAATTCCTAAACATTGTCCTTTGTCTAAACTGTTTTAACGTGAGTGCAGAGTGTCTCCAGACACAGGTTGGAACAGATCTGGAGGGAAGAACATTGGGGCTGTTTGTCCCATCGTATGAGAGGATCTGGTTTTAGGGCAAAGCTCTTTAAGCTTGGAGAATGAATCGAAGGTGTGGAAGTGCCCTGTTTCTGTATGTTCTAAGAGAAATGAGCTCTTAACGTTTATAAGCTTTTTGTCTTGGCATTCCCCTTCGGTTTGGTCCCTAGCACTGTTAAATTACATGAATTGAGGATTTGCCAAAACTACTGCTAAATTTGCAGCTTCTGTATCTGCTAAAATTGGACTATTTTTGATACTTCCTTTAACCTGTTTTGTAACCTTGTTAATTTTCTAATGAGCCCATTGTGCTGTTGGGATTCCGATATCCCCAAATCTAATGAGCCATGACCATACACTTTAGCTCCATTCCCACTGGGTTCTCAAATTCTTTTTCATTTTTCCAATTCTTTAGCACTTTCTCTTATAGGTGGTTCTGCCTTAATTTGAAATTAAATGAAAACTTCAGCCCCTTCGTCTCACCAGCTGCTAGCATTTTAAGTGCTCAAGAGCCACCTGTGGCTAGTGGCGGCTCGGTTGGATAGATATAGAACATCTCCCTAACAGCAGAACATTGTATAGGACAGCACTGCTCAAGGGATTGCTCTCCGATGATCACACCCACTTTACAGATACTAGGACTGTCTAACTATGTACACTTTCTTTCTTGCAAATACGATGTCGAAGGCTTTCCCTCAGTTTGTAACTTTTAACAAATATTTTAGAATCTTTATTGATCAATCCCTCATACATCTGTACAACAAAAATATATGTATTCATTTAATTCTTTGTTTAATTGACAAAAATTGAATCTATTTATGGTATACAATATGATGTTTTGATATATATATATATATATATATATACACACACACATTGTTTAATGGCTAAATCAAGCTAATTAATATGTGCATTACCTTACATATTTTTTGTGTTGGGTGAGAACACTTAAAATTATTCACTTAGCAATATTCAAGTACACAGTACATTGTTATTAACTAGAGTCACCATGTTGTACAGTACATATCTTGAATTTATTCCTCCTGTCTAACTGAAATTTTGTATTCGTTGATGTTAGTTTGTTTTTACATTCAACTCATTAAAAACATAATTAGGTCACAGAGGTTAGGAGGTTTTGAAAAAAACAAAAAACCAAACAAAAAAATGTAATTAGATTTGTTTGGCAGTCTAGCAATGCTTAGTGTGCAATGCTTTTTACAGCCGCTGCTAAAAGCAGAGCAAAACCACAGAAATCTATGTGCTGCCAAAACCTATGTATTTGGTCGTATTTATTTTGACTTGTGTTTCTTTGTGTGCTTAACTTTTTCTCTAACTTTTTTTTGTAAAGAATGCTGGAGTATTCCCAAATTGTTGACAAATTCCCTTGTTTCCTGTTCTAAGCCCAGATTTCAGTGTTGGCCACTAGGTGGGGATAGGTTCCTATCTCTCTATAGCCTTAACATGATTTTGAATTTCGATGCTTTGCAATGGATAATCTGGCTTTTTCCTCGAAAGCTTTAAAACGTTTCTTTTGTGAATTCAAAACAACCCACAGTTTTAATTCTCTGTAGTTATCCAATAAAAAGGAATAGGAAACAAGTGCTAAATTATTTACTTACAGTGTTTCTGTATGGAAATCCTTACCCCCAAGACAGCTGGCTTCACGGCTTGACTCAATGGTGAGAAATCTGAGTTGATTCACAGCTTTCTGACAGTATTCTGATGGTACCATGTTAGGATAAATTCTTGGCCAAACAGAAAATCAAGGGAGACCTGCTTCTCCTTGTCAAACTCTAAATTAATCTACTAGTTCTTTTCATAAAGCAAAAGGTGAAATGTTGAGGACTCTGAGTTGGCGATCAATCGAAATGACTTTTAAACTAAGTCCCTTTTAATGATGACTGAAGACAATATTACATTAATCACTGGGTATTATAAACACTGGTTTCTCAGTCCTCTGCTGATGAGATTTGCTTGTTTGTGTATTTCTTTCTTAAAATCCCAAATAGTGAAGTCTCTCTTAAGCAATGGAGGCTCATTCATAGTCAAATTCCTTGCATGTAAAATTCTCTGGGTACAAAGTAGATTGCCTCCCTCTTGTTTTTCTTTTTCTTGAGACAGGGTCTCACTCTGCTGTCTAGGCTGGAGTGCAGTGGCATTATCACGGCTCACTGAAGCCTTTACCTCCCAGGCTCAAGTGATCCTCCTGCCTCAGCTTCCTCAGTACCTGGGACTACATTTATTTTTTGTTTTTTTTATTTTTTTGTAGAGACGGGATTTTGCCATGTTGCCCATGCTGGTCAAGCTATCTGCCCTCCTTGGCCTCCCAAAGTGCTGGGATTATAGGCATGAGCCACCAGGCCCAGCCTGCTTTCTTCTGTTTTACCAAGATGCTTAACAGTGGATATATAAAATGACAACTTCCCTTTCTCATGTGTGGCACTGAGAGATGGGCAGCCTCTATTTCCTACAAGAAATATAGAATAGAAAATGTGTAATTTCTCATGGCGTTCTGCAAAAATTAAAAATTTCACAGAACACTCATCTGAATCCCTGGTTTGTAAATTTGGCTTTCCAAAACTTGCCTATATGCTAATATGATTCATAAAACATTTGTAATAATAATTTCAAAATAAAAATTTTAAAATGAATTTAGTCCTATATCTTCTATAATAACCAATATTTCCAGAAAAGTAGGATTTAAGAGTATCTTCTGTACCAATATATGACTTTCTTTTTCTTTTTTTTTTTTTTTTTTGGAGACAGAGTCTCACTCTGTTGCCCAGGCTGGAGTGCAGTGGTGTGATTTCAGCTCACTGCACCATTCAGTCGGCCGAAGGCCTGGATAGAACAAAAAGGCAGAAAAAAGGTGAATTCACTCTCTCTCTGTTTTGGAGTAGGGAGTCCTATATTCTCCTCCCCTTGGACATCAGATCTCCAGGTTCTCTGGCCTTCACACTCAGGGACTTGCACCAGCAGCCCCCCAGGTTTTTGGTCTTGGACTCAGAGTTACTCCACCAGCTCCCCCGGTTCTCAGCCCTTCAGACTTGGACTGAGCCATGCTACAGGCTCCCCTGTCTCAGCAGCTTGCAGAAGGCCTAACGTGGAACTCCTCAGCCTCCATAGTTGAGGGAGCGAATCCCCAGCATAAATCCCCACTCATCTATCTACCTATATATATCCAATAAATTCTGTTTCTCTGAAGAAGTCTGACTTCTTCAGCCCCCAAAGGCCCCCAAAGGCCCCCAAAGCCCCCAAAGGCCCTAGTGCTGGTCTGTTACGAACTTCCTGGTAGACGATATTTTACACATGGCATCCCAGCTCCTTGTGGGAGGAATTAAGTGTGTCCTGTGTGGCTCCAGGGGGACAGGATCCTTGGAAGCCTGAGCCTGGTTTCTCTCAGGCTTTGCCCCGTGTGCCTTTCCCTCTGCTGAGTTTGCTTTGCATCCTTTTACTGTAATGAATCAGAGCCCTGAGTAGGACCATATGATGAGCCCTGTGAGTCCTCCTAGGGCATCATCTCACCTGGGGTGGCTCTGAGGACCCCTAACATAGCTCTTCCTCTGGCATTGGTATCTGGTAATATATAAAATCCCCCAAAACTAACTTGTCATCATAATTTATGACCATATTTCATCAAAATTTCATGTAGTCACATCCAAGAAGTTCAGTTAAGAAAGAAAAACTCTTTAAGCTTGGTTAAGGCTCTGCCATTTTTGAAAATTCGTATTAATCTAATAATATTGTAGCAACTATAAGTTTTCCTGATAACTTTTTTTTTTTTTTGGGGAGTGGGGGATGGAGTTTCGCTCTTGTTGCCCAGGCTGGAGTGCAATGGTGTGGTCTCAGCTCACTGCAACCTCCGCCTCCTGGGTTCAAGCGATTCTCCTGCCTCAGCCTCCCAAGTAGTTGGGATTACAGGTGCCCACCACCACACCCAGCTAATTTTTGTATTTTTAGTAGAGACAGGATTTCACCATATTGGTCAGGCTGGTCTTGAACTCCCGACCTCAGGTGATCTGCCTGCCTTGGCCTCCCAAAGTGCTGGGATTACAGGCGTGAGCCACTGTGCCCGGCCTCCTGATTACTATTATATAAAATTTGGACTTAGTGGCACATCATAACATGAAATGACTGGAGACAATATGACTTCTCTCTCGGTATTAAACATCAATTAAGATGAATTACAAAAATCATAGTAAACTGTATTCTAAAACCAAGCGTATGTCTGAAAAATCTGGTATACACACATCTTTTGAAACTAAGGATGTATTTTCACTGTACAACCTGCAAGAGGTGATCTGGTGAACATAGAGTTATGGAATAAGTGTGTATCTATAACTTAGTACAAATTATATATAAAGAGAATGATAATGTATTATGCGGCTGGGCATGGTGGCTCACTTCTGCAATGCCAGCATTTTGGGAGGCTGAGGTGGGTGGATTACTTGAGCTCAGGAGTCCAAGACCAGCCTGGCCAACATGGTAAAACCTCATCTCTACCAAAAACAAAAAATTAGCTCTCAGGTACTTTAGAGACTGAGATGGGAGGATCACCTGAACCCTGGAGGCAGAGGTTGTAGTAAGCTGAGATCATGCCATTGCATTTCAGCCTGGGTGATAGAGTGAGACTCCATCTCTAAATAAATAAAATAAAATAATATATTATGCTATTATACCTATTATTTAAAATTGGGATCTTATGTTGATTTCTACATTTGGGAAGCATATTCCTAAGAACTGACCTTTATCAGTCCTGTATTGTGTTCAGTGGCAAAGCCAGGCTTGGTGTCTGTTCCATCTGGGAACGCCAGGAGTAATGGTCCCAATCCTTGCTGCTGAGGGTACAGCATGAATTTGGGCAGCAACATGAAATAAAGCAAATGTAAGAAAATCCTCTATCAGTTGCACTCCTATTTAATAAGGAGACTTGATCATCATCAAGAAGTTAATTTCTCCATGCCTGGGTAAAACCACACTGACTCATCCTGAGGCTCTTCATTGGACCCAGTGATCACCAAATCCTTCAAGCATAAAATGGCCATGTGATTATCTCCTTCCTCTCAGGATGAAAGGCAGACAATAACATGTGATTTATGTTCCTCAGGAAAGGACATGCTATAAACTAGAGAACTTGGGAAAGAGGAAGTACATGAATTAACATGCAGGCACATGGTGGCATGTGCCTGTGGTGCCAGCTACTGGGCAGGCTGAGTGGCAGCATTGTTTGAGCCCAGGAGGTGCAGGCTACGGTGAACTGAGATCGTACTACTGCACTCCAGCCTGGTTAACAGAATGAGACCCTGTCTGTCTTTCTCTCTCTCTCTCTCTCTCTCTCTCTCTCTCTCACACACACACACACACACACACACACACACAGAAAATAAAGGAGAAAAAGAAATTGTTCTTAAACATAAAATTTAAAGTGGGGTTCTTTGTATCACCACATTCTTTTTTTTTTTTTTTTTTTGAGACGGAGTTTTGCTCTTGTTGCCCAGGCTGGACTGCAATGGTGTGATCTTGGCTCACTGCAACCTCCACCTCCTGGGTTCAAGTAATTCTCCTGCCTCAGCCCCCCCGAGTATCTGGGATTACAGGCACGTGCCACCATGCCCAGCTAATTTTTGTATTTTTAGTAGAGATGGGGTTTCACCATGTTGGCCAGGCTGGTCTCTAACTACTGACCTCAGATGATCCACCCGCCTCAGCCTCCCAAAGTGCTAGGATTACAGGCATGAGCCACCGTGCCCAGCTGACTCTTTTAAATTTCATTCAGCTGTGCGCCCAGCCTCACCACATTTTTATATGAAGAAGAAATAAAATAATAATTACTAATTAAATAATTAAATATTATTTCCTTCTCCTTATATGTTTGAAAACATCAAAGATTTTCTCCAAAATTATCATAGCTATAAAAGAGTCAATATAATATCAAATGGTAACAAATTAATTCCTTTATGATGCAAAGAATCAATGTAAAATTGTGAAGAAATATCATCCATTCACAGAAGTAACTACAAATAAAAAATCCCAACTTGTGTAATGTATTTCCTCATTAAGAAGAAGGCGATTATGATGTCCTAATTTTCGTTTTCTTCACTTACCCCTACACTCTGCAGTAGTCAGGGACTTCCTGGGCCATGCTGGTGCCTGACAATTCTCCCACTTCCTCCCAGCAGCTCTAGCATCTTCCTTCCCCAGCCACAGACGCGTCCCTTCTGATGTATTCTGGTTGGTTGAGCCCCATCAGGCTGTTTCATCTCCAGCCTTTCTCCCTGGACAGGGGTAGGGAAAGGAGTGCTGGATTCGGAGCTCCTCCGTCCCTGCGCTGCCTCATTTTCTCCTTGGGGTCTGGCGCACAGTGGCCATTGCAATACACCCTGAAGACTGAAGGAGCCAGCGCAGAGCCAGGATCCTCCTGCGAGCCATGGCCCTGGCTGCCCTGCTGAGCCTCTCGGAACCTGGGCCATCAGGGGTGAGTGCGCAGGTGGGCGAGGGAGGGTGGGGGCTCTGGGCGCTTCTGGAGCCCACAGATGCTGTTTCCTTTCCTGTTCTCTTTTCTCTGTTCTTTACTGTTTTGCCTGAGGCTCTCTTTTGCTTTCTCTCATTCTAACAATAATAACCACCATTTACTGAACACCTCCTAAGTGCCAAACCTCATGTCCTTCCTCACAACACCATTTTCAGAAAGGCTTTTATTAACACAATTTTAGAAATGAAAAGACTGAGACTCAAAGAGATTCATAAATGTCTCCTTTCCCCCACGTCCTCTCGCTGAAGAAAGAAGAGCCAGGGCTTGGCAACCTCCTCTGGAGATTCTCTCGTAGATTGTAGAGGTCAGCTTCCTCAAATAGGAGTCTGCAATGTGGGGTTTTTTCCTTCCTTCCTTCCTTCCTTTTCTCCCTCCTCCTCCTCCTCTTCTTCTTCTTTTTTTTCTTCTTCTTCTTCTTTTCTCTCTCTCTCTCCTCTCTCTCTCTCTTGACAGGGTCCTGCTCTGTTGCCCAGGCTGGAGTGCAATCACGTGATCACAGTTCACTGCAACCTTGAACTCCCAGGCTCAAGGGATCCTCACACCTCAGCCTCCTGGGTAACTGGGACTACAGGTGTCTGTCACTACACCTGGATAATTATATATATAGATATATATATATATTTTTCCCCTTAGAGATGGAGTCTCACTGTATTTCCTAGGCTGGTCTCAAACTCCTGGCCTCAAGTGATCCTCCTGTTCAGCCTCTCACAGCACTAAGATTACAGGTGTGGGTCACCACACCCAGCCCGTTAGTGACTCTCTCTCATTTCATTCAGTCTTCAACCCACTGCATTCTCCCTTTTTCTTCCCCATGTCTCTGATGCTGCTCTCAGGGTGACCTTTATACAACCCAAACCAGTGATCACTTCTCTGTCTCTATCTCTTGTGTGTCATGAGTGTGTTTGTGATGCGTCCGCTCCTCTTTCCTGGTTGTTTTCTCCTGTCTGTTGTCTTTTATGAACCCACTTCCTCTTTGTTTTCCTCCTACTTTCTAGTCTTCTCCTTTTCAGCCTCTTTTTTCATGTCTGTGTTTGTCTGGATGCAGGAGCACACACTCAGACCCTTGCTATTCTGACTTTATGTACTTTTCTTGAGTGACCCGATCCAAATTTAGAACTTCACTTATAATGAACTTCCTTCCAGTCTGTGTCACTAACCTAGCGTAGCCTGGGACCCATCCATTTAGCTCACTATCCTCGGATTAACTCCATTTGTTCCCACAGAAATTCAAACTAAGCATGTTCCAAACAGAACATCTTACCTTCTCCCGATTATTTCATTTTTCATCACCTTTGCAGTCACTGATGCCCCAGTTCTCCACGTTGGGTATTCTGGACTCCTTCATATCCCTACTTCTGGCACATGATTTAGTGATTCCTGTGGCTTTTCATTTCATTATTGCCATTCAAACCCATCCGCTGTCCGCCTCACCCCATGTTCCTGCCCCTGCCTACACCCTCATGACTTCCCATCTGATGGCTGAAGAGTCCTATTGGTCTTGCTTTCAAACCAGCCTCCTCCAACCCATCCTCCCTACTGCTGCCCCCTGCAAACACAAATCTCATCATGTTACTGTCCTGCTTAAGATGCTTCACAACTTCCTATGTCCTGTGGGATAAAATGCAAACACCTGCCATCAGCACACAAGGCAGGTTACAGTGCCGCCCGGCGCACATCTCCCCTGGCTTCAGTCACACTGAAGAATTGCAGTTCTCCTTGCAACTTCATGCCTCTCTGCTCCTGAGCCTGCTTCTCCTGCTGGACATGTCATTTCCCCTTTCTCTGTTTTGCTAACCTCAGGTAAACACTATCCCTAGGAACCTTTCCTAAATCTCATTTTTCAAAAATGCCCTCTTTATGCTCCTGAGTGGCTCCAGTGTATATCTTATGGTACTCAGTGGTGATCAAAATAACCTATGGAAATAAAAGATTAAAAAACACAAAATAAAATACACATGTAGCAATCTTCTTTTCTTTGTCTCTTTGGATTTTGGATTTCAAGCAGCTTGAGGACAAGGCCCAGGTCTTCTGAGTTACATCCTTAGTGCCTAAAGAGTGAAAATTCACAATGAGTGTTTATTTAACAGAATGAAAATTTACATTTGAAGGTGGAATTTGCTTTAAAATGCACGGACCTTTAGTTTTAGGCTTTGTGAATATAATAAAAACAAAGTAACCTAAGGTGAACAAACGACATCTCTGTAGCACAGCTTGTATATCATGTTTTTCATCTGTTTTTTCTTTGGGCTTCGTTTCTGTAGGTGAGTAATTCTCTAGCCCATAAACTCAGTGGAGGACCCTCAACATCCGTGTGTGACACTGAACTTGCCGTCACTTGACGCATCCAAGGAGAGGACTGGTTTTCCCCGTGTTGGGCTTGGAGGGGAAATCCTTGCTTAGGACCAACAACCATGCAGTGTCATTTCGCCTCACTTCCTCTTCCAGGCTGGACTCCATGCTCTCTCATCTTTATTCTTTTACTGTAATAGTAATAGACTTTTTTGTTGTCAACCTTTTGCTGCGTCTTATACATCAGGTAAAGCTAAGATACTATCCCATAGGTGTTTCAAATGCAACAACTTTTATTTCCAGGTAGAACTACACTTGAAAATATACATTCAACAAGAACATTTTGTGAATGTTATGCGCATGACAACACTTTTAAATTTACTATGCCTTAAAATGAAAGTGTTTTGATAAAATTATATAAGGTACCATTTTTATTCTAAAAGTAAGAACATAACTTGAAGTCTATAAATAGCACTAAGACTCTGGAGGTCTTTTCATGTCCTTCATTATTTTTTTCCCTGAAAGATTTTTATTTCATCTCCCTACTTCCCTGCCTTTCTCTGTGGCTATATCAGTATTTTTTATGTCTGGTCCTGTAGGGGTTCTGAGATCCTATGCGAATGGGGTAGGGGGACTACGCAATTTTGTTTCTACCAGGAGTTGTGTGACTTGGGTGAGTTACTTTACTTCTGTGGTCAGTTCCCCAATATGTAAAATAATTTCCTCTGTTAAATCAAGTTTAGCCTAAAGTTGCCTCCTTACATATTTTAAGTTTGGCCTAAAGGTTTCTCTGTACATCATGAACTATAACAAGTGGAGGTGTAAACAGACCACAGCCTACACTTGTGCCAATCACTGAGTTTTGGCCAATCATATGTAGCTAACTGTTTGAACTGTGTTCAAGTTAGGCAAACATTGAGCTGTAACCAATCTGGCTGTTTCTGTACCTCACTTCTGTTTTCTGTATGTTACTTTTCTTTTTCTGTCCATAAACTTTCTTCCACCACGCAGCTGTGCTGGAGACTTTGAGCATACTCTGGCTTGGGAGGCTGCCCGATTTGTGAATTGTTTATTGTGCAATTAACCTCATTTAAAATTTATTCGGCTGAAGTTTTTCTTTTATCAGGTGGTGTCAGAAGTGGGGTTGGAAGTAGAGCTTCTAATGACCCCCAGAAGCGCTGAGTGACCTAGCGAGGTACCCTCCAGGCATTGTGTCTCTTTCTCTCTCGGAGCAGCTGGGGATCGTGGTAAGTTCTCTTGCAGATTCCGAAGCTCCACAGATTTGTGTGTTGAGCTCTCTGAGTTTCTTTGAGTAAATTTCTGATCCTGATTGGGTTTGAAAGTCGCGAAAGAAATTGAACTGAGTCCAGGATCGGATTGGCTCCAGTAATTAACTGGCTTGGATCCGGTTAGAGACCTCTTACATCTAACTGGATCAGAAAGAAACCAGTATTAAATGGCAATATTGCAAAGGTGTAAAATTTGGCTTTTGGAAATTCACAGAGATTTTTGTGTTCTACTCCTTTATTTTTCTTGTGCACTTAGGTAGGAAAAAAAATCATTGGCTAAGTTGAACAAGGGACCTGAGAGCAAAGCCAGTATTTGAGGTAAAAAATGTGATACTGAATTTCTGAAGAACTGAGTTCCTTCTGGATTATACATGCATAAGTATTAGGCCCTGGAAGGAGCAACGTCTTACAGAAATTGTCCAGGCGTGGTGGCTCACACCTGTAATCCCAGCACTTTGGGAGGCCAAGGTGGGTAGATTGCTTGAGGCTAGGAGTTTGAGACCAGGCTGGCCAACACTGTGAAACCCTGTCTGTACTAAAAATTAAAAAAAAAATTAGCCAGGCACGGTGGCATGTGCCTGTAATTCCAGCTACTCGGGAGGCTGAGGCACAAGAATCACTTGAACCCAGGAGGTGGAGGCTGCCATGAGCTGAGATCATAATACTGCACTCCAGCCTGGGTGACAGAGACTGTGTCTCAAATAAAAAATTTTTTTTTTTTTTTACTAAAGATAACTTGCAGTAGAACATTCCAAAAGAACAACACTGCACTGAAGTGCATTTGAAAATGAGGGCTCCCAAATTAGTCTCATGTACAGTCTCATGTAGGGATGCCTATTGATATGCAGAAGCTTCTAAAAAATTTCAATATTTGCATTTAAAGACTTTACAAAAAAGAATTAAAAAGCTTAAACAACTAATTGATTTAAAAAATTAAATCTGCCTTGCGCTTTTTGCTGATGGCTGTGTGTGACAGGATTAGGTATGTACAGGATCATGGGACATGGGGAACTTTTTTCTCCCCAAAGCGGGAAACTTGAGAGCTGATGAGACGGCTGGAAAAGATCCTTCATGACTGACAAGCAGCTGCCTGAACTTTTTTTTTTTTTTGAAAGGGAGTCTCACTCTGTCTCCCAGGCTGGAGTGCGGTGGCACAATCTCAGCTCACTGCAACCTCCGCCTCCTGGGTTCAAGTGATTCTTCTGCTTCAGCCTCCCGAATAGCTGGGATTACGGGCGCCCACCACCATGCCCGGCTAATTTTTTGTATTTAGTAGAGACAGGGTTTCACCATGTTGGTCAGGCTGGTCTCGAACTCCTGACTTCAGGTGATCCGCCCACCTTGGCCTCCCCAAGTGCTGTGATTATAGGCATGAGCCACCGCACCTGGCCCTGAACTTTTAATTTAGTGTCACTGCAATAGGTGGGTCCTTCTCTGTCCTCCCTGAACTCTTTGCCTTCCCCACCCTGCTGCAGACAATGCTTTTCTTTCTCCCTTTCTCTTCTTTCCTTTTTCTATCTTTCTTTCTTTCTTTTTTTTTTTGGAAACGGAGTCTTGCTATGTCACCCAGCCTGGAGTGCAGTGGTGCGATCTCGGCTCACTGCAAGCTCCGCCTCCGAGGGTCACGCCATTCTCCTGCCTCAGCCTCCGGAGTAGCTGGGACCACAGGCGCCCGCCACCACGCCTGGCTAATTTTTTTTTTTTTTTTTGTATTTTTAGTAGAGACGGAGTTTCACCGTCTTAGCCAGAATGGTCTCGATCTCCTGACCTCGTGATCTGCCCACCTCGGCCTCCCAAAGTGCTGGGATTACAGGCGTGAGCCACCACGCCCGGCCTCCTTTTTCCAGCTTTCTATTATATCTTGTCTAGAGATCACATGTTGAAACTTCTGGCTGGAGGTCATTCCACCCCACTTTGAATAGATTAAAGATAGCAGAGCCCCACCAGGGGCAAGTTTAAGCCTTACCAGTTCAATATTGGGCACTAAGCAGAGTGGCTAATGTCTATGTTTTGTCACATGTATTTTGGTGTGGCTGGAAGGGAAAATGTTAATTCAGTTCCCTCATGCAATCTCTCGGGCAGCATCTTACAAAATTGAGAGGCTTTTGCCTATGGTTCCCTGAAATCAGAAAAGATGATTTTCCTTTGTGTTGTGTCTTGGCCCCCAGGCTATGTGCAGCTAACAGGGTCGCTAGGGCCACTCAGAAAGAGGGAACCCAGAAGCCTGGCATGCTGGCAAAAGGGTAAGAATTTCTTAGCAGTCAGACTTCTGGCCTCTCTCTCTGTGTGGAAACGGTTGTAGGAGTAGTAAAAATCACTGTCTCCTCTGCAAAATTTTAATTAATGATAAAAAGGATTTGTGAGGCTGGGTGCGGTGGCTCACGCCTGTAATCCCAGCACTTTGGGTGGCCGAGGCGGGTGGATCACGAGGTCAGGAGATCAAGACCAACCTGGCTAACACAGTGAAACCCAGTCTCTACTAAAAATACAAAAAATTAGCCGGGCGAGGTGGCAGGCGCCTGTAGTCCCAGCTACTCGGGAGGCTGAGGCAGGAGAATGGCGTGAACCCCGGGGGCGTAGTCTGCAGTGAGCCGAGATCGCGCCACTGCACTCCAGCCTGGGCGACAGCGAGACTCCGTCTCAAAAAAAAAAAAAAAAAAAAAAAAAAAAAAAAAAAGGTATTTGTGAGCCAATCTTAAGCTGTAGCAAATCTGGTGTGCTTTGTGCTATAAATTGGTCTTTCTGTGTCATTTGGTCATAAAAGGGGTTAAATAGGATAAAATGTGGGCCTAGGACTCTCAGAAGTCTGCTGTTCAAGCCAGCCTGGCAAACTGGTCAGTTACAAACTGCAGGTCCCTGAAACAAAAAAACACTGGATAAGGTTTCCCTGTCATCTTGTTTTATGTCATTGGGAGCTTGACCTTATAATCACATGATGGTACTTTCTTTTGGTCTCCACCCTCTGGAGGACAGGAATTTTGGAGTTCATGTCATAGTTAGCTCTAAAAATTATCTTGAGCAGTTAAAAGCCTTTGCAAGCTGAAAATTGGCTGCTCTTAGGCTCCTCCTTCTGGGAGGAACAATGGAAACCACCAACGGTGTAGCTTAGTGGCTAAGCTTTGCCATCTTATGATGGCAGCCAGGCAGGGTTCAATTCCAGCTCAGGGAATGAGACCTGTTTGGTTTGATATCTTTCTGATCTTTGCTATTTGCTGATTCTCTTCCCCTCATGAACAACTTCTGACTCTCGTCTTGAATTTTCCTTTCTCTGAGCTACGTTTGGAAATTCTAGAGTTTGTAAAAATTGCTTGCTACCTTTTTGAAAATACTTCGTACACTTGTGGTTAAGTCATAACCTTGTTAAAGCTTATTGGTTTCACCTGGGAGATTACCTTTGGTAAAGTTCAAAAGCCAGACATATTGGCTGTTTGGCCTGGCTAAAGTCAAGTAATGAGAGATTTAAAATGATTATTTTAGGCTGGGCGCAGTGGTCCATGCCTGCAATCCCAGCGCTTTGGGAGGCCAAGGAGGATGGATCACCTGAAGTCAGGAGTTCGAGACCAGCCTGACCAACATGGAGAAACCCTGTCTCTACTAAAAATACAAAAATTAGCTGGATGTGGTGGCTCGCACTGGTAGTCCCACCTATTCAGGAGGCTGAGGCAGGATAATCGCTTTAACCTGGGAGGCGGAGGTTACAGTGAGCTGAGATTGAACCACTGCACTCCAGCCTGGGCAAGAGAGCAAGACTCTGTCTCTAAAAACAACCAAATAATTTTTTTTTTTTTTTAGAAAGAGCGCTATAGTTAAAAGTCAGCTTAATTAAAAGTGGATATCCAAGCTATAGGTATATTTAAAGGGCCTTTTGGTTTTTTCTCTTCTTGGATCTTTGTTTTTTTTTAATTATTTTTTTCTTTTTAGCCAACTGAATTGTTTTTCTCCATTTTGTCTTCTTGCCACTTTTGTTGCACACATGAGAGGACCTAAGGTAACTTCTAACAGCCTGGGACTCCTTGGGAAAAACAGAGGAGGCACTACGATCCTGCTTTGGGATATAACTCGGTTTTCCTCCTGAAACACCAGGAATCAAAAGCAGATAGATCCCTCTCAAAATCTAAGGCTAAATATCCTTTTGGGGATGGCCAACAGGGTGAAACCCAGTCTCTACTAAAAATACAAAAATTAGCCTGGTGCAGTGCTGCACACCTGCAGTTCCAGCTACTGGAGAGTCTGAGGCATGAGAATTGCTTGAGCCTGGAAGGCGGAGTTGCAGTGAGCCGAGATTGCACCACTGCACTCCAACATGGGTGACAGAGTGATACTCTGTCTCAAAATAAAGGAAAGAAAGAAAGAGAGAGAGAGAGTGGAAGGAAGGAAGGAAGGAAGGAGGGAAGGAAGGAAGGTCATTTCCACAGTTAATTGCTTAATGCTGGTGCAATTTCTGAAAACTTCACAAGTAGGCACAATTCTAGAATATGGTGTCTTTTAGGAGGTTCCTGAAAGGATGGAAAGGACCCCAAAAAGTATTCTTGATTACAGGTTTCTGATAACTTTAGAATCATATCATTTTTACTGGGTAAGAATTCCTGGAGCTTTTTTTTTTTTTTTTGAGACGGAGTCTCACTCTGTCACCCAGGCTGGAGTGCAGTGGCACGATCTTGGCTCACTGCAAGCTCCGCCTCCCAGGTTCACGCCATTCTCCTGCTTCCTGGAGCTTAAAAGACTGACTGGTTTATAAAACTGCCATCCCAAGTAGAACACAAATTAATTGAATACCAAGAAAATACTTTGCAAGTCTTTCATGCTAAATCACCCAATACTGAAATTGTTTAGATACACAATTTGAATAAACTCTGTGGTCTAACTCAAATTACCTATGATAACCCATCAGTTATCAGTGCTATGCACCTCAATTGGAGAAACAACCGTGTCAAGCATGGACTCATGGAGAACCAAGGTGGCTGCCTTATCCTTCCTGAGCTTTTAAAGCTTTTATAATTTAAAGTTCTGCATTCCATGACTCATCATGGAAAAGATAAAATGATCCAAGTTAAATGCATATTGGTGTGGTGACTTCTAAATTGCTAAAATAGTTTATGACCAATGTTTGGTTTGCCAAACCCATATTCCTGGGAAGACAATCAAAGCTTCAGGTACATTCTGCTACCTCATGAGCCATTTAAACATTTATGAAGAGATTTCAGTCAATTGTCATTTTCAATGCATGTTTTCTGGTTGTGTAAAAGCTTTCCTATACAAGTGAACTGATGTTATAACAGTAGATTATTATTTCACAGTGTATTTTCACCAGGTAAAGAAAGCTTTTTATGGTTCACTGACTGAGGACAATCAACCCCTTCACAATCTAGAACCTGAAGACTGGATCTTCTGAGAACATCAGAGAAAGACTGCCCTTGCCATCCACACTGCAGTAAACATCAGAACCGTGAACTTTGGCTTCATGATCTCACAACTGAGAAGGATCCCTCCACATTCTTGGAAATATACACCCATTGGAACCCGTAAGGTAAAGCTAACCAGGGAAGTTTCTTCCCAGAAGAAGATGGTATCCTTGATGTGAACAGCTTTCACCAAGATCACAGATCAAGACTTCTCTGCTATATGGAGGCTCTTATCTCTGAGTATTTTTTCCCTTGCTTATGCCTCTATGAACAGTAGAAGTGAAAAGGGGGTCTGTTGTGTGCACTTATGGGGTAGGTATACTTTTATTGGTGAAGGGTTTTGCAGCCAGCCTTATACATGGATAACCTCACACCTTGACAGATGAAAGATGAAGGCCCAGTGTAGGTGAGAAATTTTAATGGTACATAGGTTGCCTCATAATCAGTCAGAAACAGAACATTGATTCACTCCCCTATTCCACATCATGGGTTAAAGAGAACATTGCCAGGAGGCCTTCAGTCTTCTAGAAGGGCATTTTTCCTTAGGTCCTTTTTACCATGATTTGGAGTAAAACAGGCAATGATTAGAAATGTATCCCTCATGATAGGCTCTAAACAGAGTCTACTGTAAGGGCGATGGTTACACAACAGATTTTACATTCTTTTGTGAAAGTTATGCTTAATAGTAGGATTGCTGTAGATTACTTACTGGTTAAACAGAGAAGTATCTGTGCAGCTGCTGGCACTTGTGGCCTATGGAGAAATACATCACGTCAGGTGTACAGAGATTCAGTTGTAGGTAATTAATGAAGAGACTGCTTAAATGAGTAAACTCTTTATTTAGCTCATTCTTTGATCTATTTAATTTTGGGTGGTTTGGTTTATGGGGACCCTGTGTAAGGCGCATACTCCAAACTCTTGGTATTATCCTCCTGATAGTCATAATAGTAGTCTACCTGGTGCACTGTATTCTCTCGAAAGTTTTAAATGTTTGCATGCAGCCATCTCTAGAATGTCAAATTGTCTCTCTTCAACTAGAATGACAAGATTGAAAGAAATGTGTGACCATGATGGCATTTTAACCTATGAATGATGTGTTGAGACTGGAAACCCAAAATGATGGTAACTGAGAGTGGCGCTAAGGCCCTAAGCTTTGGTCACATTCTCACCTAAGTGAGAACCTGACCAAAAAGGGGACATTTTTAAACAAAATCATGGGAGGCCATTGTTTTGGACTTTAATGAAAGGCTAAATGCACTAAGCCCCAACAGACCAGACCAAACCAAAATGGAGTCACTTGTGCTAAATGTGACATGATTAAACTAAGACTTTAAGGAAACACATAGATCCTAAAACAGACCAGGTTTTGTTTTTTTCTCCTATAAACAGAATGTTCCAACAAAAGGAGGTACCCTGTAATCTAACCCTTACAAAAATAAAATTAAAATAAAATAAAATAACCTGAAATCCTTGTTCCCCCTTACAAAACTCATTGTTCTGCTATTTCCCAGGGGGTTTCAAGACCAAATAAGTACATTTACAATGGTGATAGTGGCATCGATGACTAAAGTTTTGGTAAATCTCTAAAAATTGAGAAGATTACCAAAAGAGGAAAATTGTTAAATCAAGTTTAGCCTAAAGCTGCCTCCTTACATATTTTAAGTTTGGCCTAAAGGTTTCTCTGTACATCGTGAACTATAACAAGTGGAGGTGTAAACAGCCTACACTTGTGTCAATCACCAAGTTTCGGCCAATCATATGTAGCCAACTGTTCAAACTGTGTTCAAATAAGGATACACCCAGCCGTAACCAATTGGGTGTTTCTGTACCTCACTTCTGTTTTCTGTATGTCACTTTCCTTTTTCTGTCCATAAATCTTCCACCACATGCCTGCAATGGAGTCTCTGAGCCTACTCTGCCTCGGGAGGCTGCCTGATTCACGAATCGTTCATTGCTCAATTTGACTCTTTTAAATTGAATTCAGCTGAAGTTTTCTTTTTTTCTTTTTTCTGTTTTTTTTTTCGAGACAGAGTCTCACTCCGTCACCCAGTCTGGAGTGCAGTGGCGCAATCTCAGCCCACTGTAACCTCCTCCTCCCGGTTCAAGTGAGTCTCCTGACTCAGCCTCCCAAGTAGCTGGGACTACAGACAGCATGCCTGGCTAATTTTTGTATCTTTAGTAGAGACAAAGAGGTTTAGTAGAGACAAAGGGGTTTCACCATGTTGGCCAGGCTGATCTTGAATTCCTGACCTCAAGTGAACCACCTGCCTCGGCCTCCCAAAGTGCTGGGATTACAGGCATGAGCCACCGTGCCTGGCCAGAAGTTTTTCTTTGAACACTTTTTTTTTTTTGGGAAGGAGTCTCGCTCTATCTCCCAGACTGGAGTGCAGTGGCGCGATCTCGGCTCACTGCAAGTTCCACCTCCCGGGTTCACGCCATTCTCCTGCCTCAGCATCCTGAGTAGCTGGGACTACAGGCACCTGCCACCATGCCCGGCTGATTACAGGCGTGAGCCACTGCGCCCGGCCTTCTTTGAACACTTCTACGTGGAAGTGTGAGGATTCAATGAATAAGTTGAGCACATGGTACATGTTCAGTGAATATTTTCTGATTGTGTTCAGTGTTATCATTATTGGAATGATGTGAGGGTTGTGTAAGTCTTCAGAGACCAGGGAAACAACTGAAATCTTCTATGAGTCATTTCTATCATTGTTTATCCCCATTCCTTTTCTTTTCATTCATTTTTGCATTTCTCATTTTCTGTGTTATTCCCTTGCATTCTTAAAAACTTTCCCATTACCTGCTTGCTTCTTGTATTCTGTGTACTTTCCTATGTGTTCCTCATTCTGCAGTCTTCTTCCCTTTCAAGCAGCAGACCATGTGTCAACGTATGCAGAGTTTGTGCAGACACACAGACCCTCTGGGGAGTATATGTTTGAATCTGATGAAGATGAGCAGTTATTTGTGCACCTGGACAAGAAGGAGATGGTCTGGCATCTGTGACAGTTTATTCACACTGTGAGGGGCAGAAAATGAAGGGACCAGGGATGGAAAGGGATGGGGGACAAAACACTAAGCTGGCAGTCCTAACCCCACTGTGTTTATTCTACTCCAGGTGTCAAACTTTCTCAGTCAGAAGTTGACATAAGGAAGTCACCAGCTTTGGTCTCCTTTAAATCTCCAGGCCTAACTTTTTTTTGAATCTCTGCTCTTCAACCACAATGACTTATGTACCCCAAGACCCCTCTACCTCCTGGCTGCCTATGATCCTCCTGCACCTAGCACTCAGCAAAGGGTCTGACATTTAGATAGCCCTCAATCAATATGAAGAATTTAAAGTGTAGTGACAAGGTGGTGCCCACACTGGATGGTCTGTATGCTGTGGTCTCATCAGGAACCTTTCTCTGCACTGCATTTTTCCTAAGAAATCCCAGAGTTCAATAAATACCTGTGTATGTCAGAGCTAGACACATCTGATGCCTTTCTGTGACTCCTTATATTCTCAGTTTCCTAGGAATGCATATCCTGGACTTGTAATTGTAGGATACAGGTGCATTATGGGTGCAGATACCTCAGTTTTGCATCCTGCAAGAGTTAGTCTGGAGATTGTTTACTCCACTCTGGGTACTGCTGACACCTACAGCATGTGTCCAGGGGACAAAAATGGAAGGAGATGACTCTGATTGGATAGTGAGAGGAACATGGGTAGCTCTGGGAAACTGACCAGGGATAGGTGCCCAGGGGCACACAAGGCCCAGAAGCTGCTTGTGAGAAGTCAGGGAGAAGGAAGCCAACAACTGGATGTATCAGAGAGCCACTGAGTGCTCATTATGTGTATCAGGAGTTAAGAATCCATCCTCTACACGAAAAGGAAAGCTTAGACCAAACATGTCTTCTACCTTGATTTACAGTAACTTAATATGAAATGCAAAACACATAACAATTTTGGATTGTAAAAAAAAGATCAGTGTTTGAAAGAGTGCCACACCTATTGCTTTGCACTTTCAACAATGGGGAGGCGTTTCTCTCTGTATGAATTATTAGCTCAGGAGGTCTAGGCTGGTGAATGAATGCAGACTTAGAGGATAAATGTCGTCTACTTGATGCATTCAAAAGGCCAAGCAACATTTGGTTAAGGAGTATTTGTGATGGCATGCAAAGAAAGTGTTGAAAGTGTGTTAGATTATATTTATTGTTTTAAATTCTGATGCTTATTTAATTTCTTAACAGTAATGCTAAAACATGCTCTTAGTAAGTTATATGTTGAATCAGTGCTATGTTAATATGGGCCCTATAACACAGATTTGCAGTCTGTTCACCACTGAATAGCTAAGAATAGTGGTTTCAGACCTAAATGGATGAAGACACCAAACATGATGATGGGGCAGCTCACTGAAATATAGTAAATCCAGGAGAGGTCTATGTCCAACGGGCCACCTTATACAATAGTTTGGATGGATTTTCATGGTTTTCTTCTTTCTTATGTCTAAACCACAATGAACTTCTTTATTAACTCTTACTGTTTGCCAAAACCCTCAAGAAAAAAAAGTGATGAGACATGACTTGGTATATATTCTTAACAGAAAACAATCATGTTGGGTTTTGATTATTCATGGCACTAAGGAGAAAGGAACTTGGTTGGAGGCCCCATGAGAGAAATCATGCATTGAATCCAGGAACAGAATCATAGAAACTGGCTTCAGTGCAACTACTCAGCAGCAGCATCCTCTTGGGAGGCTGGGGGTCTGTCCTCGAAGCAGATACTGGGACTAAAGAAACAGAAAATGCTTGTTCCAAGGTACATTAGTCTTTTAGGCAAGGTCAGGAACCCTGTGGAGGTAAAAACAGTAATCCCAGGTTGCTGGCCCCCTTCCTTTAAGACCCAGGAGAGAAAAACAACGGTGAGAGGCTGAATCTCAGGCTGATAAAGAACAGAGTTGATCTGAGCTTCCTTTAGCAATGGAGCCATGCAATGCTCTTTCCCCACTCACCCCAGGGCTGAGGTTGAAACAGGGGTTCAGGCCTGAGACTCTCTTCCTAGAGGAGCTCAGTGTCACAATGTACAGAAAGGACTTATGTCCTCCTGTAACTCCCCCAACAAGGAAATCAAAGCAGGAATATTGCCTGTTTATGCAGATCCTTGTTGAACTGAAATGAAAGGAAGAAAGAGAATGTATTCAGCTACTGAAACCACCTCAGACAATTAGAGAAATGTTTCCATCACACTTCCATTGCCCATCACTCAATGGACGCTCTGCAGGAGCCTGAGTAACTGCGACCTTATGCATCTGGCTGCATTAAGATGCCAGGCTGGGATTCCTCTCTCCTTAGAAGCTGTCTTTGTTTCCTGACTATGTGATTTCAGCAAGCTCTCTGGCATTGCTTTTTTGTCTCAGCCCCTCATCATGGAAGAAGGGTGAGCAAGTCAGGAGAAAGGTGGGTATCGGTCACCTCACAGGATTTCTCACCTTTCTTGCTCCTTCTGTGCGTGAAGATGTCCACTCCACAGATGATGAGCCCCAGCATGAAGCCCCTGGCTCCTGTCAGCATCTTGCTCTGCACAAAATCAGACTGTGCCTCTAGGAAGAACAGGCTCAGGTTCAGAGTCACCTCCAGCAGCTGCACCCCTGCTCATGTCCTGTCTGAGATCCTGCAGCCTGATGCAGAATATTGGCACGAGGAGAGCGAGGGGAATACACCTTGCATGACAGGAAATTGAGAAACAGTCACTCTCTCAATTCTAGAACAGAGGGTGTGACCTCAACAACAGACAAATTCAGATTCAATTAGTTGCCTCTCAAAATAACTTAGAATAAGCTAAAAGGCTGAAGGAAGACAACAGTTCCCATGTGTAAGGTCAGTTCAGGAAGGTGTCTGCATCCCTAGATTCTTGGACAAGGAGAGGAACTATGAATCCTTAGGACCTCCTAGGCCGGGGGCAGGCAAGTCTCCATTGTCCCCAGGTTAAAACTACACTCAGGGTCTTGTATAGAAGAAAAATGGGGTCGGACATGGTCCCAGGGTATAGACACATAAAACCAGATGAGTGGACCCCAGAGCCAGAGAGTCCCCTGCTCTTCAGAGGTGGAGTCTAGAGGGTCATCAGACCCTCACTCCACTCCACGGTGACAGGACTGTCCAGGCTGGGGTGCTTCACTTGGCAGGTGTAGATGTTTCCCTGCTGGGGGATCATTTCCAGCATCTCCAGGATCTGGAAGGTCCAGTCTTCATTACGGATCAGCTTGGTGGACATGACCCCAGCTGTTTCCTCCTGTCCATTCAGGAAGCATCGGACTTGAATGCTGCCTGGGTAGAAATCTGTCACGTGGTAGACAAGCAGGTCGTGGTGCTGCCGGGGCTCCTTCTTGGAGGGGGGATGTTCACCCTAGGCTGGACTAGGAGTGGCGAAGTGGAAAAGTGGAATAGCATTTGAGTTTATTATTTCTTAGACATGCTCATTATGGAATTGATTTTTAGATGTTGAAAATAGGAATGATGGCCAGGCGCAGTGGCTTACACCTGTAATCCCAGCACTTTGGGAGGCTGAGGCAGGTGGTTCGAGACCAGCCTGACTAACATGGAGAAACCCTGTCTCTACTAAAAATACAAAATTAGCTGGGTGTGGTGGTGCATGCCTGTAATCCCAGCTACTCAGGAGGCTGAGGCAGGAGAATCGCTTGAACCCCGGAGGCAGAGGTTGCATGAGCTAAGATCGCACCATTGCACTCCAGCCTGGACAACAAGAGTGAAACTCCATCTCAAAAAAAAAAAAAAAAAAAAAAAAAGTAGGAATGATGTGATTAGGTCAGCGGATAAGGGGAGTATTGAAACTATAGAAATAGTATTGAGAAGAATAGGAGGCACACAAACTTACCAGTTTGTAGCACATTTAAAAGAAATCTTATCTATCAGCCACTGATTAACAGCCTTTGGACAAAGAATATTTAATCAGCAGCGACACTACCTTATCTTTTGAGTGCTCTATCCTGATGCAAAAGATGAAAAATTTGCTCAAATGATTTCTTGAAATTAATATATATATAAACGACATTCTCATGGTCTATTAATCCAATAACTATATTTCATAAATATATCAAGAAAATAAAGTGAGCTTGACATGACTTATTCTGCAAGTAACCTATGGATTTTTTGGCCTCGCCTACAAACACTCAAAATCGTCCTATTTACATAATATCCTGAGCCCCTACATGCTTAAATAGTAGAAATCCCATCCTTTTCCCTAAGTTCCTCCTCTGCACTGTGTTGCCACATCCATTGAGGTTCTCAGATAACCAGGTGTTGGCTGTGCCTTGGCACCTCTCTGTTTTTGCCCCCTCTTTTTCTGCCGCTTACAGATCAATTTCCACGCTACCACCTGCAGCTTTTCCTTTGGACCTCAGCCACTAGTACCCTTTTCCTCCACAGAAGGCAGAAAAGGGCCAACTGCCCCTAGAGAACAGCTCAATTACAGGAATGTTCCAAATCAGAGCTTCTAGGTCCTTATTTACTCTGTTCTTGAGAACACAAATACACTGACATGGGCCTGGGCCAGGTAAATGAACAGTCTTGAACTAACCCACAACCCTTACTCCCTATGGTATTTTTGCCTTGTGTCCAGGATTATTCACATTCACAGCCTCTTCCCTCGATGTGATTTTATTTCAGAGGCACTTGGCTCTCGTTCTACTTCAACCACCTCCATAAACTCAACGTCCATCAGACTGGTCAACCCATGTCTGAATCCCAACTGTAGATTAAGTGGAACTTCTTCCCCATAGGTGTCCTGGGAAGCATGAAAGTCATGGGATATATGGTTGTCTGTTTTAAGGTCCCAGAACATTCCATGAGAAGCACTTTGCTCCATCTTCTTTGACGGGAGCTGGTCAGCCTGGAGCACATCAGAGACCTCCAGGGGGCGCTGCAGCTAAAGGCTTGATACCCAGTGGCCTCATTTCTGACCCAGTTCAAATATATTTCACCAAGGCAAGGATTCCTGTTTGTTCTAGTTGCCTTTGCTCAGTTAATTCTAGATTTGGGTGGGCATCCACACTGGAATGGCCAGAACTTCTATCCTCCTCTTTCCTCCGTCTCCCCTACCCCTGTGTTTTTCTTTATTCTAATTCATGCCCTTATTATGATTTCCCTGGACAATAATAGCAGTTTCTTATCTCATCTCCCTGCCTCTGGTTCCTGCTCTCTCCAACTGACTTCACAGTCTTCTGAAAACAGATTTCCAGCCTTGTCATTTTAAGATTTCTGAAGATTTTCAAAAATCTTCAGTGTTCTGACACTTATCTGGTTACATGGGAATCACTTGGGAGCTGATTAAAAACACAGATCTCCAGACTTCCCCACCTAGGGAATCTGAATCTCTAGGCAGTGAGTCTGGGGGAATCTTTGCTTCACAGAGGATCTCAAGGAGAGTCTTCTGAGCAGTGAGGTTGGGGACCTGCTGGCCTAGAGGAGAAATCCACACTCCTTAGTCTGGCATCAGGGGGTCTCTGCAATCTGGCAGCTGATTACCATGAAAGAAAATGCTGCCATGTCGCTGATTTGGGCCTCTATGAAGTCTTAGTGACAGATTTTGCAAATTGTATTACTTTTATTTGGACACCTCTCTCAACCAATTACGCCAGCAACTTTCCTAAACCCATGTCACTCTCCTCATCCTTACTCAATGTGTGCATCTTCTCCCTCTTATCAGATGACCTTCCTTTCACTTTCCCAGGAACAGAGGGATCAATGGTGTGACCTCCTGAGCCTCCTCCTCCTCCCCCTTCATTCTTTCCTCTTCTCTAGGACAAAGGTCCTTGTTTAGTGAGAGGCTCACTGGTGCTTTTTGGTCTCCTTCACGGGATTTCTCTCTTGGCCAAATTAATACACGAGTTATTAAGAGATTATTTTTAGGCAGCTAAAAAGGGTAAAAGTTCTGGGTGGAATTTTCCTTTAATAAAAAGCAGCCCCAAGCCATTTTTTCTCTAACAGAAAGCAGCCTGAAAACTCAGGCATAGATATGCAAACTAGAAGCTTTTATGTAAATGCTGGCAGCTGTTCCTGGAAGTCAGGTAATTCAATATGGCTGTTCTCACCCTCTTTTCCTTCTACGTTTACAGGTGTCGAGGCAGCCTCCAGGTTAAAGCACGTGTACAGGTATCATGGCCGCCACCAGGTGGAGGCCGCATTTGTATAATAAAATACTAGGGTGGGAGGGCCAGTCTTTTTGCAGGTTATGTAAATGACACATCTGGTCAAACCAATCCCCTGAGCCCTATGTAAATCAATCACTGCCTCCTCAAGCCTCTGTACAAAACCAATTGCTTTCCACCAGAAACAGGAGACCCTCTCTTGGGTGACCTGCCTTATCAGCATTAGGAAGCTTTTCCTCTCACTCCTCTTTTCTATTAAACTTTCCGCTCCTAAACCCACTCCTTGTGTGTGTCCGTGCTGTGAATTCTTTTTCGGCTATGGTAAAGAACCAGGGTATATACCCTAGACAGTGGAGCTGTTTCATTTTGGGAGCTCATCCGGGATCCAAATCAGAATGGAAGATAGAAACATCGGAGTGGTGAGTATAGAGCAAACGTCAAATCTGTTCTTTAATCTCAAGGATCTCTTCATACCAGTTTCCTTTCATGGAGAACTTCACCATCGCATGAGGCTGGGAAAGTCTTGGGGCAACTGAAAATTTCTGGCCAGGGCACACCCTGGTGTTATTCAAAGGCTTCTGGACTGAACGCAGCCTCCGACAGCCTGTCCAGGTGTTGGTAATGGATCTCCAGCTAACCCGTTGCAAAATTTTCCTTTCCTTTGTATCCGTGGTCACTGTGTCTCCTGTCCTCTCTCTCTGTGTGTGCAATTTGCGGGAAGTTTTACAGTTCAGGGAAACACTCCTGTTAGGGAAGATCGGCAAATGCCACAGGCAGTAACTGTTACTCTCTATCCTCTCTGGCGAGCACATGGTAGTGCTAAGCCAACAGCACCACCTAGTGGAAATAAAAATCCTCTTCATCAGGCACCTTGTCGGTTTTTTACCGTAACACTGCCGCTTCCAAATTCTTTCGTGCCGCTAGAAAAGCCTCTTCTGTGAACGAGAAAGCACTGTCTTCAACAGTTTGGAGTAAAATGTCCTCTGTAGTGAAATTTTAGTTCTGATACTGTCTCATCAGCAGGAAAAACAGCCATTAGGTTCCTACGTTCATTTCCGTCTCCAATTAGGATAGTACTTAATTAGCAAGGGGATTTTAGGTTCGGAAGTTAACCAGAGCCATTTTGCTAAGGGTAAATGTTTTAGCATGGGCCGTAATGGCAGGCAATCTAGCACACTGCCTCCGTTAAAGGAGCCTACCCAAAGATGACATAGTCTCTCTGGAGATCCATTTTTCTGGGAGCCAGGCAGATCACACAAATTTAGGACGTCAAAGGGGATCACATAAGGTGGATAAGCTAAGGTTGTGTGGGTAAAGTATGGTTAATCCCATCACTTAGTTTATCCAGTTCCACGGCTTGGAGGACCACGCCTACAACCGTGGGTGGTACATTTAACACGTTGCCAGGACCCAGGAACCAAGGAGAGAAAACAGTAGGGAGGACACTTCCACTATCTTCTCCTCCACCCTGGGTCACAGTGAAAGAATGGGGACGAAAGGATACTTTTATTCTCACTTCTTTTTCTAGATGGGTGACAGACCAGCTTCAGCTTGCACCCCTCTGGAGTGCAGTCTGAAACACTGGAACTCCTTTAACCTCAGGACTTTGAAGAGAAAAGTGACTCATTTTCTTTTGCACAAGGGCATGGCTTTTTTACTAAACCTCTGCAAGCGTTGTAAGATCAGCCCAGCTTTTTAAATAGGCATATCAGGTAGGCCTATAGAAAATAATCCCCCAGAATTAGAAAGGCAGTTTCCAAGGGAACCATCTGAGAATTCCCCTTATTTAGGGTTGCCAATGTGGGGGAAGTAAAGAGAAATCAGACTGTTGCTGTGTCTATGTAGAAAAAGGAAGACATAAGAAACTCCATTTTGATCTGTACTAAGAAAAATTCTTCTGCCTTGACATGCTGTTAATCTGTAACCCTAGCCCCAACCCTGTGCTCGCAGAAAACCTGTGCTGTATTGACTCAAGGTTTAATGGATTTAGGGCTGTGCAGGCTGTGCTTTGTTAAAAATGTGTTTGTAGGCAGTATGCTTGGTGAAAGTCATCGCCATTCTCCAGTCTCGAGTACCCAGGGACACAATGCACTGTGGAAGGCCGCAGGGACCTCTGCCCAAGAAAGCCTGGGTATTGTCCAAGGGTTCCCCCCACTGAGAGAGACAGCCTGAGATATGGCCTTGTGGGAAGGGACCTGACCTGACTGTCCCCAAGGCTGACACCCATAAAGGGTCTGTGCTGAGGAGGATTAGTGAAAGAGGAAGGCCTCTTTGCAGTTGAGATAAGAGGAAGGCATCTGTCTCCTGCTCATCCCTGGGAATGGAATGTCTCGGTGTAAAACCCGATCGTACATTCTATTTACTGAGATAGGAGAAAGCCGCCTTATGGCTGGAGGTGAGACATGCTGGTGGCAATACTGCTCTTTACTGCACTGAGATGTTTGTGTAAAGTCAAACATAAATCTGGCCTATGTGCACATCCAGGCACAGCACCTTTCCTTAAACTTATTTATGACACAGAGTCCTTTGCTCACGTTTTCCTGCTGACCCTCTTCCCACCATTACCCTATAGTCCTGCCACATCCCCCTCACTGAGATGATAGAGATAGTGATCAATAAATACTGAGGGAATTCAGAGACCAGAGCCGGCACAGGTCCTCTGTATGCTGAGCACTGGTCCCCTGGGCCCACTGTTCTTTCTCTATACTTTGTCTCTGTGTCTTATTTCTTTTCTCAGTCTCTCGTCCCACCTGATGAGAAATACCCACAGGTGTGGAGGGGCTGGCCCCCTTCAACCTCAAGCTCCCTTTTCATTACAGGACCTTAGGCAAACAAAGGAAGACTTATGCTAATTTTCTGATAACCCCAATAGGTATATAGAAGCTTTCCAGAATTTAACTCAGGTGTTTCACCTCACATGGAAGGATGTTATGCTGCTCCTAAACCAAACTCTAACCGCAGTTGAAAAGCAGGCAGCTCTGCAGGCAGCAGATAATTTTGGAGATGAGCAACATATCTCCTATAATACACCAAAAGGGAAGAAAAGAGATAGGGAAAGTGAAAAAAAATAGCAGAAACACCATTCCCAGTAGGAAGGGAAGCAGTTCCTCTCGACAACCCCAACTGGGACCCCAATAGCTCTGCAAATGAATAGAAATGGAAGCATTTTTAAAATATACATATTAGAGGGTCTGTGAAGAACTAAGGCCTGACCTCTTAATTCCTCTCAACTGTCTATGATAGACCAAAAGCCAGATGGGAATCCTGCAGCTTTTATGGAAAGGCTGAGAGAGGCACTAATAGAGCACACTTCTTTAGCCCCTAATTCAGTCAAGGGATGGCTCATTGTAAAGGACAAGTTTATTACACAGGCAGCTCTTGATATTAGAAGGAAACTGTAGAAGCAAGCTATAGGACCAGATAGCACCTTGGGGAACCTCCTGAGGGTGGCCACTTATAATAGGGACCAGGAGGAGGCCCCCCAGAGAGAGAGAAAGCTCAGGAGAAAGACAGAGGCTCTAGTAGCAGCTTTGCAAGCTTGCAAAGTCCAAGATTTCTGAGGTGCATCCGCTAGTTGCTATCAGTGTGGCAAGCCAGGGCATTTTAAAAAGGAGTGCCCAAACAGCAAGAGGAAGCCACCTCAACCCTATCCAGCCTGTGGTGGAGACCACTGGAAATCAAACTGCCCCCGGAGACGGAGGTCACTGGAGTCAGAACCAGTCTCACAGATGGTCCAGCAGGACTGATGGGTCCCGGGGCTCAAACCCCAGCTCCAGTGGCTCAAACTGCCATTACAGCACGGGAGCCACCAGGTGATTCTGGAAATTGAAGGAAGGAAAGTAGACCTCCTTCTAAACACTCGAGCCAGTCTCTCTCTCTTTTCTCCTCTTTAATCCAGGCCTCTCTTCTTCCCATAGCATGAGTGTAAGGGGTGTCTCAGGAAAAACTCTATTCCAATATTTTTCTCAACCTCCTAATTGCAGTTAGGAGGACCTATTGTTTACACATGCTTCCAAGCCATTGCCACGGTGGCTCTACTAGTCAAAAAAGCCTCCAAATTAACCCTAGGAAATAATTTAACTGTTTACACCCCACATAATGTAGCAGGATTACTGTCCTCTAGGGGAGACTTTAGCTAACAAACAGCAGGTAAAGCAAGAAATACATAAGGCAGGACAAGCAATAGTCACTCTAATGTCTCTCCCCAGACACAAGCACTCAATTAGCTGAACTAATAGTTCTTGCAAGTGCACTTAAATTAAGCAGGGGAAAGATAGCTAACATTTCCACTGACTCCAAGTATGCTTTTTTAGTTCTCCATGCTCATGCTGCTATTTAAAAGGAAAGACATTCTTTTACCACTAAAGCATCTCCTATAAAATATCACCAGGAAATTAACAGGTTATTATCCTCAGTTTTCCTTTCACGAAAAATAGCAGTAATGTATTATAGGGAACATCAAAGGGGAACAGATGAAGTAGCCAAAGGAAATAGGTTAGCTGAGCAGGGAGCTAAGCAGGCGGCAGGGAAGCCTCAAGGCATTAACACACTTCAAGCCCTTTTAATCTCGGAAGCCTCCATAAAAGAAATTAAACCTCAGTATTCCCCTGCAGAAATAAAATAAGCCACTTCTTAAGGGTATTCCAGCCCTGAGGATGACAAACTCCATTTACTGGCCTCCAGTCAATGGAAAGTCCTTAAAATCCTTCACCAAGCTTTTTCACATAGGAAAGGATAAAACTTATCATCAGTGTGCTCAGAGATTGTTTTCAGGCAGAAAACCTCTAAGTTGTTTAAAAATGTAACCTCTCTAGCTCACTTCCAACAGAAATTGACACAACTAGCCAAAGGCCAACCCCAGGAAATTGGACCACCTTTACTTAGCCAGAAAATTTGGTATTGGTGAAAACTCATCTCTCTCTCCTTCCCTAAGCCAGGCTGGGAAGGGCCCTACACAATTCTTCTTTCAACCCCCCCAGCAGTAAAAGTTACAAGTATCAACCTCTGAATATATCACACTCAAGTCAAAGCCTGAAAAGCTGAGGGAGCAACCTTTGACAGCCCAGAGGAACATCCTGAATATCAATGTGGAGATATAGAAGATCTTAAGCTGAAAATCATAAAAGGTAAGTAAATGAGTGAGGGCTACTCGCCTTAGCGCCATTCCTACCTCACCAGGTACTCTTTATCATTTCTACCTTTCCTCTCAAAATTCACTGCTCAGTATTAGAACTTTTTTTTAATGCATATTTGCAGAGAGATTTTAATTATACATGGGACTGCATTTGTTACTTTGTAAATCCCCAAAGGGAAACATTATATCTTGGCAAGTAAAGTTTTAAATGGAAATTATTTACTACGTCACTTTTGTGGGAATTGTTATCATCATGCTGTTATTTGCAATAGAACTGTATACTGTGGCACCCACAATGTGGAATTCTGGTTGTAAAATTCTAATTCCTGTAATATTTTGCCTAATTATCATCTTTATGACAGAATTAATAATTGCAGGAAGGATTTGGTCAAGTTTGTTTTGCTTATAGCAGGAGTAATAGTTACAGACAAGAAGTAAGCATGAAAATTTTACTATCACTAAGTTTGATAGGACTTTTTTATTGAAGATTGGTAAATGGTGCACTCTAAGCTATGGAAAGAAGGTTACAAATAAAGGGATTTTATATAAGAAAGGATCTTGTATAGTAAATTCTTGTCCTAAAAGGAAATGACTGGTTGTTTAAGACAAGTCAGAAAGTTGAGTACATTGTAAGAGGGTCTGTGAAAGTCATGAAAGAATTTAATAATTAAGAAATTTAATAATTAAAGGAAAGGAATTGCCAAGATTAACACCAAAGTTATTTTAGCCACCCAATAACGTTTTTCTCCCAATCATATCATAAGTTATAAAGAATGGCCTAAACCAAAAATTATGCCCTAATAGCAAGTCAAGGGGGAAACATGTTTTTCTCAAAGGAAATGATGCTTTTATATTAACGTTTCTGGTAATGTACAGCGACATCTAGTGGAGACAAACCAGTATTACAATCCATTGGTGTAACAGGTATCAAACTCTACTGTCATAGTTACAGTCTATAGGTGGTAATCTTAATACTCATATGGTAACCCTATATTTTAAACCTTCTTGTAAAATTTATCTCTTTTTGCCTAGAAGCAATCAAACTTCAAATGGTGCTGCAAACAAAGCCACACATGGACATGCCATTCTTCCAAGAAGCCTTAGATCAACCTCAGGAGGAGCCCCAACTGCAGCCCCCCAACACGACGCCCCTTTTCAGCAGGAAGTAGCCAGAAAGAATCGTCGTCCAACACCCCCTAACAGCAGTTATGGTTACGTCTCCTGAGGGAGGAAATAATACAGGAGTTATTAAGAAATTATTTTTAGGCAGCTAGAAAGGGTAAAAATTCTCAGTGGAATTTTCCTTTAATAAAAAGCAGCCCCAAACCATTTCTTCTCTAACAGAAAGCAGCCTGAAAACTCAGGCATAGATGTGCAAACTAGAAGCTTTTATATGTAAATGCTGGCAGCTGTACCTGGAAGTCAGGTACATCCAATATGGCGGTTCCCACTCTCTTTTCCTTGTCACCACGTTTACAAGTGTCATGGCAGCCTCCAGGTAAAACCACATGTACAGGTATCCTGTCCACCACCAGTTAGAGACCGTATTTGAATAATAAAAGACTAGGGTGGGAGAGTCAGTCTTTTCGTGGGCTATGTAAATGACACAACTGGTCAAACCAATTCCCTGAGCGCTGTGTAAATCAATCACCGCCTCCTCAACCTCTGTACAAAACCGACTGCATTCCACCACAAACCGCAGACCCTCTTTTGGGCAACCCACTTTCTGAGCACGAGGAAGGATTTTTTCTCTCTTTTCTTTTCTATTAAACTTTCCACTCCCAAACCCACTCCTCACGTGTGTCTGTGTCGTGAATTTTCTCGGCCATGACAAAGAACCAGGGTATATACCCCAGACAATGGAGCCGTTACAAAATCACAATGTCCAGTTCCCAGGATCCAGTCCTATGCTCCTCCCGATGGGTCCCCTCTCCCTGGGTGGTCTCATGTAGGCCAGGCCCCTTCCCCGCTGCAAACTCTTCTCTCACCTGCCCATCAGACCACCCATCTGGCCCCTCAAGCACCTCAAACCCGGCCATCTCCCTGCAGGTTTCTTCTCTGCGTGGCCTGCTGTGCCATCTCCACCTTCATCTCCACACCGCACCCCTGCACGATGTCCTGTGGCCTCGTTTCCCCTCACCCCACATGCAGTCAGCTGCCAGGCCTGATGAAGTCCCAGGGGTCTCTCTCCCTCCATCCTCCTCACTCCATGCTCAGCCCAATCTCCGTGCTCACCCTCCTGACAAGCTCCGGTTGGGCTCCTCCCATCAATCCCCAGCTCAAAGTCCCCTTCCCTCCTGGCACTAAGGTCCCTTAGGCCGGCCCGGCTGCCCCTACTCCCTGGGCCCGGCCCCCACGGCTGCCCCAGGAGCCCTGGTCCACAGCCCTCACCTCGGCGCTGCCGGATGAGTGGCTCCATCAGCTCGTACTTGTGTCTGCACACCTTGTCCACCTCGGCTCGCTTCCGTTCCATAAAGTCCTTCTGGCTATTGAAGTACTCGCCTATGGGCCGCCCCAGCTCCATCACTGCTAGGAACTCCCCCACTGCGCTGTCAAAATGCACGTATTCCTCCCGGTTGTAGATGAGCCCGTCCACAACGCGCTGAGTCCCATTGAACGCATAGCATTCCTGCCGTTCCTGGTAGACGGAATTCTCTGTGAAGAGCAGGGAGAGATGGGGGTGGTGCCACTCCCAACAACACCCCCCTCCTCAATATGAGCTATTTCCTCAAATCTTCCCACTCAGGACTGGATTTAAAAATACGATTTTTCCTACTACCGAGTTCTGTGGTCCTAGGCAGGTCACAGACTCCAGGCATCAGTTTTCTCACCACGCAGCGAGAGGATTTACTGAAAAGAATGAGACTCACTGCTCAGGGTGGCTGAGTGATCATTAGGGAGGGGCGCACGCTGAAGGGAAAGCAGCCCTTTCTGCTGGCGGCTGGAGGAGGAGGGGGAGACATTTCACGCGGAGTCTCAGGGAGGAGCAGAATCTCATCAGGGGGAGGGTCCCTCAGGCAGAGAAACAGTAGGGATAGGAGGAGTTGGGGACCTGGAGGGCAGAGCTGCTCCCCCTACCCAACTCCCTGCCTGACATTTCCATCCTGATGTCAGTCCTGGCTCAAATGCCACCTCCTCCAGGAAGCCCTCCATTCCTTCTTTCCCTTTCTACAGCTAGGTTCTCTCTCTTCTCTGCCAGTTTCTTGAGAATACCTCAAGTTGCTCTTGCTGTTCTGCATGCTGGACATCTCTGCATGCTGGAAATGCAGAAATGCATTTCCATGCATTCCTCCCTCCCTCCCTCCCTCCCTTCCTTCCTTCTTTCTTTCTTCTTTCAATGGAGTATCCTTCCCTCCCTCCCTTCCTTCCTTCCTTTCTTCCTTTCTTTCTACAGAGTATCACTCTGTCGCCCAGGCTGGAGTCCAGTGGTGCAATCTCAGCTCACTGCAACCTCCGCCTCCAGGGTTCAAGCAGTTTTCCTGCCTCAGCCTCCTGAGTAGCTGGGATTACAGGTGTGCGCCACCACGCCCAGATAATTTTTGTATGTTTAGTAGAGATGGGGTTTCACCATGTTGGCCAGGCTGGTCTCGAACTCCTGACCTCGAGATCTGCCCTCCTCGGCCACCCAAAGTGCTGAGATTACAGGCGTGAGCCACCGCACTTGGCCAGAAATGCATTTCTTAAAACTTCTTGAAGTTTGCCATAAGAAAGACTATATAGCCTGAAAGTTAATTTTCACTTTCAAACATGGCTGTAGAAAGACTTGATCTCAAAACACCTGGAAAATATCTTAATCAATGAAAATCACCAGAACAACCAGAAAGCTAAGTGACTGGACTCCTTTAGGTTTAGAGGCATTGATGGTGTCATTTTTACATAAAGAAATGTGGCAGCCTTTTCCACCTGCAGTTCTTCCTAGGGAGCACCATGGGCAGTGTCCGGCAGGTGCATGTGTATACAGAAGTAGCAATGACCCAGCACATGTCTGAGCCTCTTCAGACCTGATCTGTTCCTGGTCACAGTGGGGAAATTAAGGTGCTGTGATTTGCACACAGCAAATTAAGGTTTGTTTTGGACACCTGTTTCATGTTCTACAAATTAGCAACTCACGTTTATTAACCTCACCCCTCATAGAAGATGCACAGCTGGTGGCAGAGGACAGTAGAGAAGGGGTGGGGCTGGGCACAGCGGCACCGTAGACTCGGCCTGTAGTTTCCAGTGTCATCTCTAAGGCAAGATCCCAGGACTTTAGATATCTTAACCCGCCTCTTCTCCTAGTGCCTTGGGCTCCAGCCCCCTAAACACCCAGGCCCATCGCCCCCAGCCCCTTTAGTCTGCCCCTCCCTATTCAAGTGCCCCACTCTGAGTGTGTATCCTCTCATTTTAATTTGTTAGTCTTTGTTCCTCTTCCTCATTCACCAATAAGAGAACATGTTTTAGTCAAGAGTAAGAATTTCAAAACTTTCTTTTGCAACATTTAACTTTTTAAACGGAATTTTACCTGCAAAGCAGATATAAGTGATGAGTATATGGTGGAATTTGAAACTTCATTTTTTTTTTGTATATGGAAAACTTTATCCTGTTTGCGGAATCTTTGACAATTGAGTTACCCAGAGCACAATTTGAAAACCAATGATCTGAGTGAATTCATCTCTCACTCAGAATAGGTTATATTAAAATATAATTGCAGAAAGATATAATGGAGTCCATATGGGTAAGAAAAGGAACATGTCACAGGTAGGGATTCCAGTTCTTGCACTACGACTGATTACTAAGTTATCTTGGACAAGAAACAACCTTCTAACTCTCCATTTCTTGAAAGGCAAAATAGTAATAATACTATTTACCTTGCAAAACTGCTGTGAGAACCAAATGAGCTCACATATGTCAAATACATAGTATTGTATCTGTTACTGCTCAATCTATGTTAGTTCCCTTCCTCTTTTCACTGTGTGACCTGTTTGAATAGGAGCAAAATTCTAAATAAATGCATATGAAAGAGGAACTGGATCAGCTTATGAGCTACTGGAAAACCTCAAGAAGACTTTCCATGGGCACCAGATCTTAATGGTTGAAAAGTGTTTGTTGGCTGTTTGCTGACTGGATCTTCCCCCCTCTCTTTTGTGCTAGGGATTTTATTTGAGGAGTTAGATTAACAGAAGAGTGAGTACCCAAAGACTCAAATGCACAATGAGCTTCTGCAAGTGCCCAGCTGGTGTGACAGGAGGACTCGGGAGTGTGGCCCTAATGCTTGGGGTAGTGGGTGGGGTGAGGTAAGAAACTCAGCTGTAAAAAGCCCATTTTAAAGCTTGTCAGAGACAAAAGGGTGTTGCCTCCAGGAGTCTGGTTTTTTCACCTGCCGTGTCATCTCCTGCTCCCTAGGTGTTGTCTCAGCCAAGCTTTTCTCCACCCTCCCCTCTCTCACTTTAAGCCACAGCCTGGCTCCTTGTGCCTTTCCTCTTGTGCTCTGAGGATGGAGATGTGTGTGGAGTTGGAAGAGCATGCAGGGAATTGTGGAATTGGCCCTGCCCACTCTACCCACTCCCCTATGGCTCCAGCTCTCCCTCCAGCAGGTTTTGATTGGACATTCATTCTACACGGGGAGCTCTGGTAACCCACCCTCGGTTCCTGTCACATGGCTCCACTGCCTCATCTCATTTCCCCTACCAACCTCAACCCAGTCTTTGCCCGTCCACCTGTTCACTGCCCACCATCATCACGCTCCCTCCTGTGCTTTCTGCTACCCCGCACCTTGAGGGTTTCCATGGCGTTTCCCAACACCACCCCTCATCCTACAAACAACTCTGCCTATGGACACTGTTGCTATGGACCTCCTGCTGGACACTGTTCAGTGTCACCAGCGCTGCTCCAGCCTCCTCTCTCCCCAACCTCACCCCTCTCCAGTTCCCAGGGCTGAGCCATTCTGCTGGTTAGTTCTCAGCACCCCTGTGACTACAAGTGCAGTTTGTCCACCCTTTCCCGGACAATGAACCTGAGGTAATAGGTGAGGGGCTTTGGGGTTTGAGGGGCTGTCCTCAGGAGATTCGAATACTGTTACCCTGGAAAATGAGGAGGTGACATGAGAACAGCACTTTCTAGGGGTGTCCTAGGTGGATGTGGAAGGGTCTCAGAGGGAGGGTCTATGCAGAAAGGTGGAAGTCAGTGGAAAACTAAGACACCTACTCTGCAGTCCTTCCTCTCAGGGTGTTGGTGTAAATTTGGACCAGAAAAGTAAGAACATCCTGAGAGAAAAACAATGGGTCATAGAAGCCATAATATTACACCAGCCACAAGGAGACAGCAGGAGACAGAGGTTTTTCCCTTGGTTACTGCTTTCTTGGCTGTCTGATAACCTACACTCAATCTCTTTCACGTACTCACACATCCTTATCTCATTCTTCTGACAGGTTTCAACCCATCCTAATACTCTAACCAAGTTCTGGGGAGGCTGGGAGAAATACCTTCAACAAGAGTGCCTTTAGGGGCTCGAACCTGTCCCCCTCCCTCCCATCTTGCCTTCATTGTCCAGGGAGCATTGGCTCCTGCTCCACCCTGGAGAATGAGAGGCATTCTCTGTGAGCACTGAATCCTCAGTGATACTTGTAGTCTGGACACACCAGCTAAGGGCTCTCTGCCTGAGTCCCCTCAAGGTTGGATGCAGATGTGAGCACACCCAGGAGTCTGCACTTGCCAACCTCTCTCTCTGAAACCTTGTCTGTCCAAGGTTATCCTGAACCTCTTGGCCCCATTTCCCCATAGACAAGCAACTTGACCCCTGAGCACCTCCCCTTATTTACTGTGTCCATGTTCCTGGAGAGAGAATAGACCTGGTGGATAGCAACCTATCCTATAGGAGGTGAGTTTGATTCTCCAGCTGTGATAGAAGGACACTAGGCCGTGGCAGGAGCCCCACATGCTGTCTCAGAGTCTGGTTCCATAAAGAGAAAGTCCCCTAGGAATTGTTCCCTGAGCCAGACCCTCCAGGAATAGCAGCTCTGCTCTTACCTGGAGTGGCCCTGCTCTGGACCACAGATATGAGCAGCACCATCAGTAATGCTGTCAGAGCCACTGTCCAGGGGCCCCCTGAAACCTGCAGGATCATCATGGAGTTGGAAAAGGTTGGCAGAATGAAGAGAGCTGCAGTCAGGAAAACAAGAACTCATTAAAGGGAGCTCCTGTCTGAAATATTAGAGACCATGAACCCAAGCAGTCTTCTGTGACCCTAGGATTGGACAGACTCTGAGAAAAGAACCAATGGGCACTGAGCTTTGTATGAGTCATTGCTCACTGGGCAGAAAGTTAGTATTAAAGATCTGACAATATAGAGCCAGTGATGCTGTTACGAGGACAGATGGAGAACACTGACACTCATTTTAACCAGTCAGAGTCATGAGTTTTGGGGAGATGATGTGTTTTCTTTGCTCTGAAGGTGATCTCAGATATTCTGCTGGCCCACCTACAGGGATTATCATTTCCCCAATTCTGCCACACCTCACACACCCACAGGACATGGCCTGGTGTGGAAGAAATGCTATCTCAATGTGTAAAAGGTCATTCAGTGGCATGATTTAGAGAGATTAGAGTATCCATCCCAGAACTGAAAATGAGGCCTGGAGTCTGTTTTGCCTTTGTTCAAGGCCGTGCTTCAGATTAGTGCACATTCATATTTTCTTCCTCCCACATGTCTGTGAGTCCTGAGATGTGCGGGGGATACTGGCTCCTTCCATAGGACTGTCATCAGGGTCAGCAGGGCTCAGTCTAGGGGCCTTACACCTGGGAGCATGGACACACCACCTACACTACCATGGAAGTATGCAGCTTGAAGGACACTGCCTGTCTTGGACTTCAGTTCTTTGTCTTCAGTATGGGGATGATATGACCTGCCTTTACAGCAGGGCTCTTAAGGTCAAATTAGATCAACGGATCTGTAATTGCTTTGGAAAAATGAGACTAAAAATTATACAGTGAATGAGGAAGAAATGAAAAAATGTCATAAAAGACCCTACATTTTCCAAAACATCTGATTCTGTGGTGTTTATACTGAATAGTTTCATAAACTTTCAAAGAATATTACTCCTTAATTTAAAGACCTATAAATGTGATCCTGTACGACCTCCTAATCTAATAAAGAAAATGTAAAAGTGGCATCATTTGTTTATATAAATGTTAAAATGTAAATAGAAGACTAGCATGTAAAATTCAAGAGAAGAAAATAATTATGCAGTAGAAGGGGCCAGTATAGGATTGCGGGGAAAAAGCTCACGTTCCCTGCCATAGTCACCAAGACAGCATGGTACTGGTATAAAAATAGGCACATAGACAAAGGGAACAGAATAGAGAACCCAGGGATAAACCCAAATACTTACAGCCAACTGATCTTCGACAAAGCGAACAAAAACATATGGTGGGGAAAGACACCCTTTTCAACAAATGGTGCTGGGATAATTGGCTATCCACATGTAGGAGAATGAAACCGGGTCCTCATCTCTCACCTTATACAAAAATCAACTCAAGATGGATTAAGGACTTAAACCTGAGACCTGAGACTATAAAAGCTCTAGAAGATCACATTGGAAAAACCCTTCTAGACATTGGCTTAGGCAGGGATTTCATGGCCAAGAACCCAAAAGCAAATTCAATAAAAACAAAGATAAATAGTTGAGACTTAATTAAACTAAAGAGCTTTTGCACGGCAAAAGGAACCATCAGCAGAATAAACAGACAACCCACAGAGTAGTCACAATCTATACATCTGACAAAGGACTAATATCCAGAATCTACAATGAACACAGGCAAATCAGTAAGAAAAAACAAACAACCCCATCAAAAAGTGGGCTAAGGACATGCATAGACAATTCTCAAAAGAAGATATACAAATGGCCAAGAAACATAAGAAAATGCTCAACATCACTAATGATCAGGGAAATGCAAATCAAAACCACAATGTGATACCACCTTACTCCTGCAAGAATGGCCATGATAAAAAAATAAAAAAACAGTAGATATTGGTGTGGATGTGGTGATCAGGGAACTCTTCTACCCTGCTGGTGGGAATGTAAACTAGTACAGCCACTGTGGAAAACAGTGAGGAGATTCCTTAAAGAACTAAAAGTGGAACTATAATTTGATCCAACAATCCCACTACTGGGCATCTACCCAGAGGAAAATAAGTCATTATATGAAAAAGATATTTGCACATACGTGTTTATAGCAGCACAATTCACAATCACAAATTATGGAACCAACCCAAATGCCCATCAATCAACGAGTGGGTAAAGAAACTGTGATATATATATGATGGAATACTACTCAGCCATAAAAAGGAATGAGTTAATGGCATTTGCAGCGACCTGGATGAGATTGGAGACCATTATTCTGAGTGAACTAACTCAGGAATGGAAAACTAAACATATATTCTCACTGATATGTGGGAGCTAAGCTAAGAGGATGAAAAGGCATAAGAATGATACAATGGACTTTGGGGACCTGAGAGGAAAGGTGGGAGGGGGCAAGGGATACTGCTCAGGTGATAGGTGCACCAAAATCTCACAAATCATCACTAAAGAACTTACTCATGTAACCAAATACTACCTGTACCACTATAACCTACGGGGGAAAAAAGCAACATAACCATGAACCAACTAATAAAAAACAACCTTGCCTTCAGTCTGCATCCTACCCTAGAGACACTCTCTCTGTGTCCTCACACTTGGAGCTAAGCTTCTGACTTTTGTCTCCAGTACACCCCTGAGGATCCTCTCATCACGGCCATCAGAAACCTCTGTAGAAGGTCAAATCCAGTGGGTTCTTGTCAGTGCCTCTGACTTGAGTTACTGATAATATTTGCACCATAATCCACTTCTTTCTAATGAGCTACTCTGTCCTTATTTTTCTCCTATTTACTGAATCCTCCTTATCATCCTTTGAAATCTCCTCTTAATTATTATGTTCTCTCATCATACCCTGAGATCCCTGCATTTCTGATTTTTGGCACTCTTCCTGGAAAAGCTCATCTAACCTGCACCTATGCTTGATGACTCTCAGTTCTCTGGCTTAAACTCCTCTACTGAGACCACCCATCATACAAAAATGTTTACATATTATTTTTCCTTAGATAACTTTTAGATATTCTAAGTGCAATAGCCCCACACTGAACTCAGTCTCTTCTCTCAGTCAGGCTGTCTTCTCTCATTACCCTTTTTAATGAATGGAATCAAGATGTTTGCATTGGGTTGGGGAGATGTTGGTCAAAGGATACATCCATTTCATTTCATTTAGGATACATTTCAAAAGATACATTTCATTTAGATTGGAGGAATAATTTTAAGAGTTTTATTGTATAACATGGACTATAGTTGCTAACAATGTATTGTTGAAAATTGCTAAAAGGGTGGATTTTAAGTGTTCTCACCACAAAAAATAAGTATGTGAGGTGAGCCATAAGTTCTTTAGCTTGATGTAGCCGGTCCATGATGTACATACATTTCAAAACAACATATTATACATGATAAATATAAATAATTTTTGTCAATCAAAATAATTTAGAAAAGTGACACACACTTACACACACACACACAAAAGAGATGATTGCATTGGCCAGTCTAGGAATAAGAGTTATCTGGGAGTTTTCTAAGTCGGATGCCACCGACATCACTCACCAATAATCCCTTTAATGTCAATCAAATTAAGTCCTCTTCTTCCATCATTTTACTCCTATGCCCATTTCCTCACTCTTTGTTCAGGCACTATTAGTCTTGCCTCTTGAACCAACTTCTTTCACTCATGCTGCCCACTGTTGCCGTAGTGATCTTCCTAAATTGCAAATGCGCCATCACTCTCCTGCTTAAAATCCTTCAATGATTCCTTATGACTTCCAGGACAGAGTAGCCACTCCTGAGCTTTGCATGTAACATCTGTCATGATCCAGCCCCTGCCTGTCTATTTTTCCTTTTTTCTTGCTGCTGTTCCACATCCAAAGCTGGCTCCATTCATACTGAAGCAGCTGAAGTTCTTCAGATATGTCATTGCCACACTGGGCCCACACTTTTGAACCTGCTTCCTCCTGTGTGAGAAGTGGCTTCTGCCCTGTTTTCGGACTGCCTACATTGAAGCCATCTGTTCCCCAGGAAGCCTTCCCTGATGCCTTGACAGCAGCATCTTGTGCCTGCCCCATATCTGCACTTATCCATCTGGGCCTGCTGTTGTCTTGTCACTTGTGTTCTCTTCTGTGAACTGTAAACATCAGGACAAGACCTATGTCTTACTTTTATTTGAATATTTAGCATCTAACAATGTTCGACATATTGTAGGCTTTTGATACTATTTTTTTACTATGACATTGTAGTATATGTTAATATCCAGTAGGACATAGGATATATTCTCTCTGTTTTCAATTTTTCATTGTTTACACACATTTATAATTCTATCTATAAGGATTTACAATTATTTACATGAAATGAATGAAATAAATAGAGAATGTTAGATATTAAGAGACAGTGTGGAAAGCCAGGCTGGGACTAGGGATGCACTTACCTTAGGTGCAAAATTTAGGAGGATACCAAAAGAACTCAGTAATAAAAGTCAATCATATTTTAATGAAATATCTTAAGAAATCTAAATTAATGGAAAATATATAATGAACAAAATGTCAAAAGAGAACTATTCAAAGAAAATGGAGAAGCAGAGAGGCAGAAGAATTAGTAGAATATACTGGCACATAAGCCAAGGAAGTAAAGATTTCCAGGAAGGAGGAAGTAGAGCGGAGTCAGAAGTTCAACAGAAGTCATTTCAGAAATCTTACCTTGGTTTTGAAATCCTTTCAGAGAGCAGTTTTACATAATGTGAGCAATTATTTCTCCTTCATCCCCATCATTCCAGAATTGAGCTTCTTCTCTGGCTTCAGAAATGTGGCCCTTCCCCTTGTCAGGATATGTTGGCGACATGATGCATGCAGATGCCCTCAAAGTCAGCTGGGGTTTGGGGGTGAAATTAATTGACTTTAGGGAACTCCTTGAATGCTAAGTTCTGTTCACCTGGAGGACCAGAGAGGGCACAGAGATGACCACCTAGCTTCTGCCTGGGACCTAAACAGGGCAGAGAAATAGGAGGATCAGGTATAAAGGGAGCAGGGAAGATGGGTCTGGGCTTACAGTACTGAACCCAGGGATGACAGTAACTGTGTGTGTCTCGAGGCAGGTGACAAAATATGTGAAAGGAAGAGGACTTAGGAGAGATCTGAATTCCAGCTGTTTTACAAGCTATATCTCAGCTTTCTTTCTCAATTCATGTGCTCTCTACCCCAAAGGCTGATGGAATTGCTGACCCTTCAAGTTCTCTTCTCATCTGCACCCCTTCCCTCCTGCTGCACACTGTTCAGCGACATCACACACTTCTCCAGCCTCCTCTCTTCCTAGTCTTACCCCTTCCCAGTTCCCATAACTGAACTGTCCTGTTGAGGAGTTCTTAGCAGCCCTCTGTGACCACAAGCGCAAGTTGCACTCCCTTCTGAGACAAAGTCCCCCATTTATTCCCTCCTGAGGGCATGTCCCTTCCCCTGACCCTCATGGACTCTCCCAGGTGCACCCCCTGTGGATTTGCTCCTGGGCCTGAGTTTCCCCTACTTCCCTGATGGTGTCTGGAGGGCAAGGGGTATCTGTCTATCTACTGAGTGTCATAAACTGCCGAACTTAGCACACCCACCCTCTACCTCTTCCTAAGTGTAGTGACACGGTGAGGGAGGTAATGGGGTGGGGTCTGGAATCAGACACCAGGAGGAAAGGGGTTGTGGCTCTCTTTGCCTCTCACTCTGTGTGTATTTCTCTCGGGCACCAGGAGGATTTCCTAAAGATTTCTTTCTCCTGACTGTTTTCTGGACCCGTCCTGGTCTCCAAGCTCCCCTCCTGATTCTCTGCAGTGCCCAGGTGTCCAACAGTTGAGCCTGGAGCCAGGCCAACTTGTCAGCTTCCTGTATGAGGATCAGACTGGACGACTTCAACCTGCTTAGCCGGTCTTCTGAGGCCTCACCCTAGTAGTTGGCAAGTAAGTCTGTTTGCTCCTCTGGTCTGCCTGGCCCACACTTTTGTGAGAAAGTGCCCTAGAACCTGTACACTCTAAACTGTGAAACCCTGTTCCTTCTTTTGGCCACAACACACCTACGCACTGCCCAAAGTTCAGTCACTTCTAGCCCAGAGTTTGGGCTTAGAGTGCATCCTTCTCTGCAAGTTGTGTTAGCCTGTACCTTGGGCAAGTTACTTAAATTTTTTGAGCCTCAGTTTCTACATCTTAGGATGGACAGTAAATAGAATTGGCACAAACAAGTGAGAAAGTGATGGCACAGTGTTTGTTGCACTGTAAGCACTTGATAAATGGCAGCTATTGTGATTACTGCTCTCATCGTCATTGGTTTCAACTCTCATCAACAGATCTCCAACCCTGTTGACGCCCCTGCTTCAGTCAGTCACTTGAACCTCTCACTCCATGACCAGGTGGCACCGTGTGGCTATGGCCATGAAGGGCCAGTCTGTCACCCTCATTGTTGACTGCAAGATGTGAGTCACCCGGCCTCTCCCCTGAAGAACTAGTCCAGTGTTGGACACCTGTGGGGTGATAATTGTTGGTGCCTGTATCCCAGATGAAGAAAGTCTTTGAGGTTACCACAAAAATCAGAGAAAGGAGTGACTTCTGGTCCCTTATTTTGTGCCCACTCCTCTTCTGGCCCCAGTATGCAATGTTCCTATTTCCTAAGCCTTCATTTTTTTTCTTGTGAATTTTGATTTGCATTTCCTATCTTCAGGACTGCTGATCTCTGCAGAATAACTAGATGTCCACTTATGTGGCAGGACTGTCCACAGCCACTTATTCTATCCTTCAGTCTTCATCTTTCCATCTATCCATCCCTTGAACCTATCTCTCTCCTCATCCACCCCATCCATTCACTCATTCACCAGTCCACCTATGCACACATCCACCACCCACTCCCGCAACCATTTACCCACCTATGCATCACAAACTTACCCATCTACTCATGCATGAAGGCTTATATCCACTCACCTGTCCATCCTCCCCCTGCTTAACGACTCTCCCCTTCTTTACACACATCTATTCGACTATGCTTTTGTTCATCTGTCCTCTTCAACTTATCCATCCATCTATTCACTCACCCACCCACTCACACACCCCATCTACCCATGCATACAAGGATGCATGCATCTGTTCAGCCACCCATCTATCCATTATCCTTCCTGGAACTCAACCACTCTCTCCTTCAATACACTCATGCACCCATCTCCTCACCCACTCACTTCACATCCAACCGTTCATTCAACCACGTATTCAATTCCACCCATCTATCTATTCACTCATCTGATTCCATCTACTCTGTACCTCCCGCTCATCTACCCACTAAGCCTTGCATGCATAATTCCCTCTGCAGGAGTCCCATTGTACCTGTTTTGTGCCTTTCTTTTCACTCTGGGTCATGGTAGCCATATTGTTGAAGGTTCACTTCCCAGATCCTCTTTTCTTGGCTGCTTCCTGTCTGTACAGCTGCTTCCTGTCGGTACAGCCACTTCCTGTTTGTCCAGTTTGTTTTGTGGCCATCTTGGCCATGTTTAATTTTCCTTGGCCCTGGCATCACTCTTGCATCCAAGTGTTTGTCATTTTATTTTGTGTCCCTTAGTTGTTCTAATATCTTCCAGTATTCTCTGTCAGTTGGACTGCTTCCTGTCTACTCTGCTACATCTTCTGCCTGCCTTGCAGTTATGGCTGCCTTTTCTACCCTGCTGCTGCATCCCACACCTCCTGCTCTTGGCACCCGTGAGCTTCTGCTGCCTTTCCTTTATGCTGCTGTCTGGGTCTTTGGGGTTGATGTGGGATCTGGGAGAATTTTGAAACGGATCATTGCTGTCAGGATGAAGGTGGAGAGGGGCATTCTGAAGATCTTTGTTTTGGGGAGTTGGGGTGGTGGTGAATGTTTCACCTTCTCCCCACCCTTATCTTGGCTATGGCCTGGATTTGGGAACAGGCATCTGAATGGAGGTGTGCAAGGGAGGGAACTGGTTGGCTTGGAGTGTACATGAGGGCCAGAAGAAGGGCAAAGCATCCTGCTGGGAGAGGAACTGTGGGGTGTATTGTAGGGGGCTGCTCTGGAGCTTGGATAACTGAGCCCAAGAACTATATGTTTTGCAAAAGGCAGTTATGAGGCCTGAGTTTGGAATATCTCTGGGAAATGCTCTCCAAATTTACTTGGAGTATGGATACTTAACCTGTGCAGGGTTTTTACATTTTTGAACTCCTTCAAATTCTAAATAAAATTTTGTGCATAAGGGCATATACCTTTTCTTTTTTGGAGAAAGACTGAAAGACTCAAAGTCCTCTTTCTGAAAGAGGCTCTTCAGGATTTGGAGAGGTTGTGTTTGCTGAGGTGGGACTGGGAACTGGGGTGCAGGGAACCCTGAGATCTCCTTGGCAGGCATGAGAGTTTTGTGAACAGAAGTATTTAGAGGAAGCCTGTGGGGCTTGTGGGTAGGGCTGGTCTGGTCTCCAGAGGACCCAAAATCGAGGTTGGAGTTGAGATGGGGGCAGGCCTGGTGTCCTGGCTGCTCATGGGCCCCACTGGGGTTACATGTGTGTCTCCCTCAGGCTGCCCATGGGCCCCGGGGTCTGAAGGGAGAGAAGAGAGAGCCTGCAGTGCTGGAACCTGTAAGTTATGCTGGTCACAGGGCTGAGGTGGTGGAAAGAGGAGAAGCAAGTGGGGTTTAGTGTGCTGGCCCTGTCACCTGTGAGTTTTAACCTTTGACTCCACAGGGTATGCTCTTGGAGGGGCCCCCTGGTTTAGAAGGCCCTGTGGTGAGTCTAGCAGTGACCTGGTGGCCATTGTTTTCTTAGAGATCCCTCCTATGTGTTCATCTGTGCCTTCCCCACATATGCTCAGGCCTCCTCCTCAGAACTCCGGAGGGTCCTTCCAATAAAAGTTTTTTAAAAAATCATTTTGAAAAATTAATTCAATAGTTTTTGGGGAGCAGGTGGTGTTTGGTTATATGGATAAGTTCTTTAGTGGTGATTTCTGAGGTTTTGGTGCGCCCATCACCTGACGAATGTACACTGTATCCAGTGTGTAGTCTTTTATCCCTTACCCAGCTCCTACTCATACCTGGAAGTCCTCAAAGTCCATTATATAATTCTTATGCCTTTGTGTCTTCATAGCTTAGCTCCCACTTATAAGTGAGAACATACAATATTTGGTTTTCCATTCTTGAGTTACTTCCCTTAAAATAATGGTCTCTAATTCCCCCTAGGTTGCTGCAAATGTTATTTCATTCTTTCTTATGGCTGAGTAGTATTCTAAGGTATATAGATCATATATATATGTGATCTATATATATAGATCACATATATATATATCACATATATATATATATCACATTTTCTTCATTCACCCATTAATTGATGGGCATTTGGGGTGGTTCCATATTTTTGCAATTGTGAATCATGGTGCTGTAAACATGTGTGTGCAAGTGTCTTTTTCATATAATGACTTTTTTCCTCCAGTAGTGGGATTGCTGGATCAAATGGTAGATCTATTTCTAGTTCTTTAAGGCATCTCTGTACTGTTTTCCATCGTGGTTGTACTAGTTTAATTTCCCACCAGTAGCATAGAAGTGTTCTCTTTTCATCACACCTACCCCAACGTCTATTTTTTTTTATTTTTAAATTATGACCATTGTTACAGGAGTAAGTTGGTATCACATAGTGGTTTTGATTTGCATTTCCCTGATAATTAGTGATGTAGAGCATTTTTTCATATGTTTGTCAACCATTTGTATATTTTCTTTTGAGAATTGTCTGTTCCTCTGCTTAGCCCACTTTTTGATGGGAGTATTTGTTTATTTCTTGCTGATTTGTTTGAGTTTTTTGTAGATTCTGGATATTAGTCCTTTTTTGTATGTATAGCTTGCGAATATTTTCTCCCACTCTGTGGGCTGTTTACTCTGATGATTATTTCTTTTCCTTTGAAGAAACTTTTTAGTTTAATTAGGTCCCATCTATTTATCTTGTTTCTTTTGCATTTGCTTTTGGGTTCTTGGTCATGAACTCTTTGCCTATGCCAATGTCTAGAAGAGTTTTTCCAATGTTCTAGAATTTTTATGGTTTCAGGTCTTAGATTTAAGTCTTTGATCTACCTTGAGTTGATTTTTGTATAAGGTGAGAGATGAGGATCCAGTTTAATTCTTCTGCATGTGGACTGCCAATTTCCCCAGTACCATCTGTTGAATACGCTGTCCTTTCCCCACTTTATGTTTTTGTTTGATCAGTTGGCTGTAAGTATTTGGTTTTATTTCTGGGACTTCTATTCTGTTCAATTTGTCTATGTGCCTGTTTTTATACCATTCCCATGCTGTTTTGGTGACTATAGCCTTGCAGTATATTTTGAAGTCAGGTAATGTGATGCTCCAGATTCATTCGTTTTGCTTAATCTTGCTTTGGCTATGTGGGCTCTTTTGTAGTTCCATATGAATTTTAGGATTGTTTTTTTCTAGCTCTGTAAAGAATGATGATGGCATTTTGATGGGGATTGCATTGAATTTGTAGATTGCTTTTGGCAGTATGGTCATTTTCACAATGTTGATTCTACCCTTCCATGAGCATGGGACGTGGTTCTACTTGTTAGTGTCATCTATAATTTCTTTCGGCAGTGTTTTTAATTTTCCTCGTACAGGTGTTTAACCTCTATTGCGGGAAGTCAGGGACCCTGAATGGAGGGACCGGCTGAAGCCACAGTGGAAGAACATAAATTGTGAAGATTTCATGGACATTTATCACTTCCCCAATCAATACTCTTATAACTTCCTATGCCTGTCTTTACTTTAATCTCTTAATCCTGTCATCTTTGTAAGCTGAAGATGTATGTCACCTCAGGACCCTGTGATGATTGCGTTAACTGCATAGATTGTTTGTAAAGCATGTGTGTTTGAACAATATGAAATCTGGGCACCTTGAAAAGAACAGGATAACAGCAATTTTCAGGGAACAAGGGAGATAACCATAAGGTCTGACTGCCTGCAGGGCCAGGCAGAACAGAGTCATATTTCTCTTCTTGCAAAAGCAAATAGGAGAAATATCGCTGAATTCTTTTGTCAGCAAGGAATAGCCCTGGGAAAAGAATGCATTCCCAGGGGGAGGTCTCTAAAATGGCCACTCTGGGAGTGTCTGAATTACATGGTTGAAGATAAGGGATGAAATATGCCCTGGTCTCCTGCAGTGCCCTCAGGCTTGCTAGGATTAGGAAATTCCAGCCTGGCAAATTCTAGTCATACTGGTTCTCTGCTCTCGAACCCTGTTTCCTGTTAAGATGCTTATTAATGACAATGTGTGCCCAGCGGGATGTGGCACCTCATCAGTGATTCTAGTTTTGCCCTCTGCCTTGTGATCTTTTATTGCCCTCTGAAGCATGTGATCCCTGTGACCCATTCCCTATTCATAGACCCCTGCCCCTTTTGAAATCCGTAATAAAAACTTGCTGGTTTTGCGGCTCAGGTGGGCATCATGGAACCTGCTGACATGTGATATCACCCCCGGAGACCCAGCTGTAAATTTCTCTCTTTTGTACTCTTTCTCTTTATTTCTCAGACTGGCCCACACTTAGGGAAAATAGAAAAGAACATACTTTGAAATATTGGGGGCTGGTTCCCCCAGTAAACCTCCTTGGTTAGGTATATTCCTAAGTATTTTATTTTTTTGCAGCTACTATAAAAGGGGTTGAGTTCTTGATTTAATTCTCAGCTTGGTCACTGTTAGTATATGGCAGTGCTACAGATTTGTGTACATTGATTTTGTATCCTGAAACTTTACTGAATTCATTTATCAGATCTAGGAGCTTTTTGGATAAGTATTTATGGTTTTCTAGGTATACAGTCATATCATTGGTGAACAGTGACAGTTTGACTTCCTATTTACTGATTTGTCTGATTGCTCTGGCTAGGATTTCCAGTACTATGTTGAATAGAAGTGGTGAGAGTGGGCATCCTTATCTTGTTCCAGTTCTCAGGGGGAATGCTTTGAACTTTTCCCCGTTCAGTATAAGGTCGGCTGTGGGTTTGTCATAGATGGTTTTTATTACCTTAAGTTATGATCTTTGTATGTCAAGTTTGCTGAGGGTTTTAATAAAAAAGCGATGATGGATTTTGTCAAATGCTTTTTCTGCATCTATTGAGATCATATGATTTTTGTTTTCAAATCTGTTTATGTGATCTATCACATTTATTGACTTGTGTGTATTAAATCATCCTTGCATCCCTGGCATGAAACCCAATTTATCACCATGTATGATCTTTTTGATATGCTGTTGGATTATGTTAGCTTGTATTTTGTTGAGGATTTTTGCATCTATTTTCATCAGAGATATTGGTCTGTAGTTTTCTTTTTTATTATGTCCTTTCCTGGTTTTGGTATTAGGGTGATCCTGGCTTCATAGAATAATTTAGGGAGGATTCTCTCTTTCTCTGTTTTGGAATAGTTTCAGTAGGATTGGTACCAATTCTCTTCTTTGAATGTCTGATTGAATTCAGCTGTGAGTCCATGTGAACCTGTGATTTTTTATCATTGGCAGTTTTTTAAAAATTACCATTTCAATCTTTCTGCTTTTTATTGGTCTGTTCACAGTTTCTATTTCTTCCTGATTTATTCTAGGAAGGTTGTATATTTCCAGGAATCTGTCTCCTCTAGGTTTTCTAGTTTGTGCCTGTGAATGTGTTCATATTAGCCTTGAATGATATTTTATATTTCTGTAATATCAGTGGCATTTTCTTCCATTTTGTTTCTAATTGAGGTTATTTGGATCCTCTCTTTTCTTGGTTAATCTCACTAATGGTCTATCAATTTTATGTATCGTTTCAAAGAATCAGCTTCATGTTTCATTTATCTTTTGTATTTTTTTGTTTCAATTTCATTTACTTCTGCTCTCTTTGTTATTTCTTTTCTTCTGCTGGGTTTGGGTTTGGTTTGTTCTTGTTTCTCTAGTTCCTTGAGGTGTGACTTTACATTTTGTATTTGTGCTCTTTCAGACTTTTTGATGTAGGCATTTAATGCTATGAACTTTCCTCTTAGGACTGTTTTTACTGTGTCCGAGTGGTTTTCACAAGTTATGTCACTATTATCATTCAGTTCAGAGAATTTTGCATCTTGATTTCACTGTTGACCCAAAGATCATTCAGGAGCAAATTATTTAATTTCCATGTATTTGTATAGTTTTGAAGGTTTCTTTTGGAGTTAATTTCCAATTTTATTCCACTGTGGTCTGAGAGGGGACTTGATATAATTTTGATTACCTTAAATTTGTTGAGGCTTGTTTTGTGGCCTATTATGTGGTCTATCTTGGAGGATGTTTCATGTGCTGATGAGAAGAATGTATATTCTACAGTTGTTGAGTAGAATGTTCTGTAAATATCTGTTAAGTTTATTTCTTCTAGTGTAACTTAAGTCCATTGTTTCATTGTTGACTTTCTGTCTTGATGACTTTCTAGTACTGTCAGTGGAGTATTGAAGTCCCCACTATTATTGTGTTGCTGTCTATCTCATTTCTCATGTCTAGTAATAATTGTTTTATAAATTTGGAAGCTCCCATGTTAGGTGCATATATGTTTAGGATTGTGATATTTTCCTGTTGGAGTTATCCTTTTATCATTGTATAATGTCCCTCTTTGTCTTTTTTAACTGTTGTTGCTTTAAAATCTGTTTTGACTGATATAAGAATAGCTACTCCTGCTTGCTTTTGTTTTCCATTTGTATGGAATATCTTTTTCCACTCCTTTACCTTAAGTTTTTGTGAGTCCTTACACATTAGATGACTCTTGAAGACTGAAGATACTTGGTTGGTGAATTTTTATCCTTTCTGCCATTCTGTATCTTTTAAGTGGAGAGTGTTAATATTGAGATGTGAAGTACTGTTCTATTTCTCATGCTAGTTGTTGCCTGAATTCCTTATTTTTTTCCTTTGCATTACTGTTTTATAGGCCCTGTGAGATTTATGCTTTAAGGAGGTTCTATTTTGGTGTATTTTGGAGTTTTGTTTGAAGACTTAGAACTCCTTTTAGTATTTTGTGTAGTGCTGGATTGGTAGTGGTGAAGTCTCTCAGCATTTGTTTGTCTGAAAAAGACTTTATCTCTCCTTCATTTATGAAGCTTAGTTTTGCTGGATACAAAATTCTTGCCTGGAAATTATTTTGTTTGAGGAGGCTAAAGATAAGACCCCAGTCTTTTCTGGCTTATAGGCTGCTGTTAATCTGATAGGTTTTCCTTTATAGGTTACCTGATGCTTTTGCCTCACAGCTCTTAAGATTCTTTCCTTTGTCCTGACTTTAGACAACCTGATGACTATGTGCCTGGGCGATAATCTTTCTGTGATAAATTTCCCAGGTGGTCTTTGAGCTTCTTGTATTTGGTTGTGTAGATCTCTAGCGAGGCCAGGGAAGTTTTCCTTGATTATTCCCTCAAATATGTTTTCCAAACTTTTAGATTTTTGTTCTTCCTCAAGAATGCCAATTATTCTTAGGTCATTTAACATAATCCCAAATTTCTTGGAGGCTTTGTTTATTTATTAAAGTTCTTTTTTCTTTGTCTTTGTCTGACTGGGTTAATTCGAAAGTCTTGTTGTTTGAGCTATGAAGTTCTTTCTTCTACCTGTTGGATCCTATTGTTGAAACTTTCCAGTGCATTTTGTATTTCTCTAAGTGTGTCTTTCATTTCCAGAAGTTGGATTGTTTCTTCTTTATGATATCTACGTCCCTGGGGCATTTTTAATCCATATCCTGTGTTTTTAAAAAATTTATTTAAGTTGTTTTTCACCTTTCTCTGGTATCTTTTTGAGTAGCTTAAAATCAACCTTCTGAATTCTCTATCTAGCAATTCAGAGATTTCTTCTTAGTTTGGATCTATTGCTGGGGTCCAGTGTGGAGGTGGTAGGGGAGTGAAGTAGACTCTGTGAGAATCCTTGGTTGTAGATAGACTTAGTGTGGTGGCTTTCTCAAATGCTGGTTATGCTAGCAGTGCAGTTGTCATGTGAACAGACCGAAGACCACTGGTTAGTCAAGATTTTTCAGCCAGTGGAATTAGCTGTTTTCTCCTTTCTTAGAGCAGTTATTCTGTCGTGAATTGTTGTAATGTCCTGAGTTGGTTGGCCTCCAGCCAGGATGTGGTGCTTTCAAGAGGGCACCAGCTACAATAGTAGAAGGTGGATATAAGCTTGCCCTAAGTTGGCCAAGATAAATATTCAGTTTCTCAGGCAATGAGTGGTGTCATAAAGCTCCCAAGAGTTTACGTCTTTTGTGATTGGCTACCAGGTGGGTAGAGAAATGCCCTCAGGTGTGGACAGGGTTAGGCAGGTCTGAGCTCAGACTCTCCTCGGGCGGGGGGCTTGCGGCAGCCACTGTGAGGGATGGGGTGGAGGGTTTTTCTCCAGCCAATGGAATTATGTTCCAGAGGGCATTATGGCTGCCTCTGTCACCAGAGAAGTAGGGGAAACCTGGTAGCAATAGGCTTCACCCAGCTCCCATGCAGTTGGTGAGGCAGGTCTTGCTCCTGCTGTGCCACACTAACAGCATTGAATTTATCTCCCTGCAGCCTTCAGGATGGACTCAGACCTCACTCCAGGCTATAAGTTTCCTGCTGAGAAAGCAAGCACAGCTTTCAGGCCATGTGCCTCCCTGTCTGCCCACAATGTTGGCAGTAACTTCTGCTCTTTCTCCAGCAGTTACGTTCGCCCCCAGATTCTGCTCCAGAGGATTTGTGCCCAGTCAGAATTATAACAAATTTCAGTTGGACGCTCCTTTCACACTGTGACCCCTTCCAAATTTTGCCGTCTGCCTTCCCCCAGGGCCCTTGTGAGATATAGTCAGGGATGGCTTCCTTGGGCTTGAGCTAAAGACTGGGCGTGCCTACAAGGCTCTTCTCACTGCTGCATCTACCATATATATATATATATATATATATATATATATATATATATATATATATATATTTTTTTTTTTTTTTTTTTTTTTTTTTTTCTTTTTGTTGCGACGGAGTCTCACTCTGTCACCCAGGCTGGAGTGCAGTGGCGCGATCTCGGTTCACTGCAGGCTCTGCCTTCCGGGTTTATGCCATTCTCCTGCCTCAGCCTTCCTAGTAGCTGGCACTACAGGCGCCCGCCACCACGCCTGGCTAATTGTTTTGTATTTTTAGTAGAGACGGGGTTTCATCGTGTTAGCCAGGATGGTCTCAATCTCCTGACCTTGTAATCCGCCCGCCTCGGCCTCCCAAAGTGCCGGGATTACAGGTGTGAGCGGCAGCGCCCGGCGTACTTTTGTATTTCATGCTAAATCTGTTTCAGGTCTAGGTAAAGTTAAATCCTTTTCCTGTAATCTGGATTTTCGAGTTCCCCAGTGGGGACATGGGTCCGGAGGCAGGTTTTTCCCCTCTCACGCTTTGGGAACGCACAGTTTTTCACCTGTCTGGTGGAGTTTGCAGTGGCCCCTCCCTTCTTTAAAAGGATCTGTGAATTCTTTCGATTTTCTGGGTATTCTCCTGCAGTGGTTCCTTTCTTGAGGGATCTGTGAAGTGAGTTCCTCAAGATATTTCTTGTCAGGTGAACAGTCTGTGGTCTCTGCAGGGCCTGTACCACCCCTGGGCACTGTATGCCCCACAGAGTGGGCCTCTCCTGTGCAGGGCCTGGGAAGAGGCTGATTATAATCTGGTGTCTGAGGCCTGGCAGCACCACACTCTCTTCAGTGAGTCAGGCTCAAGTCTGAGCACATCTGCAGAGCTTATGTTTGCTGTGTTGCTCATGGAAGGCAGGGAATCCAAAATTGTTTTCTTAGAGATGGACTCTCACTATGTTTCCTAGGCTGCTTTCAAACTCCTGGCCTCAAGTGATCCTCCTGTCTCGGCCTCTCAAATCACTGAGATTACAGGTATGGGCCACTGTGCCCAGCCTATTATCGATTTTCTCCCATTTCATTCAGTCCTCAACCCAATGCACTCTCTCTTTTTCTTTCCCTCATCTCTGATGCTCCTCTCAGGGTGGCAACTAATGACTTTTATACAACTCAAGCCAGTGGTCACTGTTCTGTTTCTGTCTTATGTGTGTCATTAGTGTGTTTGAGATGCATCCTCTCCTCTTTCCTGGAAGTTTTCTCCTGTCTGTTGTCTTTTATGAACCCGCTTCCTCTCTGTTTTCCTACCACTTTCTAGTCCTCTGCTTTTCAGCCTCTTTCTTCATGTCTGTGTTTGTCTGGATGCAGGAGCACACACTCAGATCCCTGCTATCCTGACTTTGTGTACTTTTCTTGAGTGACCTGACCCAAAATTAGAACTTCACCCACCATGAGCCTCCTTCCAGTTTATGTCACTAACCTAATGTAGCATGACACTCATCCATTTATTTCACTGCCTTCAAATCAACTGTATGTTTTCCCCTAGAAGTTTAAATTCAGTATGTCTCAAACAGAAAATTTTACCTTCTCTCAATCACTTAATTATCACCTTTGCAGTCACGGATGCCACAATTCTCCACGTTGCGTGGTTATTCTCGACTTCTTCATATCCCTACTTCTGGCACGTGATTTAGTGATTCCTGTGGCCTCTCATGTCATTACTGCCATCAAATCCATCTGCTGTCCTCCTCACCCCATGTTCCTGCCCTGGCCTACGCCTTCATTACTTCCTACCAGAGGGCTTAAAAGTGCTACTGGTCTTGCCTTGAGTCCAGCCTCCTCCAGCCCATCCTTCCTACAGGTGCCCCATCCAAACACAAATCTGACCGTGTTACTCTCCTGCTTAAGATACTTCACAATTTCCTGTGTCCTGTGGGATAAAATGCGAACACCTGCCATCAGCACACAAGGCAGGTTACAGTGCTGCCTGGCCCACATCTCCCCTGGCTTCAGTCACACTGAAGAACTGCAGTTCTCCTTGCAACTTCATGCCTCTCTGCTCCTGAGCCTGCTTCTCCTGCTGGAAATGCCATTTCCCCTTTCTCTGTTTTGCTATCTGCAGGTGAACACTGTCCCTAGGAACCTTTCCTAAATCGTATTTTAATTTTGCTCCTGAGTAGCTCTTGTGTATACCTTGTGATACTCAGTGGTGATCAAACCACACATGTAGCAATCATCTTTTCTTTGTCTGTTTTATTCTTGAATTTCAAGTAGATTAAGGACAAAGTTCCCATCTTTAGAGTTTCATCCTTATTACCTAGAGAGTGAAAGTTCACAAAAAGCATTTATTAACTGAATGAAAATTAACATTTGAAGTGTGGAATTTGCTTCAAAATGTGCCAACCTTTAGTTTTCAGATTTTGTAAATATAATAAATACAAAGTGACCTAAGCTGTGTAGCCCAGTCTATACACCATGTATTTTTCTTTTTCCTTTGGGATTCATTTCTGTAGGTGAGTAATCCTCTAGACCCTAAACTCAGTGAGGGACCCTCACCATCCGTGTGCGGCACTGAACCTGCTGTCACACTATGCATCTAAGTAGAGGACTGGTTCTCCCCGTGCTGGGCTGGGAGGGGAAATCCTCACTTAGGGACCACCAACCATGCAGTGTCATTTGGCTTCACTTCCTCTTCCAGGCCGAACCCTAAACTCTCTGTAATTCACTGTAATAATAATTCACTTTTTGTTATCAACCAGTTGCTGCTTCTTATGTATCAGGTAAAGCTAAGATACTATCCCGTAGGTCTTTCAAATGCCAACAACTTGTATTTCCAGGTGAAACTACACTTGAAAACTACACTCCTCAAGACAATTTTGTGAATGTTATGTGAATGATAATACTTTTAAATTTACTCTGCCTAAAATGTAAGTGTTGTGGATAAAATTATAGAAGGTATCATTTTTCTTCTAAAAGTAAGAATGTAACTTGAAGTCTATAAATGTCACTAAGACTCTGGAGGTATTTTCATGTCCTTCACGATTTTGTTCCACTCTGAAATATTTATTCCATCCTTCCACTTCCCTGCCTTGCTTTATGGCTATATCAGTAATTTTTAATGTATTGTCCTGTAGGGTTTCTGAGATCCTACAGGAATGAGGTAGGAGGACTACTCAATATTGTTTCTACCAGGAGTTGTGTGACTTGGACAAGTTACTTTACCTCTGGGGTCAGTTCCCTACTATGGAAAATAAGTTCTTCTGCATGGGGGTGTGAAGATTCAATGAGTAAGTTTAGCACATAGTAAGTGCCCAATAAATATTATCTTACTGTATTCAGCATTACCATTATCATAGACGGATGTTAAGTCTTCAGGGACAAGGGAAACAACCTATATCGTCCATGGGTCATTTCTGTCTTTGTTTCTTCTCACTCCTTTTCTTTTCTTTCATTTGCATTTCTCATTTTCTGTGTTATTCCTTCATGTTCCCAATAACCTTCCTGTTACCTGTTTGCTTCCTGCATTCTGTGTAGCATCCTACATATTCACCCATTCTCCATCTTCTCCTTCATGCAGCAGACCATGTGTCAACATATGCAGAGTTTGTGCAGACGCACAGACCCTCTGGGGAGTATATGTTTGAATTTGATGAGGAGGAGCAGTTCTACGTGAACCTGGATGAGAAGGAGATGGTCTGGCCTCTACCAGAGTTTATTCACACCTTTGACTTTGGTGCTCAGAGGGGTATTGCTGGCATCGTCATGGCAAGGAAGCACTTGAACACCCGGATCAATGGTCCAAACAGACTTGGGCCACAAATGGCACTGCCTATAGCTGCCTGTTCCTCTCAGAGGGGTATTGCTGGCATCGTCATGGCAAGGAAGCACTTGAACACCCGGATCAATGGTCCAAACAGACTTGGGCCACAAATGGCACTGCCTATAGCTGCCTGTTCCTCTAGAGTCCAGCTGGAGGGATGGGAGGGCCTCTCTGCCACACATAGAACTAGAGGCCATGATGCCCACTCATGAATGAGCCCCTTCCCTGAGAGCGAGAAATCTTGGGTCCACACAGCTGGGTTCTTAGGACAGCAGAGGAGGAGGCATTTTCTTCTTACTCAAGAGAAAGGCTGGGCTGAGGGGGCCAGGTCAGGAGCACGAGAAGCTGTGACCCTGTCCAGGAGCCCTAGGGGAGCAGGAGGATGGGCCTGGGAGAGGTGGCCCCTAATCTGGTGAATATAGGACTTGGGGTGGTGGAACCTTTAAGAATCAGCCAATGGCAGTAGGCTCCTTGGGTTCTATCCCCTTTTGGAGCCCCCACCGAGGTAAGCGTCTTTCCCAAGGAGCCTGTGGATCTGGGCCAGCCCAACACCCTCGTCTGCCATGTTGACAAGTTCTTCCCACCAGTGCTGAACATCACGTGGCTGTGCAATGGGGAGCCAGTCATTGAGGGTATTGCAGAGACCATCTTCCTGCCCAGCAAGAAACTCAGATTCCACAGGTTCCACTATCTGACCCTCGTTCCCATGGCCGAGGACACCTGTGACCTCCAGGGGGAGCACTGGGGCCTGCACCAGCCTCTCCTCAGGCACTGGGGTATGGAGCGCCCTCCCTCTGCCCTCACGGCCTTGGCACCACCTTTATTTCCTGGGCCCATCGCCCCTCAGCACCTGCCTTCCTCAATCCCATGTTTTACGGTCACTTTATCCAAATTTCACCATCTCATGGTTTCGAATACCCAACACCTCCCACATCCAAGGCCAGCCCCTGCTCTCTGTACCTTATAACTCTGTCTTCCCTTGGTGCCCCAGAGGTCCATGAACTAATCCAGGTGCCTGAGACCATGGAGATGCTGGTCTGTGCCCTGGGCCTGCTGGTGGGCCTGGCGGGGGTCCTTAATGGCACCATTGTCTCAAAGACCAAGCGATCTGACAGCATCCCCGGGTCCAGGGGCTCCTATGAGTCATCCTATAGGTGTATTAGGGACAGAGTGGAAAAGACGAGGTAACAAGTTAGGGGTGAAGAGTGGGAAAGAGAAACACTTCACCAGGGGCTCTTTGAGCATTGATGTTTTACTGCCATTGGGCTGGATAAAAACATTAACAAATGTAATGAGAAATGACATTCATTGAGTTGCTTACTATGTTCTAGGCACGATTCTAAGTGCTTCTCATGTGTTCACTTATTTACATCTGGAGGTTGGTTCTTATTTATTTCATGTTACAGAGCGGGAATCAGACACCGGGAGAGGTGAAGACCACACAGCTTCAAAGTGCAAAGCTTGGATTTAAACCCAGGCTTTGGGCCTGCAGTGGCTGCAGTCTTGTCCAGTATTTAGATTATTTCATCTGCAGTCACTATCTGTCTTCCTACATTTTACACAGCCTTAATTTTCTTCTGCCCGCAGAGTGATGTTCAGAACTTCCAATGCTATGTTAAACATTTCCAGCAACGAAGGACATCCTATCTTTTGCACAATCTCAAAGGCAATCCACCTCATTTCTTTGAAATATATATGCTATAGATTTTTGGTTCACTACCTTTAACATGTCATGAAATTGATTAAATTCTGTCTATGTCTTGAGCTGAATTCAGTTTAAATTAATATGAATTTTGCAGAGTCCACTAATGTGTTAACCACATTATATATTTTCTGACACTGAAGAATCATTGCATTCCTAGAATAAATCTAAAATTGGTCAAAACGTATTGTTTTTGTAATGTACTGTTGGATTCAGTGACATGGCTAAAATTAGTCCACAATCCTGTTCTCCTGTACTATTCTTAGCTGGCTCTGGAAATATAAATGAACCAACCTCATAAAATGATCTCAAAAATTCTGTTCCATTCTATGTTCTAGAATCACACGTGTAAGAGGCATGATCTGCTCCTGGAAATGTGGGAGGACGCCCTCATCTGCAATAAGATCAGGACAGGGCCCTTTGGAAGGCGATTCTTTGCTTCCCATGACAATTTCTTTGATATTCTCTACTCTATTTTAGTTTTCTATTTCTTCCTGTAGTTTTGACCTTTATATCTTTCTAGAAACGTATCCTTTTTATCTAAATTTTCAAATTTATATGTATAGAGTTGGTCGTAAGATTTTGCATTTTAAAATGTGTATAAATGTCATTTACCCTTTTCGTTCTGAATCTCCTGTATTTTCCTTAGGAGTCTTGCCAGAGGTCTCATTAAAGTTTTCATTGCCTCAAAATTTGATTTTGTCTTCTCTATTTTTATATTTCATTGAATTCAGCTTTTGTCCTTATTATTTACATGTATTTTCTTTTTGCTGTTTTTCTGCTTTTCCATCCTCTTAATTCACATAATTAGCTCATTTGTTTACAGTCATTTTACTCTAACAAAATTGTTTAACAATCTGACATTCTATGCAGCATTTTGAATGAACTTATTTCATCTTTCTATAAAGACTAAACATCTATTATGTTTTCAGTTATTTCCTCTTCCTCCACTATTTCCCTGACTTTCTAGACGTCTAATTATTAAGATGTCAGATGTCTGTTTCTATCCTTCATTTCTCTTCACTTGTCCTTTACATTTTCTATTGTTTACTCGATCATATTGTCCTTGGGACAGTTTCTCAGTTTGGCTTTTTGTTTATTAATTACACTTCAGTTGCAAAAGTCCTATTTCTTATCTCATTTATTATGTTTCTTATTCCAATCTTTATCAAAGCTCAATATTTGTGCTTGATTCAGTGGCTTCTTGCTTTTGCTTCAAATTCCCAAATTCTCCTTTACTTCTCTATTTAAGCCCTTTTTATTGTGAACTAGGGGACATTTGGAAGAAACACACAAACCAATAGAATGTATGTTGAATAGTTATCACCGCAAGCACCCATGTAACTAGTACCCGGGTGAAGAAATAGACTGTTGCCAGCATCCCTGTGCCCCTCCTTAGGCCAGGAGGTAGTGTGTAAGCTTTTCAGGAGCCAAAGGCTGCTGATATCCATAATGCCAGCATTGCTCCTGGTACACAGTAGGTCCTCCATAAATATCTCTTGTAGAAGTATTTTATTATTTATTTAGTATGTACTTCTTAAATGTTTTCCACCTTCAAGTATTCCCACTTATTTGAAGTTAGTTGCAGCCATATGATTTACATTGGAAAATGAAATGCGAGAAGTGTGTTCTTTCTAGGAGGGATCATTAAAAGCCAGTGAATAAATTCTTAGGTTCCCTTCATTCTGCTGGGGAGGTTCTGGGAGCAGATGTGCAGGAGAAAGCCTGTCAGCCTGGCTTCCTGAGTACGATGATAAGCAGAGCTTCCTGGATGACTTACTTTGGACGTGTAGCATGAGCCAAACCTGGATATCTGGGTATTTGTTAGTTTAGCACAGCTGATCCTATTCTTACTGTGTAAAAGAAATTGAAGAGAAGGTGCTCAATGAGACTTCAGAGAAGCTGAGAGACAAGAGAACTAGGAGGATGTTTCATCCCATAAGCCAAGTGCACAGGAATTTCAGGGACAGTTTACAATGCAACATGCTCAAAAGGCATCAACTATGGTAAGTGTTCACTGGCCTGGTAGCAAGTGGTTATTAAAACCCCTTTAAAGAGCATCTTCACACCCAATGCCCAACTCCCACCTCCTTCCACTTTCACCATCCCCTGGCTCGGCCTCACTGCTACTTGACAAATGGGGACAAAGAGAGGGTGAGATGATTTCTTCTTAGGGTACCCCTTGATAACCATCTGAGGCAGCATCATCTGTTGGGTGGGCCACCTTCTCCTTAGGGGACTGTGAGGGGTAGAAAATAAAGGGACCAGGTGGAAGGGGATGGAGGATACAACACTCAGCTGGGAGTCCTAAGCCCGCCGGGTTTTTTCTTCTGCAGGTATCAATTTTTCTGAGTCAGAGGTTGAGTCACCCACTTCACATCTCCTTTAAAGCTCCAGTTCCAGCTTTCCTTTGAATCTCTGCTCTTCAACTCCAATGACTGATGTACCTCAAGACTCCTCTACCTCCTGGCTGCCTTTGATCCTGCTGCACATAGCACTCAGCAAAGGGCCTGACTCTTAGAAAACACTCTATAAATATTGAAAATTTGAAGTCTAGTGACAAAGTGGTCCCCAGTTTGGATGGTCTCTCAGCTCTTGTCTCCTCTGGGACCTGTCTCTGCACTGCATCCTTCCTTAGAAATCCCAGAGTTTCATAAACACCTGCATATGTCAGAGTGAGACACATCTGATACCTTCTTTCTGTGACTCCAGGGACTTTCCTCATCTCCTGACACCCTCAGTTCCCTAGGAGCACATATCCTATTCCTGTAATGTGGGTGCAGATACCTCAGCTTCTGATCCTGACAAGTTAGTCCAGAGATTGTTCACTCCACTCGGGGTACTGCCCTAACCTGTAACATGAGTACAGGCGACAAGCAGGAAAGAGAATGACTCTGATTGGATATGGTTTGTAATTTGTAATGTTAACTGCTCAGTGACTCTGAGGGTAGGATTTATGTGCTCT